>NT_187654.1:0-318687 GCF_000001405.40 Homo sapiens
GCTGTTTTCCAGACTTCCTCTTAGGTGGCCGTGGAGCAGCTGGGGACCTACAGGTACAACCCCGGGCGGAGACCCAGAGCGAGCCTTCCCTGCAAGGATCCAACGCAGACCCAGATCTGCCCCAGACCCAGATCTGCCTTTTCATGAAAATTGGAAGACAACAGTGATTGCTGAAAAACAGCTAGCAGGCGTCCCACAGAGAGGGGCCGCGGAGCACCCAGCTCCGGCACAGACAGCTCTCCCTCACACGTGAACAGGAGCAACCGCAGGCTCTCGTCTGCACCCACGGAGTGTGTCTGGATGGATGTTGCCTGGAAATGCTTCCAGGCAGGAAAAACTTAACAGGCTGACATTTCATCCGTTGATGGAGATCACAGGGCCCTGGTGGAGTATCAGGCTTAGAGGAGAAGCTCTTCCAAAAATCAGTAACTAAATCGAGGCACTCTCTGAGCTCTCCAGATGTAAACCAAACGACTCTGGAATGATCTCTGCCATAGTAATCATGTTGGTGAAAACCAGATGGGAGCCTCTCATCTGGGCTTCTCCAGAAGGCGCAGAAATGTGTCTGTCACCTACACAACGCTGTGGTGTGCTTGTATCTTTACAAACTCTTATGTATGACCTTTTAAAACTCCGTTTATTAAAATAATACTTTTTTTTTCATTTTCTTCCTTTTGCTGGAGTAAGTTTTTTGTATGCATAAAATGAAACAGATGGCCATGAACTCAGAACATCAGGGTTAGTTCCAGGCCCACCTACAAGCCCTTCCTGTCCATTCTGGGACCTCTGTGTACTGCACTGCAATTAGAAAATGACAATCTGTCGAGCTGTGTGCTCCTGTATGCTTGCGGGCCTCTGGTCTCTGCGTGCCGCCTCCCTTGCCTGCTTGAGGACTGGACTTCTGCCCTTTAACTGCAGTCCCGTCCACCTCTCACCTCCATTGAGCCGCCAAGCTCTGATCTGAGTCTCTTGTTGGGTGCTGGTGGTGAGGGAGGATCTTTTCATTTGGCGGAGGGCTCTGCCTGAGAATACTGCAGGTGGATTTCAGCTCAACCCTCTGTTACAAAACCATTTTTCAAGTCTCTTATCCACAGAGCGAGCCCATAGCGAATGCAAACACACTGTGCTGTGTGCAAGAGTCATAAAGAATTACAAGGCAGCATCACCGTCCTCATAAAATGGCAAGGCAGGCAGCAACCTCAGAAGCCAAATTAAACACAGTCAGCATGGCAGCACTGAAATCAGAAAGACCCAGGGTCTGTGCTGGCAGGACGAAGGGGCAGCAGCTGAACCCCCCATGTGGGGTCATCTGGAACACGTGCCTTGGGTGAATACAACAGGACCTTGAAAATGAGTTGGACTAAGTCAGAAGAAAGAAGACGTTCCAAGAGTAGGAAGAAGCTTTGGAGGCAGAAATGTCTGGGGATAATGAGACCCCGGTTGGCTAGATGGGAATTGGAAAGATTAACTCAGAAGTTCCCATGGGGACATTGTGCAGGATGTTGAATCCAAGGCTAGACATTACGAGCTTCCAAACTAGGCAATGGGGCATTCAAGGATTTGCAACAAGAAAGCAAACGGCCTGAGGTAGGGGTTTTGGGGTACCCTGCAGAACGACCTGGCAGTACCCATGAGTCTGGATGCCCCATTCAGAGGCCAGATCGGATCTGTGCAGAGGCACGCGGCTTATCCAGGGACACCAGGCTGTGGCTGCAAATGGGATGTCAGGAAGGGGTGACTCAGTGCCAAGCAAAGTGAGGGATGATGAAAAATGATAATAGCTGGGGTTTTGGCCCCACGTAATGAGAGTAAGATTGGTGTTTTTATCAGTTGGAGCGCTACCAGCACATGTTCCACCATGGATGCCTCACAGAGCTGGCCCCATGCAGAGTCCAGGAAGGGGCTGGGCAGGGGACTGCTCTAGAAGAGGAGATGGGTTCATAAAAGGTTTAGAGGGCAGAGGGCCTGGCGATGTGTTTTCTGTTCTTGATTTCACTCCAGTATTTAAGGAGCTCACTTTGGTGCAAATAATTTATTTTTCCTAGTTTGAAGAAAACACCCTTTCTCAAGCCAGTTTATCCTTAGAAGAGGTCATTTCATTAAGCGGAAGCAGCAAATGTGTTGCTGCATCTCCAAGACCCGAGTATGTGTCTTCCCCTCCTGAACGCTTGTGCGTCCACCTTGGACAACCAACAAGGGGCCATGGAGGAGCCGTCGGTGTCTGTGACAAAATAACCCATTGTTGTGATGCTGTAGGATCTTTCAGAAAACCAGGTCGTAGGACTGAGAGCGTGAAGAACTGTTTGAATCGCCTTATCTATCCCCTTGTTGCGATGCTGTAGGATCTTTCAGAAAACCCAGGTCATAGGACTGAGAGCATGAAGAACTGTTTGAATTGCCTTATCTACATCTCTAATTTTTCAGAGGCTGGGGTGGGCCTAGAAAACAAGACCCCTGAGTTCCAGGCTCGGGTGCCATTGGAACACCCAGATTATGGACGGGGCGGCCTTGAAGTGGACGTGAGGATGAGTCATTCCTCCATGAGTCCAGATCCCAGGTCGAGGCGCAGTCCAGATCCTGGGTTGAGGCGCCATCTGGATCCAGGGTCGAGGTGCAGGGTTACCCGTTACCTGCACTCCCACGGGGAGGGCTTCCCTTTCTTCCCATCAACTCGCGGCACTCGGGGAAAACCTGTGGCCCCCGTCGGCCTGACTTGCTAATGGGAGGCAAACCCGTTCCGCTGACTTGGACGCCGCGTGGTCCTTCTAAGTGCCATTGTCCTGCTGTGCCTCATTGCCGAGTGTGAGAATGCAACTAAGTGAAAGCAAATAGACCTTGTCCGAAAAGGCCCAAAATAGACTCTGCTTGTTATCATATTAACTTTGCATTTTAACTGTGACCCTACATGGTGTGGAAACCCGTGGGGAGTCCCGTGGGCCTGGGCCTCCATGCATCTCTGGGGACTGGGCCAGGCCTGGGTCAGCACATCTGCGTTTCAGTGGAAGTGCCAGACCTTTGCCAGGTGATGGCACAGTAGTGATGCTCATGGGCTGTGTTCTTTCTTCGGGATAATTGCAGCTTGAAACTCCTGGGCATCTGTGATTGGACTTTGGCAAAGTGAATGTATGTGTGTTGGAATGGGGCGTGTGTCTTTGTTAAATGTGACGTTTCTGTTTTTTTTTTGAGACGGAGTCTCTGTGACTCTTTTTTTACAACTATTCCCCCCAAATGGAGACAGATCAGTTTTGCTCTAAATGTGAATCCGAGGCCTCAGGAAGGCATTCGAGGTTTTCAGAACCTCCTTGTCCTCCTGAGTCGTGTATTGAGTGCTTACTGAGCGCCACCTCCTCGTCCTCCAGAGTCGTGCATTGAGTGCTTACTGAGCGCCACCTCCTCGTCCTCCAGAGTCGTGTATTGAGTGCTTACTGAGTGCCACCTCCTCGTCCTCCAGAGTCGTGTATTGAGTGCTTACTGAGCGCTCCCTCCTCGTCCTCCTGAGTCGTGTATTGAGTGCTTACTGAGCGCTCCCTCCTTGTCCTCCAGAGTCGTGTATTGAGTGCTTACTGAGCGCTCCCTCATCGTCCTCCGGAGTCGTGTATTGAGTGCTTACTGAGCGCCCCCTCCTCGTCCTCCAGAGTCGTGTATTGAGTGCTTACTGAGCGCTCCCTCCTTGTCCTCCTGAGTCGTGTATTGAGTGCTTACTGAGCGCCACCTCCTCGTCCTCCAGAGTCGTGCATTGAGTGCTTACTGAGCGCCACCTCCTCGTCCTCCAGAGTCGTGTATTGAGTGCTTACTGAGTGCCACCTCCTCGTCCTCCAGAGTCGTGTATTGAGTGCTTACTGAGCGCTCCCTCCTCATCCTCCTGAGTCGTGTATTGAGTGCTTACTGAGCGCTCCCTCCTCATCCTCCTGAGTCGTGTATTGAGTGCTTACTGAGCGCTCCCTCCTCGTCCTCCTGAGTCGTGTATTGAGTGCTTACTGAGCGCCACCTCCTTGTCTTCCGGAGTCGTGTATTGAGTGCTTACTGAGCGCTCCCTCCTCGTCCTCCTGAGTCGTGTATTGAGTGCTTACTGAGCGCTCCCTCCTCGTCCTCCTGAGTCGTGTATTGAGTGCTTACTGAGCGCCCCCTCCTCGTCCTCCAGAGTCGTGTATTGAGTGCTTACTGAGCGCTCCCTCCTCGTCCTCCTGAGTCGTGTATTGAGTGCTTACTGAGCGCCCCCTCCTCGTCCTCCAGAGTCGTGTATTGAGTGCTTACTGAGCGCCACCTCCTCGTCCTCCAGAGTCGTGTATTGAGTGCTTACTGAGCGCTCCCTCCTCATCCTCCTGAGTCGTGTATTGAGTGCTTACTGAGCGCTCCCTCCTCGTCCTCCTGAGTCGTGTATTGAGTGCTTACTGAGCGCTCCCTCCTTGTCCTCCAGAGTCGTGTATTGAGTGCTTACTGAGCGCTCCCTCCTTGTCCTCTGGAGTCGTGTATTGAGTGCTTACTGAGCGCCCCCTCCTCGTCCTCCAGAGTCGTGTATTGAGTGCTTACTGAGCGCCACCTCCTCGTCCTCCTGAGTCGTGTATTGAGTGCTTACTGAGCGCCACCTCCTTGTCCTCCTGAGTCGTGTATTGAGTGCTTACTGAGCGCTCCCTCCTCGTCCTCCAGAGTCGTGTATTGAGTGCTTACTGAGCGCCACCTCCTCGTCCTCCAAAGTCGTGTATTGAGTGCTTACTGAGCGCTCCCTCCTTGTCCTCCAGAGTCGTGTATTGAGTGCTTACTGAGCGCCACCTCCTCATCCTCCAGAGTCGTGTATTGAGAACTTACTGAGCGCTCCCTCCTTGTCCTCCGGAGTCGTGTATTGAGTGCTTACTGAGTGCCACCTCCTTGTCCTCCAGAGTCGTGTATTGAGTGCTTACTGAGCACTCCCTCCTTGTCCTCCGGAGTCGTATATTGAGTGCTTACTGAGCGCCACCTCCTCGTCCTCCAGAGTCGTGTATTGAGTGCTTACTGAGCGCTCCCTCCTTGTCCTCCTGAGTCGTGTATTGAGTGCTTACTGAGCGCCACCTCCTCGTCCTCCAGAGTCGTGTATTGAGTGCTTACTGAGCGCTCCCTCCTTGTCCTCCGGAGTCGTGTATTGAGTGCTTACTGAGCGCCACTCCTTGTCCTCCGGAGTCGTGTATTGAGTGCTTACTGAGCGCTCCCTCCTTGTCCTCTGGAGTCGTGTATTGAGAGCTTACTGAGCGCTCCCTCCTCGTCCTCCAGAGTCGTGTATTGAGTGCTTACTGAGCGCCACCTCCTTGTCCTCCGGAGTCGTGTATTGAGTGCTTACTGAGCGCCACCTCCTCATCCTCCAGAGTCGTGTATTGAGTGCTTACTGAGCGCTCCCTCCTTGTCCTCCAGAGTCGTGTATTGAGTGCTTACTGAGCGCCACCTCCTCATCCTCCAGAGTCGTGTATTGAGTGCTTACTGAGCGCTCCCTCCTTGTCCTCCGGAGTCGTGTATTGAGTGCTTACTGAGCGCCACCTCCTCATCCTCCAGAGTCGTGTATTGAGTGCTTACTGAGCGCTCCCTCCTTGTCCTCCAGAGTCGTGTATTGAGTGCTTACTGAGCGCCACCTCCTCATCCTCCGGGGTCGTGTATTGAGTGCTTACTGAGCGCCACCTCCTCATCCTCCAGAGTCGTGTATTGAGTGCTTACTGAGCACCACCTCCTTGTCCTCTGGAGTCATGTATTGAGAACTTACTGAGCGCTCCCTCCTATGTCCTCCGGAGTCCTGTATTGAGTGCTTACTGAGCGCCACCTCCTTGTCCTCCAGAGTCGTGTATTGAGTGCTTACTGAGCGCCACCTCCTCATCCTCCAGGGTAGTGTATTGAGTGCTTACTGAGTGCCACCTCCTCGTCCTCCAGAGTCGTGTATTGAGTGCTTACTGAGCGCTCCCTCCTCATCCTCCTGAGTCGTGTATTGAGTGCTTACTGAGCGCTCCCTCCTCGTCCTCCTGAGTCGTGTATTGAGTGCTTACTGAGTGCCACCTCCTCATCCTCCTGAGTCGTGTATTGAGTGCTTACTGAGCGCTCCCTCCTCGTCCTCCTGAGTCGTGTATTGAGTGCTTACTGAGCGCTCCCTCGTCATCCTCCTGAGTCGTGTATTGAGTGCTTACTGAGCGCCCCCTCCTCGTCCTCCAGAGTCGTGTATTGAGTGCTTACTGAGCGCCACCTCCTCGTCCTCCAGAGTCGTGTATTGAGTGCTTACTGAGCGCTCCCTCCTCATCCTCCTGAGTCGTGTATTGAGTGCTTACTGAGCGCTCCCTCCTCGTTCTCCTGAGTCGTGTATTGAGTGCTTACTGAGCCTCATCCTCCAGGGTAGTGTATTGAGTGCTTACTGAGTGCCACCTCCTCGTCCTCCAGAGTCGTGTATTGAGTGCTTACTGAGCGCTCCCTCCTCATCCTCCTGAGTCGTGTATTGAGTGCTTACTGAGCGCCACCTCCTCGTCCTCCAGAGTCGTGTATTGAGTGCTTACTGAGCGCTCCCTCCTTGTCCTCCTGAGTCGTGTATTGAGTGCTTACTGAGCGCCACCTCCTCGTCCTCCAGAGTCGTGTATTGAGTGCTTACTGAGCGCTCCCTCCTTGTCCTCCGGAGTCGTGTATTGAGTGCTTACTGAGCGCCACTCCTTGTCCTCCGGAGTCGTGTATTGAGTGCTTACTGAGCGCCACCTCCTTGTCCTCCAGAGTCGTGTATTGAGAGCTTACTGAGCGCTCCCTCCTTGTCCTCCAGAGTCGTGTATTGAGTGCTTACTGAGCGCCACCTCCTTGTCCTCCGGAGTCGTGTATTGAGTGCTTACTGAGCGCTCCCTCCTTGTCCTCCAGAGTCGTGTATTGAGAACTTACTGAGCGCCACCTCCTCGTCCTCCAGAGTCGTGTATTGAGTGCTTACTGAGCGCTCCCTCCTTGTCCTCCAGAGTCGTGTATTGAGAACTTACTGAGCGCTCCCTCCTTGTCCTCCAGAGTCGTGTATTGACGGACCTTTGCCAGGTGATGGCACAGTAGTGATGCTCATGGGCTGTGTTCTTTCTTCGGGATAATTGCAGCTTGAAACTCCTGGGCATCTGTGATTGGACTTTGGCAAAGTGAATGTATGTGTGTTGGAATGGGGCGTGTGTCTTTGTTAAATGTGACGTTTCTGTTTTTTTTTTGAGACGGAGTCTCTGTGACTCTTTTTTTACAACTATTCCCCCCAAATGGAGACAGATCAGTTTTGCTCTAAATGTGAATCCGAGGCCTCAGGAAGGCATTCGAGGTTTTCAGAACCTCCTTGTCCTCCTGAGTCGTGTATTGAGTGCTTACTGAGCGCCACCTCCTCGTCCTCCAGAGTCGTGCATTGAGTGCTTACTGAGCGCCACCTCCTCGTCCTCCAGGGTAGTGTATTGAGTGCTTACTGAGTGCCACCTCCTCGTCCTCCAGAGTCGTGTATTGAGTGCTTACTGAGCGCTGCCTCCTCATCCTCCTGAGTCGAGTATTGAGTGCTTACTGAGCGCTCCCTCCTCATCCTCCTGAGTCGTGTATTGAGTGCTTACTGAGCGCTCCCTCCTCGTCCTCCTGAGTCGTGTATTGAGTGCTTACTGAGCGCTCCCTCCTTGTCCTCCAGAGTCGTGTATTGAGTGCTTACTGAGCGCTCCCTCCTTGTCCTCTGGAGTCGTGTATTGAGTGCTTACTGAGCGCCCCCTCCTCGTCCTCCAGAGTCGTGTATTGAGTGCTTACTGAGCGCCACCTCCTCGTCCTCCTGAGTCGTGTATTGAGTGCTTACTGAGCGCCACCTCCTTGTCCTCCTGAGTCGTGTATTGAGTGCTTACTGAGCGCTCCCTCCTCGTCCTCCAGAGTCGTGTATTGAGTGCTTACTGAGCGCCACCTCCTCGTCCTCCAAAGTCGTGTATTGAGTGCTTACTGAGCGCTCCCTCCTTGTCCTCCAGAGTCGTGTATTGATGTTTTTACTGAGCGTATCTCTTCATCCTCTCTTGAGTTGTTATTGATGCGCTTACTGAGCTCTCCCCCTCTTGTCTCCGGATTCTGTTTTTTCACTGCTTATTTTGTCTTTCCTTCTTCCCTTTTTTAGGTGACTGGACTTTGGCAAAGTGAATGTATGTGTGTTGGAATGGGGCGTGTGTCTTTGTTAAATGTGACGTTTCTGTTTTTTTTTTGAGACGGAGTCTCTGTGACTCTTTTTTTACAACTATTCCCCCCAAATGGAGACAGATCAGTTTTGCTCTAAATGTGAATCCGAGGCCTCAGGAAGGCATTCGAGGTTTTCAGAACCTCCTTGTCCTCCTGAGTCGTGTATTGAGTGCTTACTGAGCGCCACCTCCTCGTCCTCCAGAGTCGTGCATTGAGTGCTTACTGAGCGCCACCTCCTCGTCCTCCAGAGTCGTGTATTGAGTGCTTACTGAGTGCCACCTCCTCGTCCTCCAGAGTCGTGTATTGAGTGCTTACTGAGCGCTCCCTCCTCATCCTCCTGAGTCGTGTATTGAGTGCTTACTGAGCGCTCCCTCCTCATCCTCCTGAGTCGTGTATTGAGTGCTTACTGAGCGCTCCCTCCTCGTCCTCCTGAGTCGTGTATTGAGTGCTTACTGAGTGCCACCTCCTCATCCTCCGGAGTCGTGTATTGAGTGCTTACTGAGCGCTCCCTCCTCGTCCTCCTGAGTCGTGTATTGAGTGCTTACTGAGCGCTCCCTCCTCGTCCTCCTGAGTCGTGTATTGAGTGCTTACTGAGCGCCCCCTCCTCGTCCTCCAGAGTCGTGTATTGAGTGCTTACTGAGCGCCACCTCCTCGTCCTCCAGAGTCGTGTATTGAGTGCTTACTGAGCGCTCCCTCCTCATCCTCCTGAGTCGTGTATTGAGTGCTTACTGAGCGCTCCCTCCTCGTCCTCCTGAGTCGTGTATTGAGTGCTTACTGAGTGCCACCTCCTCATCCTCCTGAGTCGTGTATTGAGTGCTTACTGAGCGCTCCCTCCTCGTCCTCCTGAGTCGTGTATTGAGTGCTTACTGAGCGCTCCCTCCTCGTCCTCCTGAGTCGTGTATTGAGTGCTTACTGAGTGCCACCTCCTCATCCTCCTGAGTCGTGTATTGAGTGCTTACTGAGCGCTCCCTCCTCGTCCTCCTGAGTCGTGTATTGAGTGCTTACTGAGCGCCCCCTCCTCGTCCTCCAGAGTCGTGTATTGAGTGCTTACTGAGCGCCACCTCCTCGTCCTCCTGAGTCGTGTATTGAGTGCTTACTGAGCGCTCCCTCCTCATCCTCCTGAGTCGTGTATTGAGTGCTTACTGAGTGCCACCTCCTCATCCTCCTGAGTCGTGTATTGAGTGCTTACTGAGTGCCACCTCCTCATCCTCCAGAGTCGTGTATTGAGTGCTTACTGAGCGCTCCCTCCTTGTCCTCCTGAGTCGTGTATTGAGTGCTTACTGAGCGCCACCTCCTCATCCTCCAGAGTCGTGTATTGAGTGCTTACTGAGCGCCACCTCCTCGTCCTCCAGAGTCGTGTATTGAGTGCTTACTGAGCGCTCCCTCCTTGTCCTCCAGAGTCGTGTATTGAGTGCTTACTGAGCGCTCCCTCCTCATCCTCCAGAGTCGTGTATTGAGTGCTTACTGAGCGCTACCTCCTCGTCCTCCAGAGTCGTGTATTGAGTGCTTACTGAGCGCCACCTCCTCGTCCTCCTGAGTCGTGTATTGAGTGCTTACTGAGCGCCACCTCCTTGTCCTCCTGAGTCGTGTATTGAGTGCTTACTGAGCGCTCCCTCCTCGTCCTCCAGAGTCGTGTATTGAGTGCTTACTGAGCGCCACCTCCTCGTCCTCCAAAGTCGTGTATTGAGTGCTTACTGAGCGCTCCCTCCTTGTCCTCCAGAGTCGTGTATTGAGTGCTTACTGAGCGCCACCTCCTCATCCTCCAGAGTCGTGTATTGAGAACTTACTGAGCGCTCCCTCCTTGTCCTCCGGAGTCGTGTATTGAGTGCTTACTGAGTGCCACCTCCTTGTCCTCCAGAGTCGTGTATTGAGTGCTTACTGAGCACTCCCTCCTTGTCCTCCGGAGTCGTATATTGAGTGCTTACTGAGCGCCACCTCCTCGTCCTCCAGAGTCGTGTATTGAGTGCTTACTGAGCGCTCCCTCCTTGTCCTCCTGAGTCGTGTATTGAGTGCTTACTGAGCGCCACCTCCTCGTCCTCCAGAGTCGTGTATTGAGTGCTTACTGAGCGCTCCCTCCTTGTCCTCCGGAGTCGTGTATTGAGTGCTTACTGAGCGCCACCTCCTTGTCCTCCGGAGTCGTGTATTGAGTGCTTACTGAGCGCCACCTCCTCGTCCTCCAGAGTCGTGTATTGAGAGCTTACTGAGCGCTCCCTCCTTGTCCTCCAGAGTCGTGTATTGAGTGCTTACTGAGCGCCACCTCCTTGTCCTCCGGAGTCGTGTATTGAGTGCTTACTGAGCGCTCCCTCCTTGTCCTCCAGAGTCGTGTATTGAGAACTTACTGAGCGCCACCTCCTTGTCCTCCAGAGTCGTGTATTGAGTGCTTACTGAGCGCTCCCTCCTTGTCCTCCAGAGTCGTGTATTGAGAACTTACTGAGCGCTCCCTCCTTGTCCTCCAGAGTCGTGTATTGAGTGCTTACTGAGCGCCACCTCCTTGTCCTCCAGAGTCGTGTATTGAGTGCTTACTGAGCGCCACCTCCTCATCCTCCAGGGTAGTGTATTGAGTGCTTACTGAGTGCCACCTCCTCGTCCTCCAGAGTCGTGTATTGAGTGCTTACTGAGCGCTCCCTCCTCATCCTCCTGAGTCGTGTATTGAGTGCTTACTGAGCGCTCCCTCCTCATCCTCCAGAGTCGTGTATTGAGTGCTTACTGAGCGCCACCTCCTCATCCTCCAGAGTCGTGTATTGAGTGCTTACTGAGCGCTCCCTCCTCGTCCTCCAGAGTCGTGTATTGAGTGCTTACTGAGCGCCACCTCCTCGTCCTCCAAAGTCGTGTATTGAGTGCTTACTGAGCGCTCCCTCCTCGTCCTCCTGAGTCGTGTATTGAGTGCTTACTGAGCGCTCCCTCCTTGTCCTCCAGAGTCGTGTATTGAGTGCTTACTGAGCGCTCCCTCATCGTCCTCCGGAGTCGTGTATTGAGTGCTTACTGAGCGCCCCCTCCTCGTCCTCCAGAGTCGTGTATTGAGTGCTTACTGAGCGCTCCCTCCTCATCCTCCTGAGTCGTGTATTGAGTGCTTACTGAGCGCTCCCTCCTCATCCTCCAGAGTCGTGTATTGAGTGCTTACTGAGCGCCACCTCCTCATCCTCCAGAGTCGTGTATTGAGTGCTTACTGAGTGCCACCTCCTCGTCCTCCAGAGTCGTGTATTGAGTGCTTACTGAGCGCTCCCTCCTCGTCCTCCAGAGTCGTGTATTGAGTGCTTACTGAGCGCCCCCTCCTCGTCCTCCAGAGTCGTGTATTGAGTGCTTACTGAGCGCTCCCTCCTTGTCCTCCGGAGTCGTGTATTGAGTGCTTACTGAGTGCCACCTCCTCGTCCTCCAGAGTCGTGTATTGAGTGCTTACTGAGCACTCCCTCCTTGTCCTCCGGAGTCGTATATTGAGTGCTTACTGAGCGCCACCTCCTCGTCCTCCAGAGTCGTGTATTGAGTGCTTACTGAGCGCTCCCTCCTCATCCTCCTGAGTCGTGTATTGAGTGCTTACTGAGCGCCACCTCCTCGTCCTCCAGAGTCGTGTATTGAGTGCTTACTGAGCGCTCCCTCCTTGTCCTCCTGAGTCGTGTATTGAGTGCTTACTGAGCGCTCCCTCCTCGTCCTCCAGAGTCGTGTATTGAGAGCTTACTGAGCACTCCCTCCTTGTCCTCCAAAGTCGTGTATTGAGTGCTTACTGAGCGCTCCCTCCTTGTCCTCCAGAGTCGTGTATTGAGTGCTTACTGAGCGCCACCTCCTTGTCCTCCTGAGTCGTGTATTGAGTGCTTACTGAGCGCCACCTCCTCGTCCTCCAGAGTCGTGCATTGAGTGCTTACTGAGCGCCACCTCCTCGTCCTCCAGAGTCGTGTATTGAGTGCTTACTGAGTGCCACCTCCTCGTCCTCCAGAGTCGTGTATTGAGTGCTTACTGAGCGCTCCCTCCTCATCCTCCTGAGTCGTGTATTGAGTGCTTACTGAGCGCTCCCTCCTCATCCTCCTGAGTCGTGTATTGAGTGCTTACTGAGCGCTCCCTCCTCGTCCTCCTGAGTCGTGTATTGAGTGCTTACTGAGTGCCACCTCCTCATCCTCCGGAGTCGTGTATTGAGTGCTTACTGAGCGCTCCCTCCTCGTCCTCCTGAGTCGTGTATTGAGTGCTTACTGAGCGCTCCCTCCTCGTCCTCCTGAGTCGTGTATTGAGTGCTTACTGAGCGCCCCCTCCTCGTCCTCCAGAGTCGTGTATTGAGTGCTTACTGAGCGCCACCTCCTCGTCCTCCAGAGTCGTGTATTGAGTGCTTACTGAGCGCTCCCTCCTCATCCTCCTGAGTCGTGTATTGAGTGCTTACTGAGCGCTCCCTCCTCGTTCTCCTGAGTCGTGTATTGAGTGCTTACTGAGTGCCACCTCCTCATCCTCCGGAGTCGTGTATTGAGTGCTTACTGAGCGCTCCCTCCTCGTCCTCCAGAGTCGTGTATTGCCTGAGTCGTGTATTGAGTGCTTACTGAGCGCTCCCTCCTCGTCCTCCTGAGTCGTGTATTGAGTGCTTACTGAGCGCCACCTCCTTGTCCTCCAGAGTCGTGTATTGAGAGCTTACTGAGCGCTCCCTCCTTGTCCTCCAGAGTCGTGTATTGAGTGCTTACTGAGCGCCACCTCCTTGTCCTCCGGAGTCGTGTATTGAGTGCTTACTGAGCGCTCCCTCCTTGTCCTCCAGAGTCGTGTATTGAGAACTTACTGAGCGCCACCTCCTCGTCCTCCAGAGTCGTGTATTGAGTGCTTACTGAGCGCTCCCTCCTCATCCTCCTGAGTCGTGTATTGAGTGCTTACTGAGCGCTCCCTCCTCATCCTCCAGAGTCGTGTATTGAGTGCTTACTGAGCGCCACCTCCTCATCCTCCAGAGTCGTGTATTGAGTGCTTACTGAGTGCCACCTCCTCGTCCTCCAGAGTCGTGTATTGAGTGCTTACTGAGCGCTCCCTCCTTGTCCTCTGGAGTCGTGTATTGAGTGCTTACTGAGCGCCCCCTCCTCGTCCTCCAGAGTCGTGTATTGAGTGCTTACTGAGCGCCACCTCCTCGTCCTCCTGAGTCGTGTATTGAGTGCTTACTGAGCGCCACCTCCTTGTCCTCCAGAGTCGTGTATTGAGTGCTTACTGAGCGCTCCCTCCTCGTCCTCCAGAGTCGTGTATTGAGTGCTTACTGAGCGCCACCTCCTCATCCTCCAGAGTCGTGAAGAGAGTGTAAAATCGCTGATCACTCCAGGTGGTGAAGGGTGGATGTGAAGTAAGGAGATTAAGGCGACTTACTCGTCGTCCTGCGTAGTGAAGAGATTGTAAAAAGAGGGCTACATCCAAGTCCTCATGCGTGGAGGATGAATTGAGAAGATCCCCCCACCTCCTCGTCCTCCAGAGTCGTGTATTGAGTGCTTACTGAGCGCTCCCTCCTTGTCCTCCGGAGTCGTGTATTGAGTGCTTACTGAGCGCCACTCCTTGTCCTCCGGAGTCGTGTATTGAGTGCTTACTGAGCGCCACCTCCTTGTCCTCCAGAGTCGTGTATTGAGAGCTTACTGAGCGCTCCCTCCTTGTCCTCCAGAGTCGTGTATTGAGTGCTTACTGAGCGCCACCTCCTTGTCCTCCGGAGTCGTGTATTGAGTGCTTACTGAGCGCTCCCTCCTTGTCCTCCAGAGTCGTGTATTGAGAACTTACTGAGCGCCACCTCCTCGTCCTCCAGAGTCGTGTATTGAGTGCTTACTGAGCGCTCCCTCCTTGTCCTCCAGAGTCGTGTATTGAGAACTTACTGAGCGCTCCCTCCTTGTCCTCCAGAGTCGTGTATTGAGTGCTTACTGAGCGCCACCTCCTTGTCCTCCAGAGTCGTGTATTGAGTGCTTACTGAGCGCCACCTCCTCATCCTCCAGGGTAGTGTATTGAGTGCTTACTGAGTGCCACCTCCTCGTCCTCCAGAGTCGTGTATTGAGTGCTTACTGAGCGCTCCCTCCTCATCCTCCTGAGTCGTGTATTGAGTGCTTACTGAGCGCTCCCTCCTCATCCTCCAGAGTCGTGTATTGAGTGCTTACTGAGCGCCACCTCCTCATCCTCCAGAGTCGTGTATTGAGTGCTTACTGAGTGCCACCTCCTCGTCCTCCAGAGTCGTGTATTGAGTGCTTACTGAGCGCTCCCTCCTCATCCTCCTGAGTCGTGTATTGAGTGCTTACTGAGCGCTCCCTCCTCATCCTCCTGAGTCGTGTATTGAGTGCTTACTGAGCGCTCCCTCCTCGTCCTCCTGAGTCGTGTATTGAGTGCTTACTGAGTGCCACCTCCTCATCCTCCTGAGTCGTGTATTGAGTGCTTACTGAGCGCTCCCTCATCGTCCTCCTGAGTCGTGTATTGAGTGCTTACTGAGCGCTCCCTCCTCGTCCTCCTGAGTCGTGTATTGAGTGCTTACTGAGTGCCACCTCCTCATCCTCCTGAGTCGTGTATTGAGTGCTTACTGAGCGCTCCCTCCTCGTCCTCCTGAGTCGTGTATTGAGTGCTTACTGAGCGCCCCCTCCTCGTCCTCCAGAGTCGTGTATTGAGTGCTTACTGAGCGCCACCTCCTCATCCTCCAGAGTCGTGTATTGAGTGCTTACTGAGCGCTCCCTCCTCGTCCTCCAGAGTCGTGTATTGAGTGCTTACTGAGCGCTCCCTCCTCGTCCTCCAGAGTCGTGTATTGAGTGCTTACTGAGCGCTCCCTCCTCGTCCTCCAGAGTCGTGTATTGAGTGCTTACTGAGCGCCACCTCCTCGTCCTCCAGAGTCGTGTATTGAGTGCTTACTGAGCGCTCCCTCCTCGTCCTCCAGAGTCGTGTATTGAGTGCTTACTGAGCGCCACCTCCTCGTCCTCCAGAGTCGTGTATTGAGTGCTTACTGAGCGCCACCTCCTCGTCCTCCAGAGTCGTGTATTGAGTGCTTACTGAGCGCCACCTCCTCGTCCTCCAGAGTCGTGTATTGAGTGCTTACTGAGCGCTCCCTCCTCGTCCTCCAGAGTCGTGTATTGAGTGCTTACTGAGCGCCACCTCCTCGTCCTCCAAAGTCGTGTATTGAGTGCTTACTGAGCGCTCCCTCCTTGTCCTCCAGAGTCGTGTATTGAGTGCTTACTGAGCGCCACCTCCTCATCCTCCAGAGTCGTGTATTGAGTGCTTACTGAGCGCCCCCTCCTTGTCCTCCAGAGTCGTGTATTGAGTGCTTACTGAGCGCCACCTCCTCGTCCTCCAGAGTCGTGTATTGAGTGCTTACTGAGCGCCACCTCCTCGTCCTCCAGAGTCGTGTATTGAGTGCTTACTGAGCGCTCCCTCCTCATCCTCCTGAGTCGTGTATTGAGTGCTTACTGAGCGCTCCCTCCTCGTCCTCCTGAGTCGTGTATTGAGTGCTTACTGAGCGCTCCCTCCTTGTCCTCCAGAGTCGTGTATTGAGTGCTTACTGAGCGCTCCCTCATCGTCCTCCGGAGTCGTGTATTGAGTGCTTACTGAGCGCCCCCTCCTCGTCCTCCAGAGTCGTGTATTGAGTGCTTACTGAGCGCCACCTCCTCGTCCTCCTGAGTCGTGTATTGAGTGCTTACTGAGCGCCACCTCCTTGTCCTCCTGAGTCGTGTATTGAGTGCTTACTGAGCGCTCCCTCCTCGTCCTCCAGAGTCGTACTAACTGAGCGCTCCCACCTTGTCCTCCAGAGTCGCGTAACTCAGCGCTTACTGAGCGCCACCTCCTTGCCCTCCAGAGTCGTGTATTGAGTGCGCACTGAGCGCCACCTCCTCATCCTCCAGGGTAGTGTATTGAGTGCTTACTGAGTGCCACCTCCTCGTCCTCCAGAGTCGTGTATTGAGTGCTTACTGAGCGCTCCCTCCTCATCCTCCTGAGTCGTGTATTGAGTGCTTACTGAGCGCCACCTCCTCGTCCTCCAGAGTCGTGTATTGAGTGCTTACTGAGCGCTCCCTCCTTGTCCTCCTGAGTCGTGTATTGAGTGCTTACTGAGCGCCACCTCCTCGTCCTCCAGAGTCGTGTATTGAGTGCTTACTGAGCGCTCCCTCCTTGTCCTCCGGAGTCGTGTATTGAGTGCTTACTGAGCGCCACTCCTTGTCCTCCGGAGTCGTGTATTGAGTGCTTACTGAGCGCCACCTCCTTGTCCTCCAGAGTCGTGTATTGAGAGCTTACTGAGCGCTCCCTCCTTGTCCTCCAGAGTCGTGTATTGAGTGCTTACTGAGCGCCACCTCCTTGTCCTCCGGAGTCGTGTATTGAGTGCTTACTGAGCGCTCCCTCCTTGTCCTCCAGAGTCGTGTATTGAGAACTTACTGAGCGCCACCTCCTCGTCCTCCAGAGTCGTGTATTGAGTGCTTACTGAGCGCTCCCTCCTTGTCCTCCAGAGTCGTGTATTGAGAACTTACTGAGCGCTCCCTCCTTGTCCTCCAGAGTCGTGTATTGAGTGCTACTGAGCGCACCACAGTGCTTACTGAGCGCCACCTCCTCGTCCTCCTGAGTCGTGTATTGAGTGCTTACTGAGCGCCACCTCCTTGTCCTCCTGAGTCGTGTATTGAGTGCTTACTGAGCGCTCCCTCCTCGTCCTCCAGAGTCGTGTATTGAGTGCTTACTGAGCGCCACCTCCTCGTCCTCCAAAGTCGTGTATTGAGTGCTTACTGAGCGCTCCCTCCTTGTCCTCCAGAGTCGTGTATTGAGTGCTTACTGAGCGCCACCTCCTCATCCTCCAGAGTCGTGTATTGAGTGCTTACTGAGCGCTCCCTCCTTGTCCTCCGGAGTCGTGTATTGAGTGCTTACTGAGTGCCACCTCCTCGTCCTCCAGAGTCGTGTATTGAGTGCTTACTGAGCACTCCCTCCTTGTCCTCCGGAGTCGTATATTGAGTGCTTACTGAGCGCCACCTCCTCGTCCTCCAGAGTCGTGTATTGAGTGCTTACTGAGCGCTCCCTCCTTGTCCTCCTGAGTCGTGTATTGAGTGCTTACTGAGCGCCACCTCCTCGTCCTCCAGAGTCGTGTATTGAGTGCTTACTGAGCGCTCCCTCCTTGTCCTCCGGAGTCGTGTATTGAGTGCTTACTGAGCGCCACCTCCTTGTCCTCCGGAGTCGTGTATTGAGAGCTTACTGAGCACTCCCTCCTTGTCCTCCAGAGTCGTGTATTGAGTGCTTACTGAGCGCCACCTCCTTGTCCTCCGGAGTCGTGTATTGAGAGCTTACTGAGCGCTCCCTCCTTGTCCTCCGGAGTCGTGTATTGAGTGCTTACTGAGCGCCACCTCCTTGTCCTCCGGAGTCGTGTATTGAGAGCTTACTGAGCGCTCCCTCCTTGTCCTCCGGAGTCGTGTATTGAGTGCTTACTGAGCGCCACCTCCTTGTCCTCCGGAGTCGTGTATTGAGTGCTTACTGAGCGCCACCTCCTCATCCTCCAGAGTCGTGTATTGAGTGCTTACTGAGCGCTCCCTCCTTGTCCTCCAGAGTCGTGTATTGAGAACTTACTGAGCGCTCCCTCCTTGTCCTCCGGAGTCCTGTATTGAGTGCTTACTGAGCGCCACCTCCTTGTCCTCCAGAGTCGTGTATTGAGTGCTTACTGAGCGCCACCTCCTCATCCTCCAGGGTAGTGTATTGAGTGCTTACTGAGCGCCACCTCCTCATCGTCCAGAGTCGTGTATTGAGTGCTTACTGAGCGCCACCTCCTCATCCTCCAGAGTCGTGTATTGAGTGCTTACTGAGCGCCACCTCCTCATCCTCCAGAGTCGTGTATTGAGTGCTTACTGAGCGCCACCTCCTCATCCTCCAGAGTCGTGTATTGAGTGCTTACTGAGCGCCACCTCCTCATCCTCCAGAGTCGTGTATTGAGTGCTTACTGAGCGCCAGCTCGTCATCCTCCAGAGTCGTGTATTGAGTGCTTACTGAGCGCCACCTCCTCATCCTCCGGGGTCGTGTATTGAGTGCTTACTGAGCGCCACCTCCTCATCCTCCGGAGTCGTGTATTGAGTGCTTACTGAGCACCACCTCCTTGTCCTCTGGAGTCATGTATTGAGTGCTGACTGAGTACCGCAGGGTCCACCTCAGGGCTTCCAGCATTTCCTTGTTGGGGGTTGGGGTGGGCTGTCCTGCACAGCACAGCATGTTTAACAGCATCGCTGGACTCAGCACTGGATGCCAGTCAGGACAACCAAAAATGCCTCCAGATAGTGCCAAATGCCCCCCAGGGGATAGAATCGTCTCCTGAGAACAGCTGGTCTTCACTGAGATCAAGGCAAGCCTGGTCTCTGGCTCACTCTTTCTTTCCAGCATCTCCAGCTAGCATTTTATTCCCGTAGTTGAAGAACACAGGAATCCTTGTGCTCTTTCCACCTGCCTCACTGTCCAACTCATTCTCCACTTTCCGCGATGCCATTTCAGTTTCCCCTCTTGCTGATGATCTGGGTCTGTTTCCTCACTCTCCAGAGTGTCCGAGGGTTTCCCCTTCCCTCGGGGAGGCGTCTGTGTTCTCATCAGGGGAGAAATCAGTTCCAGGCCCCAGCTCCAAGTTCGCCACAACCTGTTAGTTCACCTGGGGCCTTGCGTAATCTCCACGAGCATCTGGGGCACCGTGTCAAGTCCTGAAGCCCCCATGGCCCTGCAGAGGGACCTTCTCTGGGCCTTGGATGATGAGGGTGCTGCTCTCCACTGGGACTCCAGCATTGTCAGGCACAGACACACACGGTGTTAACTGTTCGGCAACTGGAGTTTCTAAGCCTGTTTTCTGGAGCAGGCAACATGGATTCACGCATAACTTTGAAAATGTATCTTGGATGTTTGAGGCCTTCTAGCAAGTCCTTGTTTCAGGCTTTCACAGGACAGTGCAGAGGGTTTTCTGGTGAAAGCAGAACCCGGGAAAGCCAGGTTTTGGGAACTCGTGGCAGCTCTACCACCAAGAGACCCTTCGTCTGTCACTTTCACTGCGTTAACAGGAAGACTTGACTGTCATTTAACATTAAGGTGCGCAGGGCACAGAGAAGAAAGCTGGGCAGTGGTGGTCCATGATGCCTGTCTGCCCACCCTCCTGGGCCACAGGGTCTGTCTTGTTGGAGACAGTGGACATTTAATCGATGTCTGTTGGGGAAGCATCAGTTAATTCCCTGAAAGATAAATCCACCTATGAAAAAGACAGCAGCATTGCCTCAGTTCCAGAATGTGGACCACTGCCCAACCCCTTCCTCACTGTAGCAGGCGCCCGGCTCCCCTTGGACCACTGCCCAGTTCCTTGCTCACCATAGCAGGCGCCCGGCTCCCCTTGGACCACTGCCCAGTTCCTTCCTCACCATAGCAGGCGCCTGGCTCCCCTTGGACCACTGCCCAACTCCTTCCTCACCATAGGAAGCCCATCTCCCCTTGGCAGCCCTGGCCCTGAGCACAGAATTGTCTAGACCAGCTGAAAACCAACTGGAACCAACCAGTTCCTTCCTCACCATAGCAGGCGCCTGGCTCCCCTTGGACCACTGCCCAACTCCTTCCTCACCGTAGGCGCCCAGCTCTCCTTGGCAGTCCTGGTGCTGAGCACAGAATTGTCTAGACCAGCTGAGAACCAACCGGAAGAAATGGGCTCAGTAAAGACTGATTTCAGAAATTCTCCAGACACAAGTTCAAGAAGAGAGCTGGGTGTGACGAACGTGCTCAGAACCCTCCTCGCTTCCCAGCCTGTCACCGTGTGATGGTGAATCTTCTCCGTCACCTAGACTGGGATAGGGGATGCCCACAGAGCTGGGAAGACATTTTCCAGATGTGTCTGTGGTGGTGTTTCTGGAAGGACCAGCGTTTGAATCAGGGAATGAGTAAAGCAGACCCCACCCCAGTGCAGGTGGGCCTCCCCCAGTCCATGAGGGCTCAAATAGAACTGAAAGAGGAAGGGAGGACCTCCTCTCTTCTTGAGCTGGGACCTTCATCTTCTCCTGCCCTCCACCAGAGCCCCAGGGCCTTCAGGCTCTGAGGCTTTCACCAGCAGCCCCTCAGTGCCGGGGCCTTCGGGCTTAGACTGAATTACACCTGACCCCGTGGGTCTCCAGCTGTGGGGCTTCTCAGCCTCCATAATCATATGATCCAGTTCCGAAAATAAAACCCCCTCTTATGTGTCTGTGTGTCCTGTTGGTTCCATTCCTCCAGAGAACCCTGACCGATACGTGCTGCAGGTGTGTAGACCTTTGGCTAACTGAGAAATGGTGTCAGGTCCACAAGCCAAGCGGTGTCCTCCCCAGGAATGCCAGACGCTGACACCAAGTGCCCAAGGGGAAGGGGAGGTTTCAAAACATGCCCTCGATCTGCTGAGGAGACTGCAAGCTTCGATCAGGGCCCAGATCATCTGGGAGTGGTTGGAATCTCACTGGCTTCAGAGCAGAATCTTTGCATTGTGAGGCACTGGCAATGAGGATACCAGTAATAGTGACACGGAAGGTAACATTCACGGGCATGGCTTCACGCGTGCGGCACCGTGGCCCAGGCAGCCTCACGGTGAGGAGCTCCCAGCAGAGCAGACGCCAGTCTGACCCCTTTGAAATACTCGCTGAGTGCTTCCTTTTTATTCTCTCCCCTCAGTTCACATAATTCTGTAGCAGTAACTTACTGTCATGTCCCACAGTTTCATGGGGTCACTAGAGGAAGGCTTCCTGCAGGGGTCCATCTGCAGGCTACTGCATTTCCGCACAGGTCGAGTTAAAGCAAAAGCATCAAGTCAGCTCCCTTCTCAGAATGAAATACAGTGAAATTATGGCTTAAAACTCCTGGGGGAGCTTGTAAGTATGAAGAGGCAGCAGCACATAAGTGTGTTTCACGCACGGCATCAGGGACACCCCATGGGCCTGCGTCAAACCCCACGTCCAGGTCAAGGGATCCAGAGATGCTGATTTGGAACCTGGTTTTCTTGTTCAGGAATTTTCCCAGATTATGGCCACCTTTCCCTGTGGGAATGTCCTTGCTTCACTCTGGAGCCATTTTTTTTTTTTTTTTTTTAAACTTCCTTGTTTTCAGTTGTCTTATCCAGGAAGGAAGGCTGAGCTCCTGGTGAACATGTAAATATCTTTACTTCTCTATTTAAGAGATTGTAATCATTATTTTGTTATAATTGCATAGTGTTGTACGTTACTTTGACTTGCCAGCTAAACTAATATTTCTGTGGGTTTATTTATTGAGTTTCAGTGCATAAAAGGTGACTAAAGTGTCACCGTGGAAAGCTACCTGCATACGCCAGTTGTTCCTTTCAGGTATTCAGTCGTGGTCTCTTGTTCTGGAAACCCAACATCTCCTAATTAAAATCGTCGTATGTTAATTGCTCTGCTTAACTACAGAGAAATTATTCATTGCAATAATTTGGTCTGAAAATGAATGTTTATATATATTGTGTCTTTTAACAATGTGCAATGCATAGCTACATTATATACTATAATAAGTCAAAGAAAACAGAGTTAGGAATAATCAAAACACCAAAAATCTTATATGGTTTTGAAGGCAGGGAATTATAATGTTGATACATATGGGTTTCCACATAAAAGAGCATAAAAGCACGAAGGACTTGACCCCTGAGCCAGGCGGTCCTAGCTGGCCTTTGGCCCCACTTGTGCCGAAGATATAACTCCATCCTGCTTGCCTCCGGCTCCCTAGCCTGGTGACATTGGCAGGAAGACGGAGTCATAAACTGTGCCGGTAGAGCCTTGGGCAGATTAAACGAGGTAACCGAAATGCGGAACCTGCAGGTGGTAGACTTGAGGGCCTCGTGCTCCTCCTGGCCTGGTTTATCCTCTCCTTTCCCTCCTGCTCTGAACCATCTGCTAAACTTCAAACAATGCCAAGAGTAAGCATTTCACAGGCTCACGAAGCTGCGTGTCTACTTCATTTAAGGGCTTCTAAAATTATTTCCGTGAACTTTCCAGAACTTGAATTTATGGAAAGCTGCGCATGAAGTCTCTCTCACTAAGGGTGAATTTTCCCTAATCAGCTCTGCCCTCATGAGCCGTCGTGTGGGCCCTGGTGGTGCGGCACACTCATCCAGGCCTTTGCAAGTGGGACACAGAGTGTGGGGGTGGATGCTTCCACGCCAGTATCCTCCACGTTCAGACACATGCTCCGAAAACCTACAGGCAACAGCAAGGGCTCTGGAAGACACAGATGCCATGGGCAGGTGATCTCCTGCTAGGGATGTCCTGCCATGGACCCTCACCTCCCCTGGAGTCACTGCCCTTTCTCCATTCCTGCCTCCAGGCCTCTCAAGCATGGGCTGGGCTTGCTGCATCTCCCTCCTCCTCACCTGTGCTCCCTTTTTAGCTCCAGTGCTATGGCTCCCACTGCCCTCTGCAGAGCCCCCAGCACTGGGACTTTTATGCTGAAGGCGAGGTCCCCCGCCAGCCTCCTGCTCTGAGCGCTAGACTCTGCAGCCTGCTTGTCTTTCATGCCTCCTCCTCCCTAGCCTTCTGAGGCTCCATTCTCTCCCTCAGCCTCCCTGTCTCCCGGGCTCTTTCTCCTCCATCTCTCTTACAGATGTGGAGGTTCCAAAAGGTTCTCAGAGTCTCACCCTCTTCCATATGATTTGTTACATTGCTAAATGCATGCATGCATCTGATCTCACGAATTCAGTGCTGAAATATCCCACTGCTGCTACTTGACCTGCAGAATAAATGTGTGGTTTCTCAGCTTGGCCTTGTGTATCCTTGGTAAGCCCCAGCCATTCCAGCTGTGAGCCCTCAGATAAGTTGCTTCACCCCTCTCTGCCTCAGTGTCCTCTTCTGAGAAATGGTGATAGCAATGGAGCCCACTGTGAAGATCACAGGCTCTTTGTGAAGGTCAGAGTCAGTGCATGTAATTATTGAGTCTTTCTTGCTGTTCTTGGGCACTTAGCAAGACCTCTACAGGCAAAAGGCAATTGCCAGCTGTGATGGCCATTCTGACTCTAACATACCCTCCCTATTCACAGCCCTCCCCAGCAGATGGCCTGTGTCTCCAGTGCTCAGGGCCACCTGCATTTCCTGAGATTACAGTGCCTCTCGCATGCTATTTCCTGTCTCCCTGTCTCTGACTTCCCTCCCTCCTGCTGGGAAAATTCCTTCAATACCCAGCTCAAGTGTCCCCTCCTCCGTAAAACAGACTTGCCCTTCCTGACCACAGTGTGGGAAAAATCCTTCAATACCCAGCTCAAGTGTCCCCTCCTCTGTGAAGAGGGCTTCCTCTTCTTGACCAGTGCCATTACCTCCTCAGTTCTCCTAGTGTCCCTCTGGAACTCACAGCTTTGTGTTCTATTTGCCCCTCTGTGTTTTCTACTGGACAGTGGCTCCTTCCAAGTCATGGCTTGTCTCCCTCCTCTCTGTAGCACCTTTGTATGTTTCAACACCTTTATTATTAGCTATTTATTTATAGTATTTTTAAAGTAAATAAAGGAAGAAGCATAAAGATAGAAGGATGGGAAGCAGAATGAATAAATGGATAGATATTTTCAAGAACAGAGGAAGAAAATGAATTACTATTGTAATATAAATGAACAACCTATTGAAGAAAGGAAAATATAGTTTCAATGCTCAAGAAGCATAAAAAAGACTTTCAAAGTAAGTCCAATTTAAGGGCAAGCAAAAGTCACTATGCATATTTTACTTAGATTCTCAAAAAGTTGTAGATTACTTTGCACTAAATCTGGCAAGTATAGAGTTATAATGGAAATGAAAAAATGTTTTGTCACAGAAAAAGTATTGCCTTAAAGTCCAGAAACATGAGATGTTCGAAGGCCCTTCTCTGGATGGAGGAATAATATGAAAGGGAATGAAAATCTCAGTAATCAATGATTGGAGTCACTCTTATCTTTGATAAATGGTCTTGAACTCAAAGGGCACCACCCAGTCTCCCAGTATGTAGCTCTTCTGCAGGTGCAATGACAGGATGATGGGGTTAGATTGTGCAGGTCTCACAAAGCTCCATCAGTGCACACACGCCTGCCAGGTGGGCCTTGGTGAGGCACAGCCTGAGAAGAGGCACGTGCAGATGCACAATGTCAATGGCATACTTATTAAATGGTGAATTCTTGTTTATCATTTTTTTTTTCAAAAAGAGCTCCAAACTCATCGTAAGCTGTTCACTGAAGACACCATCAACAGGGTGCTGTGATTGAAAGCAAATAGTCAAAAAGTGCAGCTCAGGGCACCGTGTGGACACTTAGTGACATGCCTAGGAATTCTGCTTTTTCCTCTGCTGTTAGTGTTGGGGAAAGGCATTCTTTCAAGGTCAGTAAAGTCAGAGTTGCAGGCTGTTGAGAAAGTGAAGTGTTCAGGGTTGGGGGGAGTTGTCTGTTGAGAGAAACTGACTTATATTCGTAAAGATGGAATCTGAGAAAGTGCTAAAGCTGGAAACTGGAATGGCAGGGGTGTTCTGTGGACTCTTGTGGGGTTGGCATGGCGCCCTGAGCATGTGATTGGAGGGTGTGTTTCACAGTTGTCAGAATGAGGCCAACAAGTCTGAAGGCTGTAGCCAGGGAGAGGCAGTGAGGACCTGCCAAGGGCAAGCCAGAAATGCAAGGTCCGGGGTGTGAGTCAGGTCGTGACCCATGGAGCCGGTCAAGTGTGGGAGGCAAGAGGCATGGGGACATGAGGGACTGACCAGGCCGGGGGTCCCAGTGCAGGGTCCACACCAGAGCAGAAGCGGAAGGTGGCGGGGAGGGACTGACCGGGCTGTGGGTCCCAGTGCAGAGTCCACACCAGAGTGGAGGCAGAACACGGCTGGGAGGGACTGAGCGGAGCTGCCCGGCAGCTGTCTCTGAGGATCCCGCCATCTACGCACGTCCAGGCGTCCTCTGCCCTCAGCGTGTCTTGCCTTTACAAGCATGGAACCTCCTGTTAAATAATCAGGTGTCTGGCTGGGCACGGTGGTGCATGTCTGTAATCCCAACACTTTCGGAGGCCAAGGTGGGCAGATCACCTGAGGTCAGGAGTTTGAGACCAGCCTGGCCAACATGGCAAAACCCCATGTCTACTAAAAGTACAAAAATTAGCCAGGCGTGGTGGCAGGCATCTGTAATCCCAGCTGCTTGGGAGGCTGAGGCAGGGGAATCACTTGAACCTGGGAGGTGGAGGTTTCAGTGAGCTGAGGTCATGCCCCTGCACTCGAGCCTGGGCAACAGAGCAAGACTCCGTCTCAAAAGAAAAAAAAAGAAGAAAAAAAATCAAGCATTTTGATCCCTGTATTATACTTGTCCAGCCTTTGGCTGTGGTGCACATGCATACATACGTGTACACACATGTGCACACATGCATACAAACAGGTACACACATGCGTACAAACAGGCAACTCTATTCTGCCAACCTGTGGGCTGTGTCTATCTTTAATCTGTGAACTTGACTCCAGGCAGCCCTAAACTGGTTTTAGGATACAAAACTTTCACTTTTAATTATTTTCTTATGACTTTCTCTAGTGCGTCTTTCTGATTTAAAGGCTAATTTTTTTTTCAACTTTTATTTTAGATCCGGGGGTACGTTGGCAAGTTTGTTACATGGATTTATTTCATGACACTGAAGTTTGAGGTGCAAATGATCCCATCACCCAGACACTGAGCACAGCACCCAATGGGCAGTGTTTCTTCCCCAGCCCCTTTTTCCCTCCCCCTCTAGTAGCCCTGGTGTCTGCTGTTCGCACCTTTATGTCCACGTGTGCCCTATGTTTAGCCTCCACTTATAAGTGAGAACACGTGGTGTCTGGCTTTCTGTTCCTGTGGTAATTCACTTGGGACTAAGGCCCCCACCTGCATCCGTGTTGCTGCAGAGGACGTGATTCCATTCTCTCTTACGGCTGCATAGAATTTCGTGGTGTATAGGTAGCACTGTCTCTTTATCTCATCCACCTTTGATGGGCACCTGGGTTGCTTCCATGTTTTTGCTATTGCGAACCTTGTGAACCATGCTGCAGTGAACATACATGTGTCAGTGTCTTTTTGGTAGAATGATTTATTTTCCTTTGGGTATATACCCAGTCATGGGATTGCTGATTTAAGTTCTTTGAGAAATCTTCAAGCTGCTTTCCATAGTGGCTGAGCTAATTTACAATCCCACAAACAGGGTAGAAACTCCTTGAGGGGTCATTTCATGACTAAAAGAATATTTTTTAACATAAATTGGGGGAGGGTGATGGGTGACAAAACTGACTACCCCTGCCAATGGGAAGCAGGTGGAAAATGCAAAATTATTTGACAGACTTAAAGATGTTATTAGATGACAAAAACATAGAGGACCCTGCATAATATCTGCTTGAGGTGCTAAAGAGACTTTTCAAAGTATTTTCAGTGCTCAGTTTGGACGTGAAACCCATCCTGTCCCCAGACGATGCCTGGTTACCAGCGTCAATACAGAGTGGCGACCAGATGATTCCAGCGTCCATACAGAGTGGCGACCAGCCCGGCCTGGCGGGGGATTGTAGGTTCCCGTCACGACGGCCATGGAAACCAGCTTCCCGTGGTCAGCCCAGGTGTCCGCCTTCGTATTTCAGACGTGCCTGGTCACTTGAGGGAGGTTCAAACCTCTGCAGTGCAGCGATACTACAGTTTCTGAGGCAAATTAAACTTTTCCATAAATGTGTCTGATCCTCAGAACAGTCCATCAGGCGGAGAATCCGATTTTGCTGCTCCTGTTTCCTAAGTGAGGACATGGAGTTCTAGCCCCGCTGAATGAACCACCCGAGGCCTGAACCAGAACCCCTCTGCCTCCACGGCCGCCCCTTCTTTGAAAACTTACCATGAAAACGAACAGTTTTTTGTCACCTCAACATAGAAATATCAACATGGAAACTCTGTTTCTGTGTTGACATTTCAATCCAAAGTGTCTATCAGGTCACTTAATAAGTAAAACAAGGAATCAAAAACCAGGTAGTAAGAAAAGGAATCGGACGTGTTGGCTGCTTAAGAGGAGAGCCTGGGGGCGGAATGTGGCTCGCGAGCACCCGTGCCGGCCTCCTTTTCTGTCTCTCCTCAGACATTTGTTGCAAAGCGTGAGCATAATCCGTTCTCTCCCTAAAACCTGTTCGTGTGAAAGCTTCTCAGACTTGCAAAGAATGCGCTTTTGTTCCCGGAAACAGATTTGCTTCGTGAGGAGGCCCAGCTCAGTGCGGCTGTGGCATTGAGACTCAGAGTCCAGGGCTCAGGGGTCCCCGTCACTCCTCCGAGCAGCCGTCAGCGGTCCCGCCCCACACTGTCCCCGGCGGGTTCAGCAGGAGAAAGGGCGGGGGTGGGGGGATGGGGGGGTGGGGGGGAGACCCCCGTTCATTCATTTAGCGTCTGAGGCGGGGGAGACTCTGAGTGAAGGGGAAGCCCCCGTTCATTTAGTGTCTGAGGCGGGGGAGACTCTGAGTGAGGGGAGACCAGCGTCCGTTTGGCGTCTGAGGTGGGGAGACCGGCATTCATTTAGCGTCTGAGGCGGGAGGAGAGACCGGCGTTCATTTAGCGTCTGCGGGGTGCCCAGGTTCGACAGCATCTCACCGCATGTTCATAGAAGCCCTTGAAGCTAGCAGCACTGTCACTGCTTTTATCCTGATCAGGACACGGAGCCTCTGATTGTTGAAGCAAACCTTGTTTTTCTCTGACTTCAGCTCTTTGTGTTCTCTTACTGTGAAGGTTAATGTGGTAACAGTTTCCACGGGGCTCACCAGGGCAGGCATAGTACATAGCACAGGTGTGAATGCAATGGGGATCCGAAGCCCAGAACAGGGGAGGAGAGGAGAAAATGCGGACAGATAAATAGGAGGCTCAGAAGGACTTCACTGCGTGGCCGCCTCCAGGGGGGCACGGGGAGCCCCACTCCTGCCTCACTCCGCGAGGCTCCAGGGGGGCACAGGGGGCCCCACTCCTGCCTCACTCGGCGAGGCTCCAGACACAGAAGCCCACGGAGACCTATGAACGGACCAGAGGGTCCTGGAATGATTTCAGAGAAAGTGATCAATGTCTCCACAAATGCAGCTAATGCATTTGAAGAATTCGATTATTACCTCATCTTTATTGGCGGGAATTCAGAGTTCACAACACAAAAGTGCAGTTCCAGGAGCCTTTTGCTCTGATAAAATATTACATTTTCAAAATAGCTACCACTGACATTCGTCTGTCGTGAAAAAAAAAGAATTAAATATCTGAAATCAGCACGTTTGGAGAATGGGCTCTACAGTCCCGTTCTGGACAGTGGAAGTGGGGGATTAGATGCCTGCAAGAATATTGTTATCTCATTAGCAAAAATAAATGTAACTCCTGTCCCTCCACCAAATAAAAGATCTCCAGCCATACAGTGTGGCCTCATGCACAGCATTCTCCTTCCGAACCATTTTCAAAGACCTTGATCTTGGGTGGCCCAAAGAATGATGATGTAACTGTCTCTACTACTGAACATTTAAGAAATGGATATTGTATGTGTAATAACTAAGTCATTTATTAAATAGTATGGTCTAAAAATTAAACAGCTTCACTTTAGATGGCCTCAAACATGAAAATATTCAACTTTAGATATTTATATTCAGTATCCTCAAGTCATTAAAAAAGTATAGCTAATTAATGGATTTGATTCTGGCATGTTTTTAAAAAGATGATTATTTCTGTAGTCGCTTAGCCTGAAATTATAGCCATCGTTAACTTCTTTCTCTCTTTTAACCCCAAACCCACGATTTATGTCTCTACTTTCACAGTCAAAATGGAAGCTTCACCTGGCTGCCAGTGCTCTCTCTGCATTCACACGACACTCCACTCCGACGCCAAATAAAAGGGAAAAAAGTGTTTCCTTCTCGACACCAAATGCAAGAAAAATTCCATTTTTTTTTCTTTGCTACACTCACGCCAATACTTCTGGCCACCAAATGTGTGTATATTTTCCCATGCACCGTTTCTCCCACTACCAGGACACCAACTGGGCGTCCTCTAATTCATTGCTGTCCTGACCCTGACCACCTGCACTTCCCTCAGACCCCGCAGGTTAAGGACGCAGCCCCGCAAGACCAGGGCCAATCCCAAGTCTGGCTTCTGGCCCGCTGGCTAGAGATCATGGGTTCCCATGGCTCTACCTCCAGTTCAGTGATTTGCTTGAATGGCTCACAGAACTCGGGGAAACACTTTACTTGTGTTTACCCACACTATGTAAATGCTCCCACTCAGGCACAGCCGAACGAAGGGGCACATGGGGCGAGGCAGAGGCCAGGGCCATGTGGACTCTCCGTGCCCTCTCTGGGCACCGCCTCCCTGTGTTCAGCCCTCTGCAAGCACTCCAAAACCCTTGGTAGGTTTTGTTTTTCCATTTTAAATTTGTTATTTTTAGTTGACTCATAATAATTGTACATGTTTGTGGGATACTGTGTTACACTCTGATGCGTGCGTGTGTGTGTGTGTGTGTGTGTGTGTGTAGGTTTTGTTTTCCTTTTATAAATGGTTATTTTTGGTTGACTCACAGTAATTGTACATATTTGTGGGATACTATGTTACACTCTGATACGTGTGTGTGTGTGTGTGTGTGTGTGTGTGTAGGTTTTGTTTTCCTTTTATAAATGGTTATTTTTGGTTGACTCACAGTAATTGTACATATTTGTGGGATACTGTGTTACACTCTGATACGTGTGTGTGTGTGTGTGTGTGTGTGTGTGTGTGTAGGTTTTGTTTTCATTTTATAAATGGTTATTTTTGGTTGACTGATAGTAATTGTACATATCTGTGGATCTTGTGTTACATGTTGATACGTGTACATAATGTATAAGGTGAGGTGTATGAACACATGCTCCAGTATCCAGCATCGCATCACTAATCCCCAGGGAAGTGCAAATCAAAACCACACTGAGATACTGTCTCACTCCAGTTAGAATGGCGGTTACCAGAAAGACCAAAAGTAACAGTTCTAGCAAGGATGTGGAGAAGGGAATTCTTATAATGTTGGTGAGAATATAAATTAGTCTAGCCACTAAGGAAAACAGCATGGAGGTTCCTCAAAAAACTAAGCCACCATATGAGCCAGCAATCCCACTACTGAGTGTACAGCCAAAAGAAATGGTATCAGAGCTGCACCATTCACAATAGCCAGGAGATGGAATCGACCTGAGTGTCCATCAACAGAAGAATGGAGAAAGAACATGTGAAATGGGGTAGGTAGACACAGTGGACTACAGTTCAGCTGTAAAAAGAATGAAATCCTTAGGGTTTTTTATGTAGACTTTGTTACATAAGCACAGTGAATTAAGTCACTGGCCATCCCTGATCCAGCTAACCTTCAGTCCCTTTTCCCTTCCTGGAGGTCTGGGGTCGGGAGGGGCTGGAAGTTCCAATCCTCTAATCACAAGGCTAGTTCCCTGAGGACTGCCTTATCCTGAGGCTCTCCAGGGTCCAGCTTGAGTCTCTGCATCAGCGTAAACTCAGGTGTGGTTGAAGGGCTGGCTGGGAATGACTAAGGACTGTCCTTTCAACCTTTATTGCCCTTATTACTTAGGAAACCATGGGGTTTTAGGAGCTCTGAGCAAGAAGTCGCTCTATCACAACAGTGTTCAGATAAATACACGTAAATGAAGCCTATTTCTGGCCACCTCACTTCTGCGATTCTCTCTTCCACTCTACGCTGGTGTCCCAGGTCATCTCAGCACTTTGAGTTTTTTCTAATTCCAATTCATCCTATAGCAAATTTCCTAAACTACAACTCTATGCATGTCACTATCCTACTAAAGCATGTTTAAGCTATCCACAGTATACCTGAATATATTTAAAAATATGATCTTCTATGTTGAGCATCAATGTCAAAGCCTGTGGGTCAAGGTTTCACACTGTCAGGACCCAATTTGTGCCTCCGACTGCATTCCCTCTCGCCAAAATGCCCTCCACTCCAACCCAGTAAAGCCACTGCTGTTTCCCAAATCTATCACATAACTCAGCTCCCTGGCTCGGTGGTAATCTTGTTAACTTGGCCCTCCCACAGTGACCTTGATTAAAATCCCATAATCATCCAGATTTAGACCTATTGGTGCCATTTCAGAGGTGCTTCCCCATCTGCGCAGTCCTGTTTGGTGTCTTCGTTGCCTGGGCTGCAGGTGTGGCAAGGGTCTTTCTTTCTTGCATTTTAATCATTCGATTGGCTGTTTTGAGGCTGTACTGAATGTTGCTTCCCAAAGAGCGGGGTCCTCTCTCATGGGCTGTAGCTCCTCTCAGGAGGATGCAAGTTGTGTTATAGACTTCCCAACTCAGAATAATACACTGGAGAAAATTTCAATCTCTCCAACAAGTCACTAGTAGAAAATAGTAAAATAACTTATCCAAAGTATGTTTTTCAGACCTTTGAATTTTGTGGTTCATAATAAACAGGAAGCCGAGCTCATTTTTCCTGGAACATAGCTCTAACATCTGAGTGTTTCATGTTGTGTGTGTGAGAGCTGCTGTAATCTGTGAACACAGCCTGTCCTTTGCTCTTCTTTGATTTTTCTATCCAGTGCTTTTTGAACTGAAAAGCTTGTGTATAGGCCTTGCATACATTAGAATCTTCCAGCTGTGTTTGAGTGAAGTTGTGACTGCAGTTCATCAATCAACATCCCATTCTGAGGCTCTCAGAATAATAACACCCACACAAGAGACATGGAATTAATATACAGGCCAACACAATCTGAAAATGCATAGAATCACTTTCATGCTACGTACTCAGCCTTTCTATAATACCACAGTATTCCATGGGGTGGGGGGAATTTAGTTATTTCATTAAAGTTATGAATATTATGAAAGTTATATTTTCATATATTGAAGAGAGTAACGATTGCAAAAGATGAAAATAGAGATTAGTGATGATCAAGAAGCAAGCACATATGTTTGGCTATAACAAAATTCATAAGGCTAGGCACAGTGGCTCACGCCTGTAATCCCAGCACTTTGGGAGGCTGAGGTGGGTGGATCACGAGGTCAGCAGTTCGAGACCAGCCTGGCCAACATGGTGAAACCCCGTCTCTACTATAAATACAAAAATTAGCCAGGTATGGTGGCACATGCCTGTAATCCCAGCTACTCAAGAGGCTCTGAGGCAGGAGAATCACTTGAACCCGGGAGGTGGAGGTTGCAGTGAGCCGTGATCATGCCATTGCACTCTAGCCTGGGCGACAAAGTGAGACTCCATCTCAAAAAAAAGAAAAAAGAAAAAAGAGAAAAAGTGGCGGGTAAAACAGTTAGCAATCATAATAGCTGATATTTGCTGAGCATCTAACACACGCTAGGCACCGAGGGCGAGGCTGCGTTTGTTACTCCATGGAATCTCAGAGCACCTGGACAAGGTGTGTAGGACAGCTACCCCGTTTCACGGACCACATGGCTGAGTCGCGAGGATGTTTCCTAATGTCTTATGGCCGCTAGGAGAGAAAGACACAGACCCTCCTGAAGGGTATTTTTTTAGGAGTTATGGAATATGGAAAAGATACCAGAAGACCAGGGATAGAAAAATGTCATTCTAGTTTTCACAATAGGGAAGAAGTGCATTCCAGCAATTAATTATGTACCTGTGAAATTTCCGTCCACTGCAAGCGAAGTTACACAACTCAAGTCTTAATGACACGCTTGTGTATATGTAGGGAGAAAAGCGAAGATGGCCGTGACTGAGCGAGGATCACTAAGAGCAAGTGATGCCAGGGAAACCTCTCCTGTCTTTAGAGACTTAATGTAAATCTGCGTCTTGATCCCATGAAGGCAGAAGAGTGTTTGGAAAAGGCTTTCTTTGACATTAAAAAAAAAAAAAAAAGGTGTGGGTGGAACAGACAGGGTGGATGCATCTTGAGAAGCCGACTCACGGTTATCAGCAAAGGCTGGAGGGCACGGCTGGTGTGTGTTCCCTGCCCACCAGGGGGTGGTACACAGCAGGTGCTCGTTAAGTGCTCAGGGAACTCAACATGCTGAGACCAGCCAGGATTGGGGGTGGGGGAATGTGTCCTTTCGTTAGCAGGGGAAAGGCTGAGGGCATGGGAGTGTTTCATCCACAAGCAGTCTTCAAATGTGAGAGCTGCTCAGGGCAGAGTTGGATGCTGTGCTGTTCCAGAATCAAGCGGTGTGAGGCCTGAGGAAGCTCCAGCTCCTTCCTCACTTCACCCTAGGCCAACTCTGTCCAGGGGGCCCCTTAGCCTGGGGAGGGGATCCGTGCAGGTGGCCTGGTATATGTGACTGTGGCTACATCTTGAGCACATCAGGATACATGGTGCTCATCATAGTGACATCAAAACAAAGGTGAAAATGTTCAGACTGCCACAACAGTGTAGACAAGTGGAAATCTTTTAGGGGAAATAATATGTTTTTAAAATAATGAATGAACCACAACAGCTAAAGCCTAGGTGGCAAGTTAATATAATATAGTTTTGAATTCAACCAGCAGAGATTGAGTTTTTTTAATGTAAACACAGGTGTGTAGAGCTCAGAACTCTACTTAGTCACAGCTCTTATCACTCCCTGACCCCAGGCCTGCTCAGTCCATGGGACAGACAGGTTCCCCCAGGCACCCGGGCAGCTCAGGTGGAGGCAGATCCCAGGACCACCCCAGGTTCTGTCTCTGGGAGGGGTCTGGACTGGAGTTTGCATTTCCCACCACATCCCATAGCCCACTTTGTGCTCCGCGAGGTCTGATGACCACTGCCCTGCCATCTCCATACCGCTCCATGCACTTCTGGCACCAGCTTGTCAAGGCATCAGCGCTTTCAGGCCTAGGCTTAATACTCCTGAAGTGTTGACTGTGAGTGGCTTTGAAAAGCACGACTTCCAGGATGAGGGAACACGATGTTGGGAGCAGAGGCTGCTGGGACCTGCTGCTCCCTTATTGAACTCTTGGAGGAATTGCTCTGTGCGTTGAGAGCCTGGCATGTGTAGCTGCTAACACCATTGACAGAGTGTGCAAGAGCACTCCAAGGGAGAGAGGCGGGTGGGGAAGACAGCCAGGGCTAGTGGCAGGAGCAACGGGCCCATGCACTTGCAAGCTTCTAGTTGTTACAGGAGAAATTCGAGCAGGTTAATCCCTCTTTCAAATGACACTTGCACGTCTACAGCCATTCCCTGCATGGAAACATCAAGAAAGCAAAAATATCCCACGTTCAGAAGAACCCAAATGAGGAAGCAGTGCTGAAAAATAGATGTACTCTTGTGATCAACTCACATGACTGGAATGAATTCTGCAAAAATAGCAGCCGGATTATTCAAAGCTCGTATCAGGCAGCCAGTTGGATGGAGGTTCTCCTCCTGTGTGAGATACTCTCCCATGGCACTCAGAGGACACCAGCATGAAGGTCCTTGTGAACTAAAGCGGGCTCCACATGGGTGAAGGAACACAGAATGAGCCTGCAGCTATTTCTCTCTTTCACGCAAGTTGAGAGACCTCTAGAAATTCAGCTAGTCTTAAGCTGATGGTTTGGCATAGGTAAGAAAGTCACAGCAAAAGGGGGTCCCTTCTGTAGTCTGCATCTAACTCTTCAATCTAAAGACAACAGAGACTTATTAAGACGTGCGTATCAAGGGCCCACTATGAGCCAAGCCCCTTGTTACACATTTTTCTCATTTTTCTTTGGCCAGAGCATACTGATATTGGCATATGGGGTGGTTGTGATTTCCAAATGAAATAATAAAATGAAAATGTTCAATTGTGTATAGCTGCCCAATGGAATGTTACCCTGTCATAGAAAGGAAGGAAATTCTACACATCCTACGACTTGGGTGAACCCTGAGGACACTATGCTGAGTGAAATAAGCCATCACAAAAGGACAAGGACGGTGTGATTACCCTAACATGTGGCACTTGGAGGAGTCAGATGCACAGACAGAAGGCCGGATAGGACAAGGATGGTGTGATCCCCTTACACACAGCACCTGGAGGAGTCAGATGCACAGACAGAAGGCCGGATAGGACAAGGATGGTGTGATCCCCTTACACGCAGCACCTGGAGAAGTCAGATGCACAGACAGAAGGCCGAATAGGACAAGGACAGTATGATCCCCTTATACGCAGCACCTGGAGGAGTTGGATACACAGACAGGTCAGAGGGAGGCTGCCAGCAGCTGGGGAGGGAGAATGAGGAGGGCTGTTTAATGGGGCAGAGCTTCAGTTTGGGAAGATCGAGAAGTTCTGGAGATATTGGCAGTGATGGCTGCACAACAATGAGAAAGTGCTTAATGCCACTGAAATAGACAAAAATGCCCATGATGGTGAATCTTATGTGTAGCTGATCTCAATTTAAACATTTAAAAAATTTTTTGCACTTAGTTTTTAGTAAACTTGTATAGTATTTTGCCAACTAAGGTAGTTTTTAAAATTATATTTCAGCACTGGGTGATATAAGGATTTTTAAATTTATAAATTATGCCTAACTCCATAGCCTCAGTCATGATAACATTATGAATTCAATCTTTTAACTCGTTTCAATGATAGTGAAAATATCTGTCTGTATTTTAAAGAATATAAAAGACTTAGCCATGCCCATGGTAAATGGGGGGTTCATAAAAGCATGTGCTTGATCTGTCAGAAGGGGACCTGGTGTTAACATCTAGCATCTTCCCCGGGAGGCCAGCCAGGTACAACATTAGCTTTGCTACTCGACAGCATCGCCCATGGTACCAGGGACCCATCAGGAACCTGGTACCTGTTTAAGAGAGAAAGAAGTGTCTGATGGGAACACTGTGCTTGGGTCTTCCCTGAGGACAGACATGGACAGCTGAGTGCATCCCTGCAGGGGCCCCAGAAGGCATTCCTCTGGATCCCTTGGAGCAGATGTGGACCTCTCCAGATCCCGGACAGCCTGGGCGCATGATCCACATGGTCTTCCACAAGCCTAGAGCTGTCATGTAAACCCCTGAGACTGCCCTGATGGCAAGATGAGGCTCCTGTCCTGTAGGGAACTGGCCCCTGTGGGCTCATGAACCAAGATAAGGACGTCTGTGCACCATTAAAAAAATAAACCCACAGCAAAGCCGCTGCAGGATGAGCCCAGGGGATGTCAGGGCCCTAGACCGAGAAACAGAGACAGCCAGAAGTTCAGTTCAGTGCCTGAGGCAGGGAATGCGGACTGGAGCTTGGTGTCTGAAAGCAGGGAAGAAAGGAGACTGGGGAAAAGCAAAATAGCCAGGACCTGATGTAGGGCTTATGGAAACCAGGTGGCTGGAGGACAGCACTGAGCAGAACATGCTACACCTGCAAGGTGAATGCGTGGGTGTGGGGTCCTCAGCGTGAGAATGAGACCAAACTCTGAACCAAGGGAGAGCATCCCCTAAGGCCGGGAGAAAGCGTCAGGGTAGGGCAAGAGGAGGAAGAAACCGGCTCAGCTGCTGGAGAAACTCACCTCAAGGCCACACATGCAGCAGGACAACTGTGAACTGACTTTGTCCACCCAATACCCACATCAGCAAATTCAAAATGATGAGAACAGAGGCAGATGTAAGTTAAGAACAGATGTCTATGAAAAACGAGGAGACTAAGGAATTTGGAGACCTAAAATTGGGAAGGACCGACTCCAGACTAGATCTGCTCAAAGTCCATCTGGAGGGAAATGCTGAGTTGCCCACGAGAACATGGCCAAGGAATACAAACAAATGAACAGCATGAAGCAGGAGCCCAGAGCTAGGGAGGAAAGATGTAGAGACTCCAACAAGTTAGCAGAATTCCAGAAGAAAAGATCCCAGAGGTCGACAGAAAAGTTGTATCCAGGGAACAGTGGCTGGGAATTGACCAGGATAACATCACCCATCCAGACTGAAAGGGTTCTGCTGTTGCCTGGAAGGAAAAATCCCCAACCTGGACAGATGATGTGAAACTCAAGACCATGCATGACTAAGAGAAACTCTTATTAACCTCACCCAGAAAGATAGGAATCTACAAAGGAGCAAGGATTAGACCAACAATAGATTCTTCGTTAGTAAAAACATATGCAAGAAGATGGTCAAATTATGGCTTCCACGTCTTGAAGAAAAATAAAATTCCCACCTAAAATCTCATGTCTAAGTAAATTAGTCGTAAAAAAAAATTAGTGTCAGATATACAAAAACTCAACCTTCTATTCTACCTGAAAGATTACTCCAATGCATATGAAAGGGGAAAAAAATAACAACAGAAGATACAGGATACAAGAAACAGCAGTGAACAGAGAGATCAATAAAAAATATTGTGTCTTATTGACAATTAAAAACTATGAGTGCTTATTTGAATAATTTAAAGAAGAGGCTTCAATAGGTAAAAGGTGTTAAGATCTTTATTTTAATAAACTTTAGTTAAGGCAAAATACAAAATAAAAGATAAGAAACACTACATAGGTTAAAAATCCAATTAATCAGGAGCATAATAAGTATGAACTAATAAGCTTTTTACAACTAGCATTAAATTTCATAAAATAAAAAGGAGAAATTGACAAACCTACAATTATAGATTTCAGTATATTTTCTCAGAAAAGGAATTGCTCAAGCAGACAAATTAGTGAGGATATAGATGATTTGAACAACACAACGACAAATGTAATATGATAAATATGTATTACCAAGTGTAGAATAAACACTCTTTTTAAGCATAACCCAAAGAGTAACAAAATCAATTACAAACATTTTAAAGAATAAATATGATGTGGCTACTCCCTCATAATGTAATGCAATTGAGTTAGAAATAATATAAACAAACATCCTCATATACTTGAAAATAATCAAATGTCAACAGAAAGCACTTGATATGGTTTGGCTGTGTCCCTACCCAAATCTCATCTTGAATTGTAACTCCCACAATCCCCACATGTCATGGAAAGAGCATGTTGGGAGGTGATTGAATTTTGGGGGTGGGTCTTTCCTGCTCTGTTGTCTTGATAGTGAATGAGTCTCATGAGATCTGATGGTTTTAAAAATGGGAGTTTCCCTGTACAAGCTCTCTTCTCTTGTCTGCTGCCATGTGAGACATGCCCTTCATCTCCCACCATGATTGTGAGGCCTCCCCAGCTACATGGAACCGTAAGTCCAATAAGTCTCTTTCTTTTGTAAATTGCCCAGTCTTGGGTATGTCTTTATCAGCAGCATGAAAATTGACCAATACAGTACTCTTCTCCATAATTCATAACTTAACAGTGCCGCAATGAATATTGTAAAATACTTGGAATTAATATAAAATGAACTTATATCAGTATTTGTAGGAAGACAGCTAAAATGCAACTTAGATTGCAACCTTAAAAGTTCATACATGTATTTATTGGAAAATGACAAGGAAAATAAAAATAAATGACTTACATAGCAAAATGAGCTAGAAAAAGAACAGAGTACGCTAAATAAAATAAGAGAAAGAAAATGATAAATATAAAATAAAAAATAATCAAAATAGAAAACAAAATGCTAGTTAGTTAAAAATAGACAATCTCTATCAAAACTCACCAAATCAGAAAAAAAATTTAAAGCCTATTAGAAATATAATTTTTTGAAAAAATATAACACAATGAGCAATTTTATGATGTAAAATTTAAAAAGCTAGATAAAAAGGACAATTTGTCTAAAAAATAAAATTGAACAATTCAGTGAGAATGCAAATAAACTTACTACCAGTAAATAAATCCATAATTTTAAATAACTAGATCTCTCTTTCCTTGAGAGAGAGAGAGAGAAAGAGTGAGTGAGTATGTGCCAGGGAATACAAAAGAGGGGAAAGCTACTTGGCTAACATGAGAATGATATATTCTTGGTAACAAAACAGGCCAAGGACAGAATAAGAAAAGAAAATTATAGGTCAGATTGACTGCTGGGAACAGATGGAAAATATTAAATAAGACATTAGACATTTACAGGTACAGAAGTATGCCTATGTATACCTAATAAATATGCATGTGCCCATACTTTTAACACAGTGATGGCTCTCAATCATGTAAGGTTTATCTCAGGAATGCAAAGATGGCTCAGTGCCAGCAAATGTGTCAAGTGGAAGCTTTGCAGGCAGGAAGAGGCCATGTGGCTCATATCAGTGCATGTGCTGCACACCCACATGGGAGAGCCTTAAACAAAATCTGGCATGCACGGTCTACATCCAGCTGCTCACTCACCAGCTAGGTGACTCCCATGCACAGGACGTCGTCTCATGCCCTGCTTGGCTATCTAGGGTGAGCCATCCTTGTTTTCCTGAGGTTTGGGCATTTCTGTTGTTAAAAGATCAACTTAGGCACATTAAAATTCTGTGGAGTTTATTTGAACAGACAGCAGTTCACAAATTGGGCAGCACCAGACTGCAAGCAGTGTAGCACTTCTCTAGGGCTTCAGAGGTGAGACAGAAAATTTCATAAGTTGTTCCTGGAAACAAAACAAAACATGTTGGATTAGTTTGAAAAATCCCTACTTAGAGTTAATTGATAGTTTCTGATTGGTGGAGTCTCTACTTAGAGGTCAGTTGGCAGTTTCTGGATGGTAGAATTCCTACTTAGGGTTCAGCTGGTGGTTTCTGATTGGTAAGGGCTCTCGTTTCATTTCACCATTTACACGGGAGTTTGGTTTGCTTACATAGGAACTAAAAGTGCTGGGGCCATCCCAGCCCATTGGCCTCCGAATTAAACTTTCGTTAACACTGTAGTGGCTGCTGTCACTCACTGTGAGCTCATGGGGTCCAGGATTGTGTCTTGTTCATTGCTGTGGCTTCCATACTAAACAAAGTACAGGAGACATAAGAGATACAAAAGGCTGGGTTAACGTGCTGATGGTGTGTAAGCTGAAGATGACTTAGGGACATGGAACACTGCCCTTTTGTGAAACATTCTTACAATAACAACTTACAAGAACTAATCCTAAAGACAGTCATCCACAGCCACTGAGAGGAGGGGAGAAATATGTTCCACTGCCCGGTGTCAGCACAGTTAAAACCAGCAGGGATGAGCCTGCAGCAGGCACATGGCACAACTCTCCAAGCAGACCTCTACTCCCCAGCTTCAATCCCAGTGCTTTCCATTTACACATAGAGGATATTCAGTGCATGCTTCACACTGAGGCAGAAAAGCAGGGTTTTTCTGTCCTTAAAAAAAATAAGCAGTATTCATCTGATTTGTCCAAGGTGATCTGGCCATTCATTGTGGAGTCAAGCCGATGCTCAGAACCCATTTTACCTTCATCATACACGGCCTTCTGCTTAATTTTCAGATATGCACCTGAAAATATCATCCTGCAGAATGAAAGCAGAAGGGGAGAGATGCATATATATATATATATATATATATATATATATATATATATATATATATATATATATATATATATACACACACATATGAACTTAGAATTCATTTTTAGTGAGAATAATTATGTTACTGTGTGGTAAAATAAACCACTGCCGCAGCATTTTGCCTTTTAGGATAATTTTATGGCTCCTTAGGAGGTTTCAGCACTCACTTTAAAGGTGACATTCTCTGCAAAAATACTTTAATCCCTATATGTCACCAATGATCTGTGATTCCTTTGGTTAGATTTTAATTTAGATTCTACATAAGCATTCGAAATCCTCCTTGCTAAAAATAAGAAGAAAATAATAGTACAGATTAAATCTTTAGTGGCTTCATTGCTTTATAGAGGAACTTAGCCACATTTACGTTGCATTGCGAATGTGTGGCTGTTTTCTCAAATACAAGGAAGTCATGCTGATGTTTCTTCAAGGTCGGTTTGATCAAATCACATTAGGCAAAGGACTTTAAGCTGGTCTTCTAGCAGAAGAAGCCTGGAAAGACTGATGTTTGCAAAGCCTAGGTCTACAGGCCTTGTAGCTAAGGTGACTCAGACAAACCCCATTGCTTCTGGGCCTCAGAGGTTTTGTATTTAAAATGAAGATCAGACCATGGATCTCACACAGTTGCCTATGACTGCTCTTCTATGAGATTGAGAGGAGTTTGTGACCTGCCTTTCATACTTTCTTGAAGAAAAATTAATCATTTTAAGTATTCTTTTCTATCACAGTTTTCTTCCACTCAGAAATATCTTCAACCTGCAGATCCAAAAATAAGATGAACAGTTATTGAAACATCCTTTGTTAGTCTTTAAAGGACGACCCTGACACGTCTGACACATTAAATCAGGAATGGCACGGCAGCGTCTTTGATATCAGGCATTGGCAATAATGAATGAATAATGAAAAGATCTGGTTTCCTATTCTGACTCGGCTGTTGACTGTCTCTGGGGTTCTGGGCAAGTCATTACCTTCTCTTTTACTTCAAGTCTCCTATTTACAAGATGAGGCTAGCACTCATGCCCCTCTTACGGAAAGGAACAAAGCAAATATTTGGACATAGAAACAAAAATGTGCCTGCAAACTGTAAAATGGGAAGCAAAGGCTACTACTATTATTTCAATTGTTACAACCCAGTGTACAGAGAACAGAAACACATGCGATTCAAATACAAGTCAGTGAGCTGAAATGTCTTTCATGCCTGTTACAGGCCGTTAGCAAAAGTTACATTTTCTGTCAATCTGACACATCATTAGAATCATTATGTGTAAGTCCCGATTCAATGTTTTGTAATGTTTTTAAAGACTAAAACTCACTAAATTTAATGTTTAGTAATAGAGTAGGGGCTTTATTCATCTGTTCATTCATTGTACTCCTTGACTGCACGTCTGATCCATGCTGACAACCTACTGGGCGTCAGCACTGTGTCAAGCTCAGTTCCGTTGGCTGACCAGGTAGACTCTACCCGTGGGCAAAGGACAATGCATAGAAACAGCAGCAGAAAGAAGAAGAGAAAGGAGAAAGGAAGAGGCAGCCAGCTGCCTGGCGCTCAGCAGCCGTTCATGCACGAGTTCCCAGGCCAAAGGCAGCACTGGCCACATCCACCTGTATAAAGAGTCAGCTGACCTATCACAGGCTCGCTGGCGTGGTGATGAGACCGGGGCTTGTCCTTCCAGTGTAGCTTTCAGTCCGACTGCGGAGTGGAGGCACTGGCTCCCGGGCTTACTCTCCTGGGCTATTGGGCAGCTTACTCAGCCTTCCTTTTCTTTAGTTTGGTGTTTTCATTTGTAAAATGAAGACACTGATGCGTGCATGACAGGGACTCTTCTGATGCCTCCGTGTCGATGGCCACCAAGCCCTGAGAACCCTGCCGGCACCCAGCACCCCATGCCAGCCAGCACCGCTACGGCTGCCATCCATCAGGGCTGAACCCTGCCGGCACCCAGCACCCCATGCCAGCCAGCACCGCTACGGCTGCCATCCATCGGGGCTGAATCCTGCCGGCACCCAGCACCCCATGCCAGCCAGCACCGCTACGGCTGCCATCCATCGGGGCTGAACCCTGCCGGCACCCAGCACCCCATGCCAGCCAGCACTGCTACAGGCTGCCATCCATCGGGGCTGAACTCTGGCGTTTGATCATTCGGGGCTAGTTCCACTTCACATACTCATAAGGAAACAAGTGTTTCTCTTTCTGCTTTTTTGCCCCATATTTCATTGCTGTAAAAGCCAGTGGCTAAGATGAAGATTGCAGCATTTAAAAATTCTTTATTGATTGGCTTTGCTTCCTCTACAAAAGCAGCTGCCAAATTTAATCTGAGAAACTGCTTTTATATTCAAGAAATTCTATGCACCTTAAAAAAATAATGGTAGAGGGGATGAAACATCCACTTAACTGAAAGAAGTTAGAATCTGGGGATTAGCCCAACCAAGGAAGCCACAGTCCTGTCTAAATGTTTATTTGTCATTTTCCCATAAAGATTCATGGGGCATATTGTCTTGAAATTGCCACTGAAATTGTTGACTGGGGAGAGGAGACAAAAGAGATGGGCGAGGGAGTCCAGGGTGTGGAATTTATGAAACTTTGTCTTTTGTAGTTGTAGTTCTAGAAAGTCAAGGCCTTTTAAGTTAATTGTAAAAACACATTTGACATTTTCATATTGAAGGCACTGGCCCTGAGCTGTTCTCTTCTGTGTCTGTCATGTCGGCATGCTGTGAATTTGGCTGGTGAGATGCCAGGGCCTCTGGGGACCTCCATGACCTGCCAGCATGCAGGTTACGGGTGATTCCCGCGATCGCGTGTTTGGATTAAACCAGGTTCAGCGGGAGTCGCCTGGTCCAGACACACTGGACCCCGGTGACTTGGGTCCTGACACAGACTGGCCGAGCTGGGGGCGTCCCCAGAGACCAGAGACCCTGGGAATGGCGAGCATCGAGGCGCGGAGTTGCATGGAAGACCCAGGGCCCGCTGTGCTGCTGACTGCTCCAGGACTCACAGGCGGCTGGACCTCCATGGAGGTGACCCCCACAGTCTGCTCTCCTCATGATTCTGCCAAGTTTTAGTCCCAGGGCACTTAACATAGGCTTTGGGACTCCCTTGCCGAGCCACACGTCCCCAGTGTGTGGGTGGGAGTCAGCAGGGGAGGAAGCCCCCGCCATGAGCCCAAAGCCCCTCCAGGAACGTGCGGGACTTGGGTTCCATGAACTCTTGAAGGAGCTTACCTTGAAAATAAGTCACTGAAGATGCTTCCTGTGCCTCTGGCAACAGAACCCATCCAGCTCTCTGCTCTACATGTTCCGAAACAACCCCTGTACTGGTCCAGCTGTGGCCGTCAGGGGCATCCAGTCCTAGGAGTGCATGGCCTACGTGTAGCACAAACAGGAGGGGTTGGTCCTGCCAGGCACCCGCTGCGGTGGCCAGGCCCAAGCACCCAAACCACGTGGTTTAGAAAGGTCTTTTTGCAAAGGTGCTTGCTGCTGAGCCCGTGAGGCTGCTGTGGTGTGCAAGTGTACAGATGGTGCTGTCTGGTGAGCCCACCCGAGTAGGTCCTCGAGCTGGATGACACATTTGAAGAATAGTCCTAATCAATAAGGTGCACAGTCGGACACTGGGCAGCCAACGCAGCTGACCGACTTGGAATTTTTTCTGTATCCACAAACACACATTTGGCAAACCACTGAACACTGGTTAGGTGCCTGGAGTTTTGCTAGACACTGAAGATAAATACACAGATGAGGCAAAACTGGCTTTTTTTTTTTTTTTTTTTTTTGCTAGGAGAGTTCAGATATTGTGTTGACAGCTGAGCAGGTCATATTTGTAGGAATCCAAATTTTTATTAAATGGTATAAACCTCTGCTTATTTGTTCTAAATTTCTCCATGATGCACATGGAATCCAGTGCTGTCCATGGTCCCTGGGGTCCTTACACTCTCAGAAACCGAGAATAACACCTCTTTGCAAACCACAAGCCAAGATTCTTTATGTAAATGTTATTGGAGAGAAAGAAGGGACTTGGGCATCTCACTAAGCCTCTCCATGCCCTGCAAGAAAGTGTTTTTGCGAAGTCCCAGAAATGGCGCTGAATGAGGCTCTGTGCTATGGGCGTGGCTGCTTTGCAGGTGGAGCATGGAGACGTGGCCGCAGGGCTGAGGGTTTCGCATTGGAGGATTAATATGACCGTCAGCAGCTCAGCCGCTCTCTCTTTCTGGGTGGGTTTCATCTTGGTAAATGTGGATTCTCAGACTGGCCCTGAGGAAATCTCGTTCCGTTTTCCTGCAGATTATCTGAGTCTGCAGAGATGGGGTCCTTGAGTGACCCAGGAGGCTGACAGGAGACACCAGGTGGAAGAGCCATGTGGGAAGTAGCCTCACGTGCAGACAGCAAGCACTCCACCTGCCTGGCCCATCTCCTGTGTAAGAGAGAGCCCTTAGCATCCTGCCACACCCACCACTGGGTCACTGAGCTACCTCCCGGGAGTGTCAGCATTTTGGGTTTTGGGTTTTTTTTTTGAGACAGTGTCTCACTCTGTTTCCCAGCCTGGAGGGCAGTGGTACAATCTTGGCTCACTGCAGGCTCAACCTCCTGGGCTCAAGCAATCCTCCCACTTCAAGTTCCCGAGTAGCTGGGACTACAGGCGTGCGCCACCACACCAGGCTAATTTTTGTGTTTTAGTAGAGATGGGGTGTCACTATGTTGCCCTGGCTGATCTCGAACTCCAGACTCAGGCAATCTTCCAGCCTTTGTCTTCCAAAGTGCTGGGATTACAGGCTTGAGCCACTGTGCCCGGCCGTCATTGGCATTTTGAGAAACAGAAAATGCTCCGTGAACATGAGTAACATGCATTATCGTTCCTTCCTCCTCCCTTCATCCTTCCTCCCCTCCCTCCTCCATGGTATCATCATCCTTCTTATCACTGGGCTTTGATGCAGGAATGGGCGTGCCTGGTCTGCATGTCACATGCCTCTGGCCCTGGACTCTTGATCTTGTGGATCCAGATGTACAACATTCAGTACTCTGTGTTATTCTTCCTAAAACTTGAGCTTTGCCAACATTTCAATGGTCACTTTGGCTCCGCCGTCCTTATTGCTCCTGGAAGCTTAGGGACCCAGGGCCCTTCCAACCTACTCGGGCCTACTGTGTCCTCTTGTATTTTGTGAACAAGCACAGTTTGGGGATATTTGGGTTTAAGCCCCAGATCTTCCACATTAGCTGTGTGACTTGAGCAGCTTTTGTAGATTTTGGGGTGGTAGTGGAATGAGGGCAACAAAGCCTTTTTGTAAGAATAAATGTGAGTTAAGTGCCATCCATCGGAAGCAGGCAAGGGCTTTATAACCTCCCACACCGGCGCTTTGACTACATCACGCACCGCACACGGGTGTTTCAGTCAAAGACAAACTGCAGGTGCAGCGGTGGCCCTGTAAGATTATCATCAGCTGGAAGACTCCTACTGTCCAGTGACCTCATAGCCGTCACAATGCATGACTCACGTGTGACTTACCCTGGTAGAGAAACCCCCTGTGCAGCCACCGTACGGAAGTGTAGCCGTAGAGGGATGCGCAGTGCATCTTGTGATGGTGCTGACAGACGACCATGTTGCTGGTTTATGCATCTGGGATACTGTACGTTTCATTATTATTTTAGAGTGCGCTCCTTCTGCTTGTGGAAAACCATTATCTGTAAAGAGCCCTGGGCCAGTCCTTCAGGAGGTGTCCGGAAGAAGGCACTGTGGTCGTAGGCGATGGCAGCTCCACGTCTGTCACCGCCACTGCCCCTTAAGTCCTAACAGTGGGACAGGAAGTGAAGCTGGAAGATGGTGATATCGACAGTCCTGACCCTGCGCAGGTAGAGGCTGATGTGTTTTTGGGTCTTAGTGCTTAACAAGAGAGTTTAAAAAGTAAATTTAAAAATTAAAGATTAAAAATAGTAAAAGGGTTATAGAATAAGAATATAAAGAAAAATATTTGTACAGCTGTACAATGCATTTGTGTTTTAAGCTCAGCCTTACAAGAGAGTCAAACAGTTTTAAAAATAAAATAAAGTACAAGAGTTACAGTGTGTGTATGAGTCTGGGTTCTCTAGAGGGACAGGACTAATAGGATAGGTGTATATATGAAAGGGAGTTTATTGAGGAGAATTGACTCACAACCACAAGGTGAACTCCCACCACAAGCCGTCTGCAAGCTGAGGAACCAGGAAGCCAGTCCGAGGCCCAAAACCTCAAAAGCAGGGAAGCCGGCAGTGCAGCCTTCAGTCTGTGGCCAAAGGCCTGAGAGCCCCGGGCAAACCACTGGTGTGAGTCCAAGAGTCCAAAAGCTGAAGAACTTGGAGTCTGATGTTCAAGGGCAGGAGGCATCCAGCATGGGAGAAACATGGAGGCTGGAAGACTCAGCCAGTCCAGTCCTTCCACCTTCCTCTGCCTGCTTCTATCCTAGCCGTGCTGGCAGCCGAATAGATGGTGCCCACCCAGACTGAGGGTGGGTCTGCCTCTCCCAGCCCACTGACTCCAGTGTTAATCTCCTTTGGAAACACCCTCACAGACAACCCAGGACAATACTTTGCATCCTTCAATCCAATCAGGTTGACACTCCATATTAACCATCACAGTATGCTAAGGTTAACTTATTATTGAGGAATGAAAAGTATTTTTTGAAAATTGAATGTAGCCCAAGTTTGCAGTGTGTGTAGAGTCTACAGTAGCATACAGTGATGTCTCGGGCCGCGCATTCACTCCCCACTCACCCATTCACTCACCCACTTACCCATTCACCCACCCACTCACCCGCTCACCCAGAGCAGCTTCCGGTTCTGCAAGTTCCATTCATGGTGAGTGTCCTCTGCAGACGTACCATTTTTAACCTTTTGTACCATATTTTTACTGTAGCTTTTCTATGTGGAGACATGTTGAGATACACAACTTCTTACCCCTGTGTTACAGTTTTCTACAGTCTTCAGTGCAGTCACACGCTGTGCAGGTGCAGCCTGGGAGCAGGAGGCCTATGCCGTTCGGCCCAGGCGTGTAGGGGCGACGCCATCCGGGTCTGCGTTCAGCCCAGGCGCGTAAGGGTGACGCCATCCGGGTCTGCGTTCAGCCCAGGCGCGTAGGGGTGACGCCATCCGGGTCTGCGTTCAGCCCAGGCGCGTAGGGGTGACGCCATCCGGGTCTCCGTTCAGCCCAGGCGCGTAGGGGTGACGCCATCCGGGTCTGCGTTCAGCCCAGGCGCGTAAGGGTGATGCCATCCGGGTCTGCGTTCAGCCCAGGCGCGTAAGGGTGACGCCATCCGGGTCTGCGTTCAGCCCAGGCGCGTAAGGGTGACGCCATCCGGGTCTCCGTTCAGCCCAGGCATGCAGGCGCGAAGCCATGCGGGTTTGTATCAGTGCGCTCCACAATGCTCACACAACCACGAGGCCACCTTACATTTCTCTGAATGTGCCCCCTCATTAAGTGGCACATGACTGTACTTATTACTTGTAATGATGGAACGTAGAACCCCACTGGTTTGTAGCGTAAGACGATGTTTTCGGTGAAGCGCTATTTTACCAAATTTCTGAGCAGGTTCTGACATCGACCTAACCTCCTGGAACACCTTAGTTCACGTGGATGGATGGATCAGAGCACACAGAACGCTATCTGAGTGGTGAATTAATTCCTTTTGTGATTCCTAATTGTGTGAGGAAAAGTTATTTCCCCTCCATCAGCTTTTTTTCTGTAAATATGCATCAGTTTATACATTAAAAATAAATATCACCGGCTGGTGGCTCATGCCTGTAATCCCAGCACTTTGGGAGGCGAAGGCAGGTGGATCATTTGAGGTCAGGAGTTCGAGACTAGCCTGACCAACATTGTGAAACCCCGTCTCTACTAAAAATACAAAAAAAAAAAAAAAAAAAAAAAAAAAATTAGCCGGGCGTGATGTCATGTGCCTGTAATCCCAGCTACTCGGGAGGCTGAGACAGGAGAATTGCTTGAACCCTGGAGATGGAGGTTGCAGTGAACCGAGATTGCACCACTGCACTCCAGCCTGGGCGACAAGAGCAAAACTCCATCTCAAAAAAATAAAATGAATAAAATAAAAACCAAAGTAGGAAAAGAGGCCTAAGTTAAAATTTGGTATAGAGGATTTCTCGAGTTGTGGGCTGTTTTCACTTCAGAAACACCTGCTGGTCCCCAGAAGTCAGTACTCCTGTCTCAGGAAGTGCCGGAGGAAGTGCTCCCATCGTGTGGGTGTGGTTACGAGGGGCAACCAGCGCTAGCCACCTGGTTCTTTTAAAATGCATTTTAAATAGAGTGTGTCTCAGACTTTGAAGTCTTTCCCCATCCCAGTTTCCTCCCCCAACCATGTCATGGATATGAGGAAGGGTAAGGGGTCTTTCCATTACTGAGAATTAAAACCAGAAGACCAGTTACAGTTAGCGTTTTGGTCTTAAATCTCATCAGATTCGCTGCTTAGGAGGCCATTTTAGTGCGTTGCTAAGGGAGTTTTTCCAAAGAATAAAATTGCTAATTTAACTTAACAGTAACAAGGCCCAAAGAGCTGTGGCTTTTTTAAAAAAAACCACCATACGTATGTAAGTGGTGACTCACCACTAGCTTTTGACTAAGTAATTTTTTTCTTTTCAAAAGAATGGCTGATATCGAAAATATTTTAGTGAAACTAGCAGTGAGGAAAGAACCGAGAACTATTTTATACATGGAGAAAAAGCCGGGCAACACTCGCCAGAGTTTTCTCCTCCAAGGGCAGGATTTGATCTATCACAATACACACTTCATCAGAAAATCACTTCCGCATGCACAGACTGTGATAACAACGAAATTCTTAGAATGGAGGCGGCAGCAGGCTCTAAAGATATGTTGCTGGTTGCTATGGAAACTGCCATCCACAAATGTTTCCTGAGCAGAATCTGGTTGGAAGTGGAATGGGCTGTAATACCAATATCGTAATATTCACCTTCTCCTTCATTTTTTTTACTAGAAAAAAGCACGTTCACAATTGTGAAGCATGAAAATAGGAACATTTTGTTAAAATAAGATTGGCCACTTTATAATAGCTTCTTATGAAGAAACAAAGCTTATGTTTTATGAAGCTTATGAAGAAACAAAGCTTCAGTGTAGAGTCAGACGAGTGTAAATGGGAGAGGAGAGAACGCACATGCTGGGCTGAGAAAGTGGTGACTTTATCCTCCCTAATGATTTATGGAGCCACGTGGAGCGTTAAGTGCTGAGAATTTAAGAGAATGAATGAAAAGCATAGTCCGCCCAGCCCCTCCCCTCCAGAGGCAGGAGCATGGTCACCGGCGCCAGGACTGAACAGCACGTGGCAGCCGGGTTCTGATGGAAGAGGGAAGGGAAGGAGGGACAGACGCTGTGGGGGTTTTAGGAGGAAGCTTCGCGCTGTCTGTGGGAGCTAGAGGTGGATAATGACAGCACAGTCATTGCCACGGTCCTGCCGTGTACCCTGTGCCCTCCGGAGCCTCTGCGTGTCCTCTCTAGTTCCTCACGGGAGCCCACGCAGCAGGACCTGCTGCCCAGCCTTGCTGACCAGGGCTCCAGGGCTCAGCCCTGTCATCAGAGGCCCACAGTGGCTATGTTGCTGAGCTGAGATCCTAACGTGGGCCTCGCTCAGTCCCACGGCAACACGGTCTCCAGTCACTTTCCTTCCTTTTTTTCTAGACAAATAGAACGTTGCAGGCAGAAGGACGGAGTGCGCAGAGAGACAGGGTCTCGAAACTGAAACGGCAACGTGAGCAGTATGTCTCCTGCTCACCTTCTTCCCGCCATCCCCTAGGCTGCTTTGGATGAGCCACATGTGCCCACCCTCTCCCCACCATCCCCCAGACTGCTTCCGATGAGCCACGTGTGCACACAGGGCCTGGCATTTGAGGGCAGAGATGTTGCATAGTGAGGTGCTTGCTCTGGAGGCCTCTTGTGTGAAGAGACATGAGACTGTTGATGGGCTGAATGTCCTCATCCCTAGACAATGACAGTGAACGGAGTTTTTATTAAGGTCACAGTATATTTTGATATTTGAGCACCTATGATGTGCAAGTCACCAGAGCCACACTCTAGTAAGTGATAGAGTGAGGATGTAAAGATACAGATGTGGTTTAAAGACTCTTCTCAACCTCTGAGCTCAGCTACCTCTCAGGTCCCATTATTCTAGAAAGCAGAAATGTGAGATTTTACTCCTCTTCATTTTAAGAAGAAAAAAAGGAAGTCTGTTAAAGTAAGGGGAGAAAAGACCCTGATACAACTTCCACCAAATATAAAACAGACATAGCCCTAAATTGTGGTATAAATCGGGTATCTATTTTGAGTTCAAGTTCTCCTTTAGCATACTTTTAAATTCAGGGTGTTACAGTTTATTGAATTTAACATTAAAATGGACTCACGTGGGAAATGGAGTCAATATTTTATACATTGAATTTTGCGTTACGTTTCAAAAGTGAATGTAAATATACAGGTGTAAAACCAGCTGGATGGCACACAGGCACTCCGCTGCGAGTGCACGGCCCACCCTGCCCGAATGCAGAGAAACACTAGAAGCTCTTGAGCCAGCAGAGAGAAAACCCAGAGAGTCTGAGTGGAATCTGTTAGCCGTGCAAATGTTACACAATGCACATTTGCTATGACACAAATCTAAGACTAAAGGGGGAAAACGGCAGAAATTTTAGAAGACTCATGGGCTCTCCTGAATAAAAATCCTGCTGAACTAGTGACCGGCTGAGCGTGGATTGTCGGGTGAGCCGCCCTCTGGGTCCTGAAGGGCCCTTGGTGTCTCTTTACAGAGAAGCAACCCCGACATTGGTGGAGGCAAGCGCTCGTGGCAGATGAACCTGCAGATGAGGCTGGGCACTGCCCAGCTTATGAGGACAAATGGCTCTTTTTATATTCCAGCAACCACGGAACTCTCTGGAGTGCCCAGGGCTGTTTTAGGACATCCTAAACTGCTACTTTCATGCCAAGTTTGGAGGACTGTCTTCTGAAATATCTTTTATAAAAACAAATTTAATGCAAAAGCACGTAAGTCTACATGAAACCCTCCCAGCACGGGTTTTCCAGCCAAATGGTAGGGGCATACATAGAAAAATGAAACATTTGTGGTTGTGTTTTCAAGGCAGAAAAGATGCTGAAGGGAAAAGTCTATGTTCGAAACATAATCCCAGAATAAAAAGCTCCAAGAAATGCAGTTTTGAGGAAGTATTATCTAAACAAAGAGATGTATTAATATAATTGATGTGCAATATTTATTCAGTGTTAATCTTTTCATTAAAATGCATCCTGAGTTTTCATAAATTCTGGCAGATTTAATTATGTATATACTGCTTATCGTTGTATTTTAAAATTGCATAAAATTACGTTACTTATGTCTGTGCTTCTTAAATAATAGAAATGTCTTCACGCCCCTACTTTTGTTAATTGTTCACTGTTTCTGAGAGCGATCAACCTAAGGCCCCATTTAAAGTAGAACTTGGCCGGGCATGGTGGCTCACTCCTGTAATCACAGCACTTTGGGAGGCCGAGGTGGGCAGATCACAAGGTCAAGAGATCAAGACCATCCTGGCAAACATGGTGAAACCCCGTCTCTACTAAAAGTACAAAAATTAGCCAGGCGTGTTGGTGGGCACCTGTGGTCCCAGCTACTCAGGAGGCTGAGGCAGGAGAATCGCTTGAGCCCAGGAGGCGGAGTTTGCAGTGAGCCGAGATCACACCACTGCACTCCAGCCTGGGCAACATAGACTCCATCTCAAAAAAAAAAAAAAAAAAAGTAAAACTCATATTTAGCATCACTGTTGGATGTGAAATTTGCCCTCTCAGCTTGTGAGAGTGGGCTTTCAACAGCTTGACCAGTTTTTTTTTTTTTATTTAATTTAATTTAATTTAAAGTTCTGGGATGTGCAGGACATGCAGGTTTGTTACGTAGGTAAACATGCTCCACAGGGTTGCTGCACCTATCAATGTGGTCCATATACACTATGGAATACTATGCGGCCATGAAAAGGGACAAGATCATGTATTTTGCAGGGACAGGGATGGAGCTGGAAACCATGATCCTCAGCAAACTAACACAGGAAGAGCGTGACCAGTTTCTAAGGGGAACTGTGCACACAGACCCAGAGGGCACCTTACTAAACTCAGGAGCAACAGAGTGAGCATGTGTCTCCTCTGACCTGGCTAGGAGACAGATCCAGGCATAGACCCTCTGGGCTGCTGTGGGTTCAGCCACTGGAGGAGGAGATGGATCCAGGCATAGACCTGCCAGGCTGCTGATGGGTTCAGCCACCGGGGGAGACGGACCCAGGCATAGACCCGCCAGGCTGCTGTGGGTTCAGCCACTGGAGAAGGAGATGGATCCAGTCATAGACCTGCCAGGCTGCTGATGGGTTCAGCCACTGGGGGAGATGGATCCAGGCATAGACCCGCCAAGCTGCTGTGGGTTCAGCCACTGGAGGAGACGGATCCGGGCATAGACCCGCCAGGCTGCTGTGGGTTCAGCCACTGGAGGAGACGGATCCGGGCATAGACCCGCCAGGCTGCTGGGGGTTCAGCCACTGGGGGAGACGGATCCGGGCATAGACCCGCCAGGCTGCTGTGGGTTCAGCCACTGGGGGAGACGGATCCGGGCATAGACCCGCCAGGCTGCTGTGGGTTCAGCCACTGGGGGAGACGGATCGGGGCATAGACCCGCCAGGCTGATGTGGGTTCAGCCACTGGAGGAGACGGATCCGGGCATAGACCCGCCAGGCTGCTGTGGGTTCATCCACTGGAGGAGACGGATCCGGGCATAGACCCGCCAGGCTGCTGTGGGTTCAGCCACTGGAGGAGACGGATCCGGGCATAGACCCACCAGGCTGCTGGGGGTTCAGCCACTGGGGGAGACGGATCCAGGCATAGACCCTCTAGGCTGCTGTGGGTTCAGCCACTGGGATTGTCCTGTAAACCACAGGATCCTGAGTCTAGCTATTTGTATGACATAAATTTGCTTACATCTTTTACCGTAAACACGAGTTCTGAAAGCAAGCAAAACTTATTTGCTTACGTACTTATGGAAGCTCTTGTAGTTAAGATTTTAAAATTAACTTTATCATTCTTTTAACATTTAGTGCATTTCTCTTTGTTAGACAACCCTTAGTTACATTATCATTTTAATACTGCAAATACATGGAAAGTATGTAGTTAAAAAAACATGAAAAGTTTTATGTTATGAAAGTCATAATCATTACAGAAAAACTTAGAAAACATAGATCAACATGAAAAGATATTGACATATAATCCCAGCGCCCAGCCTTCCCTCCACCGCCCACAGATAATCGCAGGTAACATTTGGATGTTAATACTTCCAGCCTTCCCTCCACTGCCCAGAGATAATCGCGGGTAACATTTGGATGTTAATACTTCCAGCCTTCCCTCCACTGCCCAGAGATAATCGCGGGTAACATTTGGATGTTAATACTTCCAGCCTTCCCTCTAGCGGCTGTACATGGGTTTATTTCTGCCAGTTTCACTTAATGCTTCATGAATATATTCTCACATCCCTCAGTCTTCTCCTGCAAGAGAGGGGTGGCGTGGTGTATTCGTCTGTTCTCACCCTGCTAATAAAGACAAACCTGAGACTGGGTAATTTATAGAGGAAAGAGGTTTAATGGACTCACAGTTCCACACGGCTGGGGAGGCCTCACGATCATGGCAGAAGGTGAATGAGCAGCAAAGTCACATCTTACATGGTGGCAGAGAAGACGGCTTGTGCAGGGGAACTGCCCTTTATAAAATCATCAAATCTAGTGAGACTTACTACCATGAGAAGAGTATGGGGGAAACTGCCCTCGTGATTCAATTATCTCCACCTGGCCCCACCCTTGACACGTGGGGATTATTACAATTCAAGATGAGATTTGGGCAGGGACACAGCCAAACCATGTCTCATGGCTAAAATGTTCAGGGTGAGTGACTTGGAAGTGGTACTGATAAAAAACAAAAGCCTTCATTGATTAAAAGCAATAACTTTAGCTCTATAACAAGACAGAGCTGTGACTTAAGCTTTCTAGGACTGTCAGAAGCATGCCAATTATGAGTTTTCCAGTGTTCATGATCATTGTACTCATGCTGAATATGTGGATGGAGGAAAAAAACCATGCTCTCCCTACACCTCCCTCTACCTTAAGCTCCAGTGCTTTTTGTCTCTCTCCGTTGCCCAGGCTGGAGTGCAGTGGCGCGATCATAGCTCACTACAGCCTTGAACTCCTGGCCTCAAGCGATCCTGTTGCCTTGGCCTCCCACAGCTCTGGGATTATAGGCATGAGTCACTGCACCCGTCTCAATATCATCGTCTTCAATACTATGGCTGAAATATAATTTGCTTAACCAACTCCATATTAATGGGCACTTACACGGTATTAGAGTTTTTAACTGTTAACAACACTACCAAATACTCAAATTGCTACTGAAAAGGGACATTGTGGCTTTCTTCATTTCTGGAGGTCAGTGTCTACAATATTTCCATATTTAAGGCCTTCCCTAACCTTGTTTTGTTTGATGTCTTTCATCTGCCTTCATTTGCATGGTGGGTCTTTGCATTTCTTATGGAATTTTTTAAGAGAGAAAGAGACAGTGTGCCTGATCCTTCAAAGAGCACATTGACAATGCTCCGTGATTCCGAGAACCCTCCCTCCACCTCCTTCTCCATCATCCCTCCTTCAGGGTCTTCTTTCCCCATTTCCAGGTTGATGGTCCCATGATTTTGACTCAGTGTCACCATCTGCAGTCCCCTTTCTCCCCTGCTTACTCCTGTAGTAGGCATAGTAGGCATTTCATGATCATGCTTTGAGCCAGGTCATTCTTTTTTTTTTTTTTTTTTTTTTTGAGACGTAGTTTCACTCTTGTCACTCAGGCTGGAGTGCAGTGGCGTGACCTCGGCTGACTGCAACCACCGTCTTCCAATTCAGGCAATTCTACTGCCTCCCGAGTAGCTGGGATTATAGGCGTGTGCCCCATGCCCAGCTAATTTTTGTATTTTTAGTAGAGACAGGGTTTCACCGTGTTAGCCAGAATGATCTTGATCTCTTGACCTTGTGATCCACCCACCTCGGCCTCCCAAAGTGCTGGGATTACAGGCATGAGCCACCGCGCCCAGCCAGATCATTCTTTTTTTTTTTTTTAATTATTATTATACTCTAAGTTTTAGGGTACATGTGTACAATGTGCAGGTTTGTTATACATGTATACATGTGCCATGCTGGTGTGCTGCACCCATTAACTCGTCATTTAGCATTAGGTATATCTCCTAATGCTATCCCTCCCCCCTCCCCCCACCCCACAACAGTCCCCAGAGTGTGATGTTCCCCTTCCTGTGTCCAAGTCTTCTAATTTGTTCAATTCCCACCTATGAGTGAGAACATGCAGTGTTTGGTTTTTTGTCCTTGCAATAATTTGCTGAGAATGGTGGTTTCCAGTTTCATCCATGTCCCTACAAAGGACATGAACTCTTCATTTTTTATGGCTGCATAGTATTCCATGGTGTATATGTGCCACATTTTCTTAATCCAGTCTATCGTTGTTGGACATTTGGGTTGGTTCCAAGTCTTTGCTATTGTGAATAGTGCCGCAATAAACACACGCGTGCACGTGTCTTTATAGCAGCATGATTTATAATCCCTTGGGTATATACCCAGTAATGGGATGGCTGGGTCAAATGGTATTTCTAGTTCTAGATCCCTGAGGAATTGCCACACTGACTTCCACAATGGTTGAACTAATTTACAGTCCCACTAACAGTGTAAAAGTGTTCCTATTTCTCCACATCCTCTCCAGCACCTGTTGTTTCCTGACTTTTTAATGATTGCCATTCTAACTGGTGTGAGATGGTATCTCACTGTGGTTTTGATTTGCATTTCTCTGATGGCCAGTGATGATGAGCATATTTTCATGTGGTTTTTGGCTGCATAAATGTCTTCTTTTGAGAAGTGTCTGTTCATATCATTCACCAACTTTTTGATGGGGTCGTTTGCTTTTTTTCTTGTAAATTTGTTTGAGTTCATTGTAGATTCTGGATATTAGCCCTTTGTCAGATGAGTAGGTTGCAAAAATTTTCTCCCATTTTGTAGGTTGCCTGTTCACTCTGATGGTAGTTTCTTTTGCTGTGCAGAAGCTCTTGAGTTTAATTAGATCCCATTTGTCAATTTTGGCTTTGGTTGCCATTGCTTTTGGTGTTTTAGACATGAAGTCCTTGCCCATGCCTATGTCCTGAATGGTATTGCCTAGGTTTTCTTCTAGGGTTTTTATGGTTTTAGGTCTAACATGTAAGTCTTTAATCGATCTTGAATTAATTTTTGTATAAGGTGTAAGGAAGGGATCCAGTTTCAGCTTTCTACATATGGCTAGCCAGTTTTCCCAGCACCATTTATTAAATAGGGAATCCTTTCCCCATTGCTTATTTTTGTCAGGTTTGTCAAAGATCAGATGGTTGTAGATATGTGGCATTATTTCTGAGGGCTCTGTTCTGTTCCATTGATCTATAGCTCTGTTTTGGTACCAGTACCATGCTGTTTTGGTTACTGTTGCCTTGTAGTATAGTTTGAAGTCAGGTAGTGTGATGCCTCCAGCTTTGTTCTTTTGGCTTAGGATTGACTTGGCGATGCGGGCTCTTTTTTGGTTCCATATGAACTTTAAAGTAGTTTTTTCCAATTCTGTGAAGAAAGTCATTGGTAGCTTGATGGGGATGGCATTGAATGTATAAATTACCTTGGGCAGTATGGCCATTTTCACAATATTGATTCTTCCTACCAATGATCATGGAATGTTGTTTCATTTCTTTGTATCCTCTTTTATTTCATTGAGCAGTGGTTTTTAGTTCTCATTAAAGAGGTCATTCACATCCCTTGTAAGTTGGATTCCTAGGTATTTTATTCTCTTTGAAGCAATTATGAATGGGAGTTCACTCATGATTTGGCTCTCTGTTTGCCTGTTATTGGTGTATAAGAATGCTTGTGATTTTTGTACATTGATTTTGTATCCTGAGACTTTGCTGAAGTTGCTTATCAGCTTAAGGAGATTTTGGGCTGAGACAATGGGGTTTTCTAGATATACAATGATGTCGTCTGCAAAGAGGGACAATTTGACTTCCTCTTTTCCTAATTGAATACCCTTTATTTCCTTCTCCTGCCTAATTGCCCTGGCCAGAACTTCCAGCACTAGGTTGAATAGGAGTGGTGAGAGAGGGCATCCCTGTCTTGTGCCAGTTTTCAAAGAGAATGTTTCCAGTTTTTGCCCATTCAGTATAATATTGCCTGTGGGTTTGTCATAGATAGCTCTTATTATTTTGGGATACATCCCATCTAATTTATTGAGAGTTTTTAGCATGAAGGTTGTTGAATTTTGTCAAAGGCCTTTTCTGCATCTATTGAGATAATCATGTGGTTTTTGTCTTTGGTTCTGTTTATATGCTGGATTACATTTATTGATTTGCATATGTTGAACCATCCTTGCATCCCAGGGATGAAGCCCACTTGATCATGGTGGATAAGCTTTTTGATGTGCTGCTGGATTCGGTTTGCCAGTATTTTATTGAGGATTTTTGCATCAATGCTCATCAAGGATATTGGTCTAAAATTCTCTTTTTCGGTTGTGTCTCTGCCCGGCTTTGGTATCAGAATGATGCTGGCCTCATAAAATGAGTTTGTGAGGATTCCATCTTTTTCTATTGATTGGAATAGTTTCAGAAGGAATGTTACCAGCTTCTCCTTGTGCCTCTGGTAGAATTCGGCTGTGAATCCATTTGGTCCTGGACTTTTTTTGGTTGGTAAGCTATTGATTATTGCCACAATTTCAGAGCCTGTTACTGGTCTATTCAGAGAGTCAACTTCTTCCTGGTTTAGTCTTGGGACAGTGTATGTGTTGAGGAATTTATCCATTTCTTCTAGATTTTCTAGTTTATATACGTAGAGGTGTTTGTAGTATTCTCTGATGGTAGTTTGTATTTCTGTGGGATCGGTGGTGATATCCCCTTTATCTTTTTTTATTGCATCTATTTGATTCTTCTCTCTTTTCTTCTTTATTAGTCTTGCTAGCAGTCTATCTATTTTGTTGATCTTTTCAAAAAACCAGCTCCTGGATTCATTAATTTTTTGAAGGGTTTTTTGTGTCTCTATTTCCTTCAGTTCTGCTCTGATTTTAGTTATTTCTTGCCTTCTGCTAGCTTTTGAATGTGTTCGCTCTTGCTTTTCTAGTTGTTTTAATTGTGACATTAGGGTGTTGATTTTGGATCTTTCCTGCTTTCTTTTGTGGGCATTTAGTGCGGTAAATTTCCCTCTACACACTGCTTTGAATGTGTCCCAGAGATTCTGGTATGTTGTGTCTTTGTTCTCGTTGGTTTCAAAGAACATCTTTATTTCTGCCTTCATTTTATTATGTACCTAGTAGTCATTCAGGAGCAGGTGGTTCAGTTTCCATGTAGTTGAGTGGTTTTGAGTGAGTTTCTTAGTCCTGACTTCCAGTTTGATTGCACTGTGGTCTGAGAGACAGTTTGTTATAATTTCTGTTCTTTTACATTTGCTGAGGAGAGCTTTACTTCCAACTATGTGGTCAATTTTGGAATAGGTGTGGTGTGGTGCTGAAAAAAATGTATATTCTGTTGATTTGGGGTGGAGAGTTCTGTAGATGTCTATTAGGTCCACTTGCTTATGTACTCAAACAAACACTATCACCCACAAAATAATACGGCTAAATAAATTTAATACTTCTGAGCAACTATCTTGAAGACTTTGATAGTTCTTTGCTATTGTTTTTAAATGTACTTTTTTCACTTGGAGACCCAACATTTTTGTTCTGCATTCCCGTTCCCCTCACTGCGTGCAAAAATCAATGCATGACATCAATCATTGCCCTGATCCGGCCATGGAAAGATTTGGAGAAAGCCTGGATTCTAATGTTGATCCTGACCCATAATAGCATGTCACATTTCAGATGTCTCTACAGTGGGTCAAACATGCAGCCGCTGCTGGGCCTTCAAGGAAGCAAAGTCTGTGTCCTTAGGTCACGCAAAGTCTGGTTTAAAAGCTGACGCATGTTCTGAGAGCTGTAGGCTGTGATGGGGAGGCTCAGCACGGGTCAGGGACGGCACATCCCGGCCCCCCAGAGCAGCTCTGGGAATGCCTCGTGCCTGTCATCCCGGCCTAATGATTATTAATTCCTGTTCTCTTTCCTCTCATCTTCCCCTGATGGGGAAAGTCACTTATATGATCACGCTGACCACACAGCACAGTTCTCAGCCCAGCTGAGCCTCCTATTGCCAGGGAGGTTTTTACACGTACCAATGAAGTCCTCACCCTGGTGATTCCGGGGTAATTGTTCTGAGACAGGGTCGGGCCATGATGGACTAAAGAGTGAAGGGTCACTGGGGCATGGGCAGGCATGCTTAGTCCAGCCCAGGCAGCTGCAGGAATTCTCTCAGAGTTGTCTTGGGGCTGGAGCTTCCAGGGGGACTCGAGTTTGACAGAGCTGGGAGTAGAGCTCAGCGTTTTGGGAAGAGCAGTGGGACGGGACGGCACCAGCGGGCATGGACCTGGGATGTCAGAGGCTCTCACAGCCAAGCTGCTGGCTTCCAGGCACCACAGCCACTGAGTCCTGTCTGCACCCAGACCCCGTTCCTGAGCTCCAGGGTGGGCCTGGCACTCTGCATTCTGAACGGGCAATGCTGAGGCTGAGGGTCCCTGGGCCACACTTGGAAAGGTCAAGGCTTCAGCAGAAGGTGGGAGCAGGGGGTGTGCAGATGACACCAGCTGCCAGGACAAGCCTTGCTGTAAGGATGCAGGATGCGAATGGGAGAGGCACCAAGGGCCGCAGAGAAGGAGCCGTGCTGCACTGGGCTGCCGTGAAGACGAGGTGGGCGTCCTCGGTGGCTGCGACTGTAGCGGAGCTGTGAGGGTGAAGATGAGGTGGGCGGCCTCGGTGGCTCGGGCAGAGCTGTGAGGGTGAAGACGAGGTGGGCGGCCTCGGTGGCTGAGGCGGAGCTGTGAGGGTGAAGACGAGGTGGGCGGCCTCGGTGACTGAGGCGGAGCTGTGAGGGTGAAGACGAGGTGGGCGGCCTCGGTGGCTGAGGCTGAGCTGTGAGGGTGAAGACGAGGTGGGCGGCCTCGGTGGCTGAGGCGGAGCTGTGAGGGTGAAGACGAGGTGGGCGTCCTCGGTGGCTGTGACTGAGGCGGAGCTGTGAGGGTGAAGACGAGGTGGGCGGCATCGGTGGCTGAGGCTGAGCTGTGAGGGTGAAGATGAGGTGGGCGGCCTCGGTGGCTGAGGCTGAGCTGTGAGGGTGAAGACGAGGTGGGCGGCCTCGGTGGCTGAGGCTGAGCTGTGAGGGTGAAGATGAGGTGGGCGGCCCCGGTGGCTCGGGCAGAGCTGTGAGGGTGAAGACGAGGTGGGTGGCCTCGGTGGCTGTGGCTGAGGCTGAGCTGTGAGGGTGAAGATGAGGTGGGCAGCCTCGGTGGCTGAGGCGGAGCTGTGAGGACACATCCATAATTAAGGCACTGCGGGGCTGGCAGGACTCGCCTTTCTGTGAACCATGGCCCCAGGGCTACTTCCTCCTGCCTACCTTTTTTCCTTTCCAAACTTTGTCTTCCCCCCCATCATTCCCACTCTGCAATTATGTGACACTGTGGTTCTAAATGGCCTATGTCCCCAGGGCCTTGGGATGAGGAGGGGGCCAAGCGACAGGCACCGTCCTCCACGCAGCATGGCTATGTCTCTGCGCTCAACGTTCCCAAGCCTGGGAGACAGAAAAGTACTATTTGGGCAAATATTTAGAAGGTATTTGTTCTGGTAAAGAACAAAATCATAATATTTATTTTAAAAGAGACACCGTAATAAACAGTCCTCTATGAATTGCTTAGTGAAACACTTTTTATGTTGCTTCTCTTTGTATAATTTCTCTATTTGGAAATGCATCATACCTCGTAAGGGCGCCAGTGACAAGGGAGTCCCAGGGTCACCGAATTCCAGGGCATCACTGGCTCACTTGGCAGAGCTCCTGTGGTCCCTACGGTGGTTTTAAAGTTACATGAGTAACACATATCCTACTTAGTGGATTCCCGTTCTGTGGGCCATGGGTGGGACTGGAGTCACACCTTTCCAGCATGTTCCGCCGCTGCCAGTGCTGCTGCGTGCAGGCCATATTTGGAGCCTGGTTCCTCCTTCTACACCTGAAGAAGGAACAGGCCTGTTGCAGCGTAACTAACATCCTACATAACTACACCACTAAAACTCAGCTGACTCCCCAGACTCAGTCCCTGGGGGAGGAGGCAGCCGAGGCCGGCACCCCTTTCCCTGTCCAAGTGCCTCCAGGTTGCATGCATGAGTGAGTCCTCCAGCCACCTCCTGCCAGACCTGAGGTTTGCTTGAAGCTTTATCACATCCATCAGCCCAGCACGCTCTGAAAGGGCGCTGGTGCCAGGGTCCCTGTCCCGCCTTGATCCTTCCCTACCTCAGCACCACCCCGGTCCCATAAACCGCCTTAATCCTTCCCCACCTCAGCATCGCCTCTGGCCTCATCAAATCCGAGGTACCTGTTCCGCCTCCATCACATGTCCCCTCCTGGCTTCCCTCCGCCTCTGTTGCCGGCTCCTCTTCCCTCCCCACATCGAAAACTGAGGTCCCCAGCAGCCCCTTCTCAGCCATCACACAGCCTCATGCTGCCTCCGCCTCAGCAACTCCATCTATGTCCAGGAGCTCCCTCCACAGTAACGACTCCCACATCTTCCTGAGGCCACAACATTCTCCCAACGTCCGGATATCCCACTAGGTAGCTGGCCCACATTCCCTGCGATCATCACTAATGTACCCAAACCATCCTGTTCCCTCCACCAGAGCTCACGGGCTCCCACACACACGGCCCAGGCCCCACACCCTGCTCTCTTCCGTGTTATCTGTCCACCACTCCCATATCTGACTCTTAAAACGACAACAAAATCTAGTTAAGAGAACCGGAACTGCGGTTTCTGCCGATGTCCCATCCTGGGCAGCACACAACCGAGGCATCTGGATCTGAGCCATCTGTGAATTTGCCACTGGGCATGGTTGTAGCGAACACATGCATGCCAGGGCCGTGTCTTCCAGCTGTCTGTCAAGACACTGCCTCAGTTTGAGGCATAGCCCCGTGGCTGGATGTTCTGTGGCTGCGTGCTCTGTGGCCATGTGTTCTGTGGCTGGGTGTTCTGTGGCTGCGTGTTCTGTGGCCATGTGTTCTGTGGCTGGGTGTTCTGTGGCTGGGCGCTCTGTTGCACAGTGAAGGGCCAAGCACCCTCCACACAGGTGTGCACAGGACAGAGGTGACTGTGGGAACAGCACCGAACATCAGCCCTGAGCCGAGGCTATGCGTGCGACAGGTTCATCAGCCCCAGCTGGGGAAGGAGAATGAGAACAAATGGAAGATGCATTCAGCACCAGTGGACATGGAATATGGTCATCTCAGGGCCGCTAGGATGCCCGATGCTTCTGAGCTTGTGGGACACTGGGCGCTCCGGGGAGAGCTGGAGGCCCAGTGGCCCGGCTTAAATTGCCAGGCAAAGGGTGGAGGCAGGACACAGGGAAGAGGAGATGGAGAATTCTGGAGGGAAACAGACCACTTAGGAGGCAGGAGATGCCGAAACATTATCAGCAAAGGCTCTGTGCGGGTTCTGCGCTGGGCAGCTGAGCTGTCGCCTCCACAGCAGCCGGGGTCAGGCTGGGTCAGTGGTTCTCCAGGTGTTTCCCAGACCAGCATCTCTGGGGACCCGAGCTTCTTAGAAACGCAGGTCTATGGACCCCAGCCTATGAAACCAGATTGTCTCAGGACGGTGCCCATTAAAGAGTCTCTGTTTTTGTAAAAGGGGGGTGGCCAGGTCTATTACGAAGGCCTGTGAGCCCCCACCATGCAGTGGATCATGGGGGTTTGATACTTGTCGGGCGGCAGGTGTTATGGATGGGAAGGAGACGTGAGAAGTCCACAATTCAAAGGAAGACACACTGAGTGCCATCTGTGAAGGGTTAGACATTTCTCTGGGGTGCAAATGGACACAAATGACCAGAAGAGAAATCCCTTGTAGAGGAGACTGCTCGGGAGCTGAGATGCCAGGAAGGGGAACGTCGCAGGTATTGGAGCGCGCTGGGCAGAGGGCTGGGGTGGCCTACTGAGCCCAGGATGGAAGGTCTTAGGCACACAGTTCTCGGAGCTGGGACGGAGACGGGAATGGGCCGTGCTGGCCGGTCAGGCTGGGGAGAAGCAGGAGGAGCCTGGGGAGGTGTGTGACTGTCACCAAGTGGGAGAAAAAGTATTTTTCCTTCATCATATTTATCTTCTTGATTACTTTCACAAGTGTCTGAGAAAGAAAGACAGCCCATAATGAAATTTACCTTCTTAAGTAGGTTATTGTTAGGGTCGACCTAATTATTCCGTACCTAACAGAGAGAACGGAGTGTATGCTGGAGTGTTGGCGTGGCTGCATTGAAAATCATTATGTATTCTGAGTGAAACACCCAGAATTTAAGTGGATTATTCTTGAGTGCAGTCATTTGCAAACTGAGTTTGGTGACACCTTACAGAACGTCTCTTGGGGTCCCTTGCAAGAAGCATAATTCAACCTGTGCCTGCAACACCACCATCCACCCAGCCGAACTCTCTACCTGGGCCTGAGAAGCGGGAGAATCCGCCCCATCAACTCTTCTCACGAGAGTATGCACTTGCCTATTAGAAAATGTGTTTGGAATAGTAACCAGCAGGAGTTTCAACATACTCCCAACCCATAAGGCATCATGCAAGAATTATGAAGAAAAACGCCCCCTCATTAGACAGCTCACTTTGATTTCAGTCTCCATGGAAACTGGATATTCAGATGCTCTGAGATATTTTTGTCTTTGGGGTTTTGCATGTCTTGGAATGTGGACATGTGCACAGATACAAAGCCAGATGTGGCGTGTGGCGCAGGCGATGTCGGCTGGCGTGGCCTCCTGCCAGGCAGTGGGATCCGCTGAAAGGCAGAGTGGAAAGTTAACACTGTTGAATGACAGATCGCAAAGTTGAAATCTGAGGCACGATGAAGCCATGGAAACCACATGCAAAGAGATTTGAGAATGTTTTCTGGGCTGGGGATGGGGTTCGGGTCTTCGCAAACCCTCTGTGGATGTGTGTGTATGTCTGTGTGACAAGCACGTCCACAGCCGCCCGGCAGGATGTCCCCGTAAGGTTTCATCCACAGCGTCCCCACTTGGGAGGTGGCCGAGTTCCACTGCCAGCTTTCCCAGCTGCTGAACAGTAGCATCCATGGCAGTCTGAACACAGTGAGGTTTTTCTTCCTCTGTAACGTTTTTTTTTTTTATCTTTTCTCTACACTGAAACTACCGTCCCTGCGTGAGTTTGAGGTCAAGGGTGTTCCTGCTGGCAACTTCACAGAGGGGAGGGCAGTGTCTTTCTGGCACAGCAACTGTAGTGGTGACTCGAACCAGAAACCCACCCCTGGAGGAGAGGAGCAGAAAACACTGCTTCCTCCTGGGTGGGTTGAAATCGACCAATGTGAGTGTTCATTGCAAGGAAAGCCAAGATTCATCTCCATTAAGATCCCTTTACATTTCCGAGCTCCATTCCAGGGGCTGGATTTTTCCAAAAACTCAAAGGACATTTTTGACTTCACTTTTTCTCTAAGGGAGTTCAGCTTGAGGGCTGAGATATCTGTTTTGTGGTTCAAGGTCATGAGCAGCATCCTAGTCACAGAACAGGCAGGTAGAAAAGGAATAAAGTCAGTGGCCCAGAGACCCCCACTGAGCACTCAGACCTTCGATACCCCATCAGGATGATGGAAGGTTAGGGCCTTTGGTGGTCCTGTGGCCCACCCTCCCGTCATGCAGACAGGATGACCTGATGGCCAGGACAGGAAGAACAGCCACCTCTGAGCTTCCCCGCCCATCGGGCCCCCAGTTTCCACACATTCACCCATGGTAAGGCACAGCCACCCGTGAGCACTGTCAGCTACATCTTGGGGGTCTGGGGAGGGGGGGATACCGGATGCAAGGAAGGTTCCAGACACATCATCAGCTCCTTGGCTGCCGTGAGGGGTGGTTTGAGCAATGCAATGAGCTCATGGCAACCCTGTGAGCGGCTGGTCTGAGAGCCCGTCCAAAGCCCAGAGGGAGATGCTGGCATCAAGTCAGTGAGTGCTCAAGGTCACAGCGCTCCACGTGGACGCCCAGTCAGGTGCAGGTGCAGGTGGGTCCCGCCCATCTCAGGCACTGATTCTCATGCGCTGGGGCAGGGCCCCTCTGGAGCTGCCTGCCTGCAGGTGGGGTTTCCCGATGGTGGTGCCAAGGCCGCTGCAGACTGAAGTCCACATGAGTCCCCCTGCCCCTCGGGGTCCCAGGCGGACCCTGGTCTGTCAGGACTCAGCTGTCGGGGAGAGAGCTGAAAGGAAGATGTCAACATTCGGGCCTGAGCCTAGACAGCTTTGCCCGTGTCCTTCACGCCTGAGCAGGGCTGAGAGGAGGAAGTCAGTCCGCCTGACACACAGAGGCTTGCCAGGACCTTTTGCTTTTCCTTGCAGCCTCGGTGGAGGCGGAGCGCACCTCATCTTTGAGCTTGTCCTGCTGTCTCAGCCCAGGGCCAGTCCCACTGCCAGGGGCACGCCCCCCATTTATATATTAATTAAGCGTCACATCCACGCCCCCCATTTATATATTAATTAAGCGTCGCATCCTCCAGAGGCACTTCCTGACCCTCACCCCAGCTGCATCATGCCACTGAGTGAGTGTGCGGAAGGCACCACCTCCTCCCATCAGCAAGGCTGCAGCGTTCCAGGCAGACCACAGACTCCAGGACGGCAGGCGGTCGGTCTGTCTTGTTCACTGTCTCGGCCTCTGCCCGGCACGAAATCAATCAACATGACTGAGAGGCTGGATCCGAGGCCCCCAGCATGTGGTCAGACCCATTACACATCATCTTGTCTTAAAAAGACCTGATGCCCCATGATGCACACCAGCCCGATGGCCGCTCGCTGATTGGATTCTGAGGAATCTGTTGTTGGCCAACTCCTGGGTCCCTCCCAGCAGCTTTCGATGGATCAAAGCTTGACTCCCATGTCGCGTTGAACTCAGGAGTGAGTTCATGCCGGTTTTTGAGCCACCTCTTTCCTAAGAAAGCTGCGGATTCTGCAGCATTTTGCAAACAGGACGCCCTAGTCTCTCTGCCAAACACCGAGTGTGCTGCACGCTGCCTTCCTCATTGGCAGCATTGTGGGTTACGGAATGTTTCTACACACACGCTTCTCCCAGGCTGCCACCCTGTACGTATTCATCACGCCCTTTAAATATGACCGAAATTCTGTCGTCTTCCTGACTAATGGTGCCGTGTATCTAAACATCAAAGCATTTTCAAGGCAATCACATAATGATTCAAAATTGACTTTGGTGTCTCCTTTGCTGCTTGCACACAGCGGATCAAGAATCTGCTGAATCATAATCCAAGGATTGTGATAATGTGGTCCCAGAAAAGGCCCATTTCATAGTAAAAACTGGTTTGTAAAAATTATTATCAGAAGCATCACCTTTTTGCAGCAAACTAAGCAATTTAATTAATGAAAAAGTGTCACCAGAGAAACACAAATTGCATCATTAGAAAAAAAAAATGAGACCGATTGTTGAAGAGTTGTCTAGGATCCTTATGTGACTGGTAACCAGCAAACGCTGAAGGCCCCAGTCGTTGGACGTCAGCAGGCTGTGCCAGGCTGTGCACTGCTGAAATCGGTTTTGCGAGGGAGCTCTGTGATGCCGTGAGCCCGGGTGCCTGCACTCTGGTCGTTGGACGTCAGCAGGCTGTGCCAGGCCGTGCTCTGGTGAAATCGGTTTTGCAAGGGAGCTCTATGATGCTGTGAGCCCGGGTGCCTGCACTCTGGTCGTTGGACGTCAGCAGGCTGTGCACTGGTGAAATCGGTTTTGCCAGGGAGCTCTGTGATGCCGATGAGCCCGGTGCCTGCACTCCGGCCCCGAGCGGTCTCTCAGTGAGAACACATCACAGCACATTAATGAGCGCTGGCGCCCAGGCCTGCAATTAGCCTTTCCCGAGTTCAGAGGGCTCCTTGGCTCTGGGCCTGCAGATCACAGGGCTTCATTTCAATGTGGTCATCTTTGTTCCCTCCGTGCCCCTAGTGATTTGATAAAAGACTCCTATTTTATTGGAGTTGCAAGATTTTTCAGTGTATCCTATATTCAAGCAGATGAAATATGTTGGAGTAGGCCTTTTGTGTATTCGTTTTCATCCCATTTTATTTGTTTTGCTTATCTACATTTTTACAAGATCTAACTCCAAGGGGTTGTTCTCAAGTTATAGTCATAATTCATCGACGTGTTCGATGGCTGGCAACCACAGAAATGGTTGCAGAGAGAAAACAAACGTCTCCACTAGATTTCTTCATTGTTCCTGCTCCTGCTCTAAAATGAAACTCTGAGTTTTCCTGGAGGCTGTGTATGCCGTAAGAAATTTACTGAGAAATGTATTCCAGCATATTTATCTATACTCGGTCTCCTAGAAACATAGGTTTGTATCCTTAACTAGTAGCCCAGAAATCTACTTTGAATACTAATAGGACAAGCTGATGGCAGCAAGTTGAAACTTTAATTCTGATAAGACAGATGGTTCTTCGCAAACCAGCTTCATTTTGAAATAAACTGATATCTGGTATTTACTAAAAATGGTATCTTTCTTACAGGCAATTTTTCCTCACTATGTTAATTGCCATATTTCTCTTCCCTCTAATGCAAAGCATAACTTCCTTCATGAAAGCCAAATATTGTAGCCCCACACACCTCCCCCGTCCCACGCCTCCCCCAGAAGGTTGCCCTTCCTCCCTCCAGGATGCCTCAGTGATGGCAACAAATAGCTGTTGTCTGCAGAGTCACGCAACTCACTACTTGTCATTTTCTTTGTTAATTCTATTTTCAAGGGCACGCACATTTCTGCAGCTCATGAAATTCCTTTAAACTATGATGCAGGGAAATTATAAAAGCTAAACTCCTGTCAATTGTCTCTGTTCTCTGATCATATATATATATATATATATATATATAATTTTTTATATGTGTGTATATATAATTATATATATATATATGTATATGTATATAATTTTTTGTATGTGTTTTTAGTAGAGACGGGGTTTCACCATGTTGGCCAGGATGGTCTTGATCTCCTGACCTCGTGATCCACCCGCCTCGGCCTCCCAAAGTGCTGGGATTACAGGCATGAGCCACCACACCCAGCCTCTGTTGTCTGATCTTAATAAGATCTTCTATGTTGCCTTCCTGCAGCATGTTTGGAAACACAAAATTTTTGAGTTTTTAAAAATCTGGTCATTGAAGTTAGTTTAGTATTCTGAATAACTGAGCACCTTCCCCACAGTAAGGATAAAACCTTTTACTGTGTTTTATGCCTTCAGGTAGAAGTTATTCTAACATGTATCATACCTGGCCTTTTATTGTGTTGAGTCAGATGAGATGACTGATACTTCACTGTTTTTGACCTTCACAAATGCCATCTTCCTATGGTTCAACCTGACATATTTAGACAGGCATTGTTACCTGGCATCATGAATAATGGTTCAGACTTCAGGGAGTTCAAGAAACCCTACAAATTTCTGCAAAGTGGTGTGTAAATGTGTCTATGGTTTTTTATCAAACTCAAAACAATCTCTCAGCCTCCAGCAGCACAGACCTGCGTGTGGCTTCAGGTTGCAGGACAGGGCTCAGAGCAGCCTTCCCTGGGGAAGACAGGGTTTGCACACAGCCTTCAGGACCCACCTAGGATGTGTCGGCTTTGAGAGAACACAGGGAGTTTTCTCTGCATCCAGACATGAAAACAGGAGTGGGAGAAGGCAGCCGCACAGGGTGTCCCAGGACAGAGAGCAGGGTCGGGCGTCCCCATGATATGGGGCTCTGTAGGCTGTGCTAGGGCCTCTGGCCACTCAGCATCTTTCCCACCAATGTGCAAGACCAGTGTGTGTCCCAGACAGGAGTGACAACCAGGTGGTTTACATGCATCTACCCGAGGGGTCACCCTACAGACCAGCATGCGTCCCAGACAGGAGTGACAGCCAGCTGGTTTACATGCATATACCTGAGGGGTCACCCTACAAGACCAGCGTGCATCCCAGACAGGAGTGACAGCCAGCTGGTTTACATGCGTAGACCCCAGGGGTCACCCTACAAGACCAGCGTGCGTCCCAGACAGGAGTGACAGCCAGCTGGTTTACATGCGTAGACCCCAGGGGTCACCCTACAAGACCAGCGTGCGTCCCAGACAGGAGTGACAGCCAGCTGGTTTACATGCATATACCTGAGGGGTCACCCTACAAGACCAGCGTGCGTCCCAGACAGGAGTGATAGCCAGCTGGTTTACATGCATAGACCCCAGGGGTCACCCTACAAGACCAGCATGCGTCGCAGACAGGAGTGACAGCCAGCTGGTTTACATGCATAGACCCCAGGGGTCACCCTACAAGACCAGCGTGCGTCCCAGACAGGAGTGACAGCCAGCTGGTTTACATGCATAGGCCCCAGGGGTCACCCTATTCTGCTGAGCATGTTAATATTTTAAGCGCCACGTTCAGAGATTGTCACTTGTCATGATATTCATTATCCATAATTAATATTGCAACTGAGGAATGCTTGAAAGATGTTCTTTTCCATGCATGCTTGTTTGTCACTGTCAGGAAAACTTTAAATGGGCTTGGGCTCATTTCTTCTTCAAATTAACTGCAATACCAAGCATGTATTGTTTATAAAATTGATTAATTGCACATATGTAGGAAATGGGAGCAGGCCTAGAGCACTCACAGAGCTGTCAGGATCATCCAGCACCCTCTCTGGCATTTTAAATTCTGTTGTTTTCTTTTTTTTTTTTTTTTTTTTTGAGATGGAGTCTTGTTCTGTCACCCAGGCTGGAGTGCAGTGGCACAATCTTGGCTCACTGCAACCTCTGCCTCCCAGGTTCAAGCAATTATCCTGTGTCAGCCTCCCGAGTAGCGGGAATTGCAGGTGCGCACCACCACGCCCGGCTAATTTTTGTGTTTTTAGTAGAGACAGGGTTTCACCATGTTGGTCAGGCTGGTCTCAAACTCCTGATCTCAAGTGATCCACCCACCTCAGCCTCCCACAGGGCAAAAAGTACTCACAGAGGTTCGGGACCTCGGGTGTTTTTATGTAATGGAATGAAGTCAGTAAACCTTTTCACGTTCTGGAATTGACAGAGGGACCATGAGAACACCCATCCCATGTCAAGAACACGTGCAGCGTGAGCAGGAAGGACGCTGGCATGTGGCCGGACTCTGTTCCGCGGCCCCGGGCTTCTGTCCACACCATGCTTCCTTTGAAACATGGAGCTACATAAGCCTAAGAATTGAGCCTGTCATTGTGAAATAATCCTCCACTGAAGACCACTTGCTCCAATACAACAGAGCCATGTTCTCTGTGTACAAGTGGCTTATGATCAAACTTGTGTCTTATGACTATTTTGTTTTAATTTACTATGAAGAAACTAAACCATGGGCTCTGATGTTGTGAACAGATATCTGTGGAGTAAATTCAATGTGTCAGATGCTGGCTAGGACTTTAATCAGCTGATTTCGTGTCGTCCTCAACACAACCCCTTGAAGATTAACATGTCGCTTTACTGATGAAGCCAGCAGAGCAGGGGACGCCTCTCCTTCCCCTCTGTCACGGCTGCCTTCCTGGAGCCACAGTGGATCACAGCAGAGCATGGTGACTCGACGGTCTCTTCACTGATGCTTTTCATGACAGGTTTTTCATTGATAGAATTGTAAAATTTGATTCTTTTTTGCAGGAAGACAGATAATTTCTTGTGCATTTTTTATATATTAGATGGGGGTAACATTTTCTCAACTTTAAAGAGATAACTCATAATTTGTTTTGTGGCACAGTCTCTTTGGAGACTTTGGGTTGGAATCAAGAGTAAAGAATGGTTTTTACTAATCAGAGAAGATACTTTATGGGTAAAGACTGCAATATACAAACCTGGAGACCAGCCCTACTCATCTGGGTGGCCAGTGGGTTTTATTCAGTATAATTTCCACACAAGTCTTTGGGTCGGTAGGGATCAGAAAGGACTCTCTCCAGAGCATAAACACAAGGGTACCATTTGGACAGACCTGAGTTTGGAAAGCCTGGCGTGGGTTTCTGCCTCCATAAACCAAAATCAGCAGCTCTCACGTGGGCTGGGCACAGTCGCTGATTCAGTGGCCAGGAGGAGAGAGAAGGGCGGCATTTGGGTTGGGAGAAGGTGCTGCTGTCACGTGGGCTGGGTGCAGTCGCTGATTACGTGGCCAGGAGGAGGGAGAAGGGCGGCATTTGGGTTGGGAGAAGGTGCTGCTGTCACAGGACTGGGTGCAGTCGCTGATTCGGTGGCCAGGAGGAGGGAGAAGGGTGGCATTTGGGTTGGGAGAAGGTGCTGCTGTCACGTGGGCTGGGTGCAGTCGCTGATTTCGTGGCCAGGAGGAGGGAGAAGGGCGGCATTTGGGTTGGGAGAAGGTGCTGCTGTCACAGGACTGGGTGCAGTCGCTGATTCGGTGACCAGGAGGAGGGAGAAGGGCGGTGTTCAGGTTGGGAGAAGGTGCTGCTGTCACGGGACTGTGGCTACCTTGGGTGGATGGGAATTAGTTCAGTTCCTCCCGCACTCGGTCATCCTGCAGTAGCTCAGCCTCCAGGACTCAGGCTGCCAGCGTGGGTGGCTGGGGAAGGGGAAGGGACCAGGAATGTACCATCTCAGGCCCAGGGAGCCACGTCCCCCCGCAGAGGCCAGGGATGCCTCCTGAACAAGCCTCATCTCCGTGAGATACAGCAGCCCTCAGGCCCCCACACGGCGGTGGCTTCTGATTTCTAGGATCTATTTTATCTGAAACGATTAGTTCAAGACGGAAATGTTACTTCCCAGCAAATGGCTCAAACACATGTTGCCCTCATCCCATTCCATGAGAAGTTGGAAGTAAAATTAAAGTTCAAGTGGGCCAGGTGTAGTGGCTCACGCCTGTAATCCCAGCACTTTGGGAGTCTGAGGCGGGTGGATCATTTGAGGTCAGGAGTTCAAGACCAGCTGGGCCAAGATGGTGAGCCCCCATCTCTACTAAAAATACAAAAATTAGCCTGGCGTGGTGGTGTGTGCCCGTAATCCCCGCTACTTGGGAGGCTGAGGCAGGAGAATCGCTTGAATCCAGGAGATGGAGGCTGCAGTGAGCTGAGATCATGCCATTGCACTCCAGCCTGGGTGACAGGGCGAGAATCTGTCTCAAAAAAACAAAAGAAAAAGATCGGGGAAGGTGCTGATGAGACAAGCGGCCCCAGCGTTTGTGCTGGTTTTGGTTATTGATGAAATAGTGGGAGCAACTGCGTTACGTGTGTCATAAAATACATATGATGAACTGACAGAGAAAGCCACTCAGAGAGAACCCAGCATGGCTATGTAGTGTGTCCAGGGACCACCCATGCTCCCCAGGAACTCCCTTCGAACCCACCGTCCAAAGCCAGGGTCAGGCAGCCTCGGGTATGGTTGGCTCAGGGTCCTGTTCCCAGGACGCTCCTGCCCCGGGTGGCCCCGAGCTGGTCCGGCCTCGCGTTGAGGGGTCCAGTGGTTTAAGCCTGAGTTCTGAACATGTGTCAAACAAAGCAATCCCATCCAGGAGGCGGTCGGGATACCCAAATCTCACTTGCATTTCCCAGCAAGCATTCGTGAAAACAGACTTGCTGACCAGGCACTGGCCACGTTGAACATGGTGTGAGCGGCCCAGGCCCTCCTCCGTCAGATGGGCCTGGAGCACGGGGTGGGCGAGCAGGTGCAGCCACGAGGGCTTCAGGAGCTGTGGAGGCGATGGTGTGGTTTGAGCTGATTCACAAGCTCTGCTGGGGTTTTCTTTCCATCTTGTGACCTGGGCCTTCCAGGGAGCTGCACGCGCTCCTGGGACACGTGGAGCTTTCACAGTTGTCCTGAGGGAAGAGGAAAAATATCAGGCACATAACAACTGAGGAAGGAGCTGAAACCTGGAAGAAAAAGACCAAAGTATCATGGGAAAAAAAGGGAAATCAACAGAATTCACTGAATGTCGCAACAGCCGCCTTCCTGAAGAGCTTCCTTCCAGCTGAGCTCCCAGGCAAGTCACTGTCCCCAAAGCCACGTTCCAGGACAGCACCCATCCAGGACAGCTCCCTTCCAGGACAGCACCCGTCCAGGACAGCTCCCTTCCAGGACAACATCCTTCCAGGACGGCTCCCTTCCAGGACGACACCCTTCCAGGACGGCACCCTTCCAGGACGGCACCCTTCCAGGACGGCACCCTTCCAGGACAACGCCCTTCCAGGATGGCACCCTTCCAGAATGGCATCCTTCCAGGACGACACCCTTCCAGGACAGCTCCCTTCCAGGATGACACCCTTCCAGGATGGCTCCCTTCCAGGACGGCACCTTTCCAGGACAACACCCTTCCAGGACGGCACCCTTCCGGGACGGCACCCTTCCAGGACAGCTCCTTTCCAGGACAACACCCTTCCAGGATAGCTTCCTTCCAGGGTAGCTCCCTTACAGGACAGCATCCTTCCAGGACAACACCCTTCCAGGACGGCACCCTTCCAGGACCGCACCCTTCCAGGACGGCACCCTTTTAGGACGACACTCTTCCAGGACAGCTCCCTTCCAGGACGGCTCCCTTCCAGGACAACACCCTTCCAGGACAGCTCCCTTCCAGGATGACACCCTTCCAGGATGGCTCCCTTCCAGGACGGCACCTTTCCAGGACAACACCCTTCCAGGACGGCACCCTTCCGGGACGGCACCCTTCCAGGACAGCTCCTTTCCAGGACAACACCCTTCCAGGATAGCTTCCTTCCAGGGTAGCTCCCTTACAGGACAGCACCCTTCCAGGACAACACCCTTCCAGGACGGCACCCTTCCAGGACCGCACCCTTCCAGGGCGGCACCCTTTTAGGACGACACTCTTCCAGGACAGCTCCCTTCCAGGACGGCTCCCTTCCAGGACAACACCCTTCCAGGACGGCTCCCTTCCAGGACAGCAACCTTCTAGGACAACACCCTTCCAGGACAGCACCCTTCCAGGACAGCTCCCTTCCAAGAAAGCACCCGTCCAGGACAGCTCCCTTCCAGCACAGCTCCCTTCCAGGAAAGCACCTGTCCAGGACAGCACCCTTCCAGGACAACACCCTTCCAGGACAGCACCCTTCCAGGACAGCTCCCTTCCAGGACGATACCCTTCCAGGACAACACCCTTCCAGGACAGCTCCCTTCCAGGACAGCAACCTTCCAGGACGGCTCCCTTCTAGGACAACGCCCTTCCAGGACGGCACCCTTCCAGGACAACACCCTTCCAGGATGGCACCCTTCCAGGACAGCTCCCTTTCAGGCTGGCTTCCTTCCAGCTGAGCTCCCAGGCAGTAAGTCACCATCCCCAAAGCCACCTTCTAGGACAGCTCCCTTCCAGGACGGCACCCTTCCAGGACAATACCCTTCCAGGACGACTCCCTTCCAGGACGGCTCACTTCCAGGACAGCTCCCTTCCTGCTGAGCTCCCAGGCAGCTAGTCACTGTCTCCAATGACTGAAGGCAGATAGAGGGGAGACAGGGCCAGGAAGAGCTGTCAGGGGCTGGAGACACGTCCCTCACCTTTCATTCTCCATGCTGAAAGTGACCTTGGGGGCCAGAAGGGCTCACTGCCTCACGCCTCACCGTCCTGGCCTCCAGCGAAGCAACGGGACATAGAGAGGCCATCAGATTGCAGCAGGATGATCATTATCATATCAGAAGCTGACCTTCCTATGCAAGAGTTTCAGAGGAGGACATAGAATCACTCTTCACAAAAAAAAAGTAGTATCTGAGTAGAGAAAAGCACAAACCATGTGAGGGAAAACACACCACAGTGGTTTTTCTATTTTCTCACTCAACAGCAACCAACACAGGAGACTTCGATGACCAAATGTTGGGGGCTTCTCCCCACCACCCAGCAGGTGACCAGCTCTGCAGGGGTCACCAGCCAGGGATCCCCTAATTCAGCACATTCACCTGGCGGGAACCTCAGGTCCCACAGGGGGAGGGCTGGGTCCCCAAGACCACCCACGACTTTGGATGCTGATCACAAGCTCCAGGAGCTTCTAACCAGCCAGTGGTAAACCGAGGCTCCTGCAAGCCCCCCACACGTGGGTTCCATTCATTTGCTGGAGTGGCTCCCGAAACTCTGGGAAGCACCCATGTTTGGTGGTTTATTATAAAGGATACAGATGAAGAGATGAGCAGAGCGAAGGGAAGAGATGAGCAGAGGGAAGGGGACAGATGAAGAGATGAGCAGAGCGAAGGGAAGAGATGAGCAGAGGGAAGGGGACAGATGAAGAGATGAGCAGAGGGAAGGGGCGTGGGGTTCCATTAATTTGCTAGAGTGGCTCCCAGAACTCTGGGAAGCACCCATGTTTGGTGGTTTATTATAAAGGATACAGGTGAAGAGATGAGCAAGGGAAGGGGCATGGAGTTTCTGTGCCTCCCAGGGCACCACCCTCCAGGAACCTCCACGGGTTCAGGTGTCTGGAAGCTCCACAAAAACCCCGATCCCAGTGCTAGGGCGTTTTGTGGAGACTCCACTGGATGGGCGTGACTGAGGCTCAGACAGCCGTGTGGAAATGGGACTGGAGAAAGTCGCTGCGCTCTGTGTTGCTAGCAGACCAAGGGTGGAAACTAGCAAGGCCTATGTGTTCAGACTCTTCCCGGCCCCTCTGTGCCGCGTTTCTTCCTCAGGGGCGTGAGGTAGGACCCTCTGGGGTGAGGGTTTTGGGACTCACAATGAGAAAGGTGGGTCAGAGAATGTCTTTATGGCCAACGCCATGACAGAAAGGCCGGGAAAGGTCCCTGCCTTGGGGAGAGAAAGGAGCAGTGAACGGAGTGGGAGGTCAGAGAGAGACTCCCAACGTTACAGCAGAGGCCGTGGGAGTCATGAGGCGGGCACCGTGGGCGAAAGCCGGTTGCATCCATTGTGACAGCGCCGTCTGCTTGTGCTGTCTGACATACTTTGCATTTTGAGTAATAAATTAACCATATTCGTGTTGGAGCGTTTAGGTTGAAGTCAAGTGTGCTCTTGACCCACATGGAGAAATAGTCAGAGGGGTCAAACCGACAGTAAAATAAAATATTAGACTCTTTACTAATCCACAGAGTGGGCTTTGCTTTTTTATCATTTGGACTTGAATGGCTTAACTGACAATTTGGTGCCAGGCAACCTGAGCCAAGTAGAGCAGTGATGAGGCCCAGCCGACCCTCATCCTCAGCCGTGGCTGCCGCAGGAGACATTTCCCCCCTCCCTTTTCCTCTTTTGGGCTGGAAATCTGCCCACTGGAACCACGCGTGCAGTGACCCTGTGGAGACACGGTGGCTCAAAAGGGAATTTTTTTTCTTGGCACAGGGTATCAGGTACCAGGGTATAACTTTTCCAGACATCTCAATTTGTGTGTGTGTGTGTGTGTATGTGTGTGTGTCTGGCCCATATGTGATAAAAACCTTAATTTCAGTACTTTCCAGAACTCTCAGGTGCCGAGAACTTACCTAAATTCATAGTAGTAACATTTTGGATTAAAGAGCTGCTGCTATTTCTGCTCAGTGGCATTTCTCTGTTAGATACAGAGGCTGTGTGTGCCATGCAGCTCTCAGTGAGAGGAAGGAAATGATCACCATTGCGTGGATAGTGGTGTGATGTGGTTGGTGAGACGTGTGGTAATTACTGTTTTCCAGGAAGTGGCCAGAACCTAGGAGCTACCAGGCCAGGGAGAAGCTGCTTCTTTTCTTTCTTTGTTCTACTTTTTCTTTTTTTTTCCCTTAACTACAGCCTAAACACACCTTTTAGAAATTAGTTTAAAAGAGAGCTAGTTATAGAAGTGATTTTAAATTTTTGTAAAAAGTGGCTGAAAGGCTGAACACTTTGAAGCTTCAAGAAAGTTGGGGGGATGTGGGCAGATGGGATTTTGCCGGGTGATAAAGAAGACGAATGCCCGGCCCCGGGACCAGGATGGTCAGTCCCAGATCCAGCCAGAGGGAGGGAGGGTCCGGCAGGGGCCTGGGAGGGTCAGTCCCAGATCCAGCCAGAGGGAGGAGGGGTCCAGCAGGGGCCCAGGAGGTCTCTCATCGTCATGCATGGCTTCTCTGTTGGATGTCACTGAGTGTCCTTCACCACGGTCCCTCCCCCCAGCCCCACTGCACCCTCATATCCACATCCAGCCCTCCTTATGGTCCTCCTGCAGTCCCTGTTCCTCAGACCCATCCCCATGTGACTGTACTTCCCATTCACGGCCCCCCACAGCCCCCCAGAGCTCTGCCTTCTACCTCCTCAGGACACCTCCCAGGAGCTCCAGAGAGACCCAGGACCCCCACTCACCAAGAGGCCCCCTCACTAGACCCGTTGAAGGCAGGGACTCCGTGACCTCGGCTCCAGACCCCCATTACCTTGGCAGAGCCCAGCACAAGCTGGCGTTTGCTGAGTGGATGGGAGACCACGGGCATTTGGTGTGCACAGAGGGAGGGTTTCAGGGAGTGTTCGTGTCAAGTGGACAGACTGCCCTGCCCACCTTCCCATAAGCCTGCACATTTTAGCCCCCAGCACAGAACCACGGCAACGTCCCATCACTAAAGGGAGCGTGGCCTGGCTGCTCTCCATAGCTCACTGCTGCCAGTAAGGGGGGCAGAGTGGCAGAGACCACCGTGGTTCTCAAACTGTGTCCCACAGTGCCTTGGGGTCCTGCGCCCTGCTGCAGGGGTGGCGCCAGGGTGAGAAGCTGACTTGGCTCTGAGATCCCAGATCCCCCCTGGTCAGGAGGCCACCACATCATACAGCTTTGTTTCACTAAACATAAATAAATAAATACGTTCTGAGGCTACACATTTTTGAAAAGTGTTACCCAGCTGGAACCGTGCTAATTCTTTCAGCCTCCTGTTCTAAGAGAGAATCTTTGTGCTGCAAAGTGGGGGCGCTGTGGCTTGCATCTTGACCCCTGTACAGAGACACTTTCAGAAATCACTTGCCAAAGACGTGGACCCAGGGTCACAGGAGCAGGGAGGTCCAGGCAGGCCCTGAGTCCCCAGCAGCCTCGGTCCCTTCTGAGAACCTCCCCAGTTCACACAGCGTGGATCCGGGCTGGCCCTGTGTCCTCTGCAGCCTCGGTCGGTTCTGAGAATTGTGCCCTGTTCACACAGCGTAGATCCGGGCTGGTCCTGAGTCCCCAGCAGCCTCGGTCCATTCTGAGAACCTCGCCTGTTCACACGGCGTGGATCTGGGCTGGTCCTGAGTCCCCAGCAGCCTCAGTCCATTCTGAGAACCTCGCCTGTTCACACGGCGTGGATCCGGGCTGGTCCTGAGTCCCCAACAGCCATGGTTTCTTCTGAGAACCTCCCCGGTTCACATCGCATGGATCCGGGCTGGCCCTGAGTCCTTAGCAGCCATGGTGGGTTCTGAGAACCACACCTGTTCCAACACATGGATCCCAAGCCTTAGGCTCCTGGTGCCACCAGGTCAGGACCCCGGCATCCCTCCACCCTTGAAGGAAACCTGGGAAGCCTGTGCTTTGGGGCCAGTGCATTCCTCGCTTTATTTACTGGGGCTGCCGTAAAACGTGACTCCAGCCTGGGCAGTGTAAACCACAGAAAGGCATCTTCTCGCCATTCTGGATGCCAGAAGACCAAAGCTGAGGCATGGGCAGAGCTGCACTCCCACTGCAGGCTCTGAAAACCCTCCTCTTCCCTCCCACTCTCCATGGATGCCAGCAGCTTGTGGTGACCGTCATCCTGGGGCCACGCTGCCCGGCCCAGACTCTCTTCCCGTGTCCATCCTGCTGTGCTCACTCCAGCCTCTCTCTCTCCTTAGAAAGACATCGTCCTGGTATTAGGACCACCTTCCCTCTGTACGACCTCATCTGAACTTGGGGCCACTGCAAAGACCAAGGTCAGAGTCACAGGCTCCGGGATGAGGCTGTCAACACATCCTTCTAGGGGACACAGTTCAACGCATGACATGTCCTGTCATTCATTCTATGAAAGAAATCCATGCTGGGCGCCCCGTGTCCAGCTGGGATGTGAGCACCAGGCAGAGGCCTGCCCTAAAAGCTGTGGCAGATCCTCCAGTCCTGGGGCTTCCTCCCCTCGCCCAGCTCCTGCACAGTGAAGGGTGGCTGTGGCCAGCAGCAGTGGCCGTGACAGCAGCCACCCTGGCTCCCAGGACAACACCTTGCGGCATTCAGCTCTGAGCTGCTCCCTGCCCAGCAGGCCCCGTACGAGAGCGAAGCGGGCTTTATTCTGGCTCCTAGGAGCCGGCTGTTAATGCGTGGCCACCATCTCCTCAGGAGACCCTCCATGTGGCCACCAAGGGCAGCAAACTGCAGTACATCCCTCTCTGCCATTTCCTGTGCAGGAGAGGTTTCTTCGGAAGCTACTGGAAAGCAGCCTGGAGAGAGACGTCTGCTGCTGAGGACCTTGCCTGCTCCTTCGCTGCCTTACTGAGCTTCCTCAGAAGAACCTCCCACGTATTCGTATTTTCACTGGCAGCTCTTGGGCAACGTGAAATCACCAATGCATCTGCCTCACCCCAAGATGATTCTCACGTCAGAAGCACCTGCTCTGCACGTGCCTGAGAATTCTTTTTTGTATTAAATTTATTATTTGTTGCCCTAAATAAAACCAACCCCAGAAATGGGCCCTCCTTGAAGTGCTGCCATTGTTTGAGAGGAACCAACTTTAAAAGTCCATGTATGACCCTCGATTATTTCTCCAGGAGATGCACAAAATACAGACTCCTATAAAACTCATTTGAGGGCCAAGCGTGGTGGTTTATGCCTGTAATCCCACACTTTGGGAGGCTGAGGCAGGAGGATTGCTTGAGCCCAGAAGTTCAAGATCAGCCTGGGCAACATAGGGAGACCTCATCCCTAAAAAAAAAAAAGAAAAAAAAATTAGCCAAGCCTGGTGGTGTGTGCCTGCGATCCCAGCTGCTCATGAGGTTGAGGCAGGAGGATCACTTGAGCCCAGGAGGTCAAGGCTGCAATGAGCTGTGATCATGCCACCGCACTGCAGCCTGGGTGACAGGGCCAGACCCTGTCTCCAAAGAAAAGCCTCAGTTGTGGCTGCTGAAAGACAGGATCATGCCAGACCATGGATGCTTCACTCCGCTGTCTCGCTGGACGTCTACACTGTCGCCTGTGTTAAGTCCTGGCAGCCAGGTGCTCCATCCAGCACTTCTCAGCCCCCAATGCCATCCTTCATCCCTCAGCTGGTGCCACCAAGTGAGCCCCGCTGGTTCCTTACAACCTGAGTCCACCACAGTGGGAGCTGGATTCATTCTGAGTGGCCGATGCAGTGGCATGGCAGCTGATAGATATGTTTAATATCATCCCTGCTGAAATCCCTCCCGCCACCTGCTCTCTTCTGAATACTTTCACAGAATCGTTTAAATACAACAAAATCCATGGGCCAGTCACACGCAGAAGCACATATTGGAATCCTATTCTATTCTCTCTTAAATATTTGATGTTTGACTAAATCCCAAGCCACTGAATAAATAGTTTAACAGAACAAAAGTGAAAGTGACTAATCTCTCGGCACAATCCTACCATTTTAAGATCCTGTAGCTCCACGTGGATATTCCATGATGAAGGCATCACCGACCACGGCCTCCCCTTCCCCGACTCCTCCAGCCTTTCCCGACTCCCCCAGCCTTTCCCGACCCCTCCAGCCTTTCCCGACCCCTCCAGCCTTTCCCGACCCCTCCAGGCTTTCCCGACCCCTCCAGCCTTTCCCGACCCCTCCATCCTTTCCCGACCCCTCCAGCCTTTCCCGACCCCTCCAGCCTTTCCCGACCCCTCCAGCCTTTCCCGACCCCTCCAGCCTTTCCCGACCCCTGCAGCCTTTCCCGACCCCTCCAGGCTTTCCCGACCCCTCCAGCCTTTCCCGACCCCTCCAGCCTTTCCCGACCCCTCCAGCCTTTCCCGACCCCTCCAGCCTTTCCCGACCCCTCCAGCCTTTCCCGACCCCTCCAGCCTTTCCCGACCCCTCCAGGCTTTCCCGACCCCTCCAGCCTTTCCCGACCCCTCCAGGCTTTCCCGACCCCTCCAGCCTTTCCCGACCCCTCCATCCTTTCCCGACCCCTCCAGGCTTTCCCGACCCCTCCAGCCTTTCCCGACCCCTCCAGCCTTTCCCGACCCCTCCAGGCTTTCCCGACCCCTCCAGCCTTTCCCGACCCCTCCAGCCTTTCCCGACCCCTCCAGGCTTTCCCGACCCCTCCAGCCTTTCCCGACCCCTCCAGCTTTTCCCGACCCCTCCAGCCTTTCCCGACCCCTCCAGCCTTTCCCGACCCCTCCAGCTTTTCCCAACCCCTCCAGCCTTTCCCGCCAGCTGCTGACCTCCACACTCTGTCCCCAGCACAGCTCCCAAACAAGGCTTCCATCTGCCTGTGACGCAGGACATCCCCAGCCTCCTCACCTCTGTCAGAGGCCTGTGCACCATGGCCAACCCAGCCTCTGCGATGCCCTCCCCTCCCCTCCCAGCCTCCTCCTAACCTCCTCTGCGACGCCCTCCCCTCCCCAGCCTCCCTCCTAACCTCCTCTCACCTCCTGCCCACAGCCCACTCATCCCTGAATTAAGGGATCCTCAAACAACCACCCCACACACCTCCCTTTATGAGCATGGGAAATGCCTCTTCAAGACCAAGAAGGGTTCATATCCATCAGCAGCTGGTGACGGACCATGCTGTGTAGGAATTCACCCTTGCTACTCCCATCCTTGGGTTCAAATCCCACCTTTGTGGCTAAAGCTGGGTGAAATCACATCAAACTCTCCAAGTCTTCTTTTCTTCCAGGAGCTCACAAGTGCCGTGACAGTTGAATGGGGCTCTGCGCAGGCCTGCGGTCCGTAAACGGTTGTGATTGCAACCACTTCTTGTGCCCAGTACAACATCATTAAATCGTTCTTTAATCCTTCATTAAATAAACTTGTATTTAGCGGTGGTCTCTGTGCCAGGCACTACGTTAAGGATAAAGCAGTGAGCACCAACAAGCCCTGGTCTCATAGCAGCCACGATTGAGCGTGGGAGTGAGACAGAGGGCCTGAGGCGTAAACAAGTGCCCCTCCACAGTGAGAACGCAGAGCAGGACATGCAGAGCTCAGACGGGGCCGCACTGGGGAGGTGATGCTGGAGGAAATCCTTGCAGCAGGAGGGATGCCTGCCGCCATGTTGGGAGGGGAGGGGGGTTGAGCCATGCGGTAGAGCGGCTGTGCACCAGATGCAGGGCCGGAGCAGGAGAGGACGCAGCTGGGAGGGAGGCCAGGGGCGCAGGTGCCATCATCCCTTCAGGCCCTTCTGGTAAATCCCAAAGCGGGTGTGGCCCTTGCAGTTGGTTTTGTTATGTTGGTGATTTTCATTTTGTTTTTTAGTGAGAATGACATGGTCTGGTATACATATTTCCAGAATTGCTTCCACTTTGTTTCTTTTGAAATCACTAAACAAGGACAAGGGTAGAAGCAAGGAGATGAAGCAGGAAATGTCAGGGTCTCGGGCCCGAGTGCCAGCAGTGGAGACGCTGAGGTCAGATTGAGGAGGATGGAATAATACATGATGTAAACAATCCTCAAGATATACAGGTTCAGAATCGAAGCTCAGCAGGTATTTTCTACAGATGAGGCAAGGGGTGCAGCTGCCAGCCAGCCACAGTGGTCTCTGCAGAAAGTTAACCCTATCATGACTAAAATTAGAAAAACCCTAGCTGGGGTGACAAGGATGCACAGTGAGTTGAACTCCCATAAAATGCAAAACAGAGTAACTGCTTTAGAAACTGGTTTAGCAGTTTTTAAAAAGTTAAGCATATACTTTTCACATGGCCCATACATTCCATTCCTAAATATTTCCCTAAAATGAGGGAAAACTTATGTCCTCACAATATAATTCACACAATTTTTTTTTTGACATGGACTCTTGCTTTGTCCAGGCTGGAGTGCAGTGGCTTGATCTCAGCTCACTGCAACCTCCGCCTCCCAGGTTCAAGCGATTCTCCTGCCTCAGTCTCCCAGGCAGCTGGGATTACAGGCACCTGCCACCACACCTGGCTAATTTTGGTATTTTTAGTAGAGACAGCATTTCACCATGTTGGCCAGGCTGGTCTTAAACCCCTGACCTCAGATGATCCATCCGTCTTGGCCTCCCAAAGAGCTGGGATTACAGTCGTGAGCCACCGTGCCCAGCCCACAAATGATTATATCGGCTTTATTCATAATCACCAAAAACCTGTAACCACCCAATGCCCTTCAGGGGCTGAGTAGATGAACAGAAGAAGGTTCCTCCGCCCAGCAGACTGCCACTCAGGGATGAGAGGAACGGAGAACGGAGCCTGCAGTGAGGGAGAATCTCAGATCCACTGCGGGGCTGGAGGCGAAGGTGTTCAGTTGGTCCACGTTGTAAAACAACCAGAAAATGGCTGCTTGCAGTTTGATTCTACACATATCACATTCTCAAAAAGGCAGAACTGAAGGGAAAAAGCTGCATCTGTGGTTTCCAGGGGCTGGAGACTGGGGAGGGGTTTAGCTGCAGCAGGGCTCAAGCGAGCTTTGGGGTGATGGGATGCGCTGTCTTGAATACGGTGTAGGCTATGGTATGGTTTGGCTGTGTCCCCACCCAAATCTCATTGTGAATGGCAGCTCCCATAATCTCCACTGTTGTGGGAGGGACCCAGTGGGAGATCACTGAATCATGGGGTGGGTCCCTCCATACTGTTCTCATGGTAGTGAATACATCTCATGAGACCTGATGATTTTCTGAGGGGTTTCCCATTTTGCTTGGCTTCCATTGTCTCTTGTCTGCCACCATGTAAGACCTGCCTTTCACCTTCCACCATGATTGTGAGGCCTCCCCAGCCATGTGGAACTGTGAGTCCATTAAACCTCTTTTTCTGTGTAAATTACCCAGTCTTGTATATGTCTTCATCAGCAGCATGAAAACAGACTAATACATGAGCAGTGTACATTCTGCCCAATGTGTAGCCTTTTATCCTTCCCCCCTTCCCCCCGAGTCCCCAAAGTCCATTGTATCATTCTTACGCCTTTGCATCCTCATCGTTTAGCTCCCTCTTACAAGCAAGAACATTCAATATTTGGCTTTCCATTCCTGAGTTACTTCCCTTAGAATAATGGTCTCCAACTCCATCCAGGTTGTTGAGAATGATATTATTTTATTCCGTTTTTTGGCTGATTTGTATTCCATGGTATATGTATACCACAGTTTCTTTATCCACTTATTGATTGATGGGCATTTGGGCTGGTTCCGTGTTTTTGTGATTGTGAATTGTGCTGCTATAAACACGTGTGTGCAAGCGTCTTTTTCATACGACTTCTTTCCCTCTGGGTAGATACTCAGGAGTGGGGTTGCTGGGTCAAACGGTGGATCTACTCTTAGTTCTTCAAGGAATCTCCTCACTGTTTTCCATAGTGGTTGTACTGGTTTACATTCCCACCAGCAGTGCAGAAGTGTTTCCTTTTTATCACGTCCACGCCAACATTATTTTTTGATTCTTTGATTATGACCAATGAGTAGGCACCTCTCAAAAGAAAGAAGACATACAAGTGGGCAGAAAACATGATAAAATGCTCATCATCAGTAATCATCTGAGAAATGCAAATCAAAACCACAGTAAGATACGATCTCACATCAGTCAAAAATGGCTTTTGTTAAAAGGTTAAAAATAACCTGTTTAACAGGTTGGCAAGGCTATGGGGAAAGGGAATGCTTATACACTGCCAGTGCGAGCGTACATTGGTTCAGCCCCTGTGGAAAGCAGTTTGTAGATTTCTCAAAGAACTGAGAGTTGAACTACCGTTTGACCCCATAATGCTATTACTAGGTATATAGCCAAAGAAAAATAAATCATTCTTCCAAAGGGCACATGCCCCCATACAGACATCACAGCACTATTCGCAACAGGAAAGACATGGCCTCAACCTAGATGCCCATCAAAGGGGGATTGAATAAAGAAAATATAGTGCATACACACCATGGAATACTACGCAGCCATCAGGAAGAATGAGATCATGTCCTCGCAGAGACACGGGTGTAGTCAGAGTCACTATCCTAAGTGAATCAACACAAATACTGCACGTTCTCACTCATAAGTGGGAGCTAAACATTGGGCACACGTGGACACAGAGATGGGAACAAGACACCGGGAACTACTGTGCTCACTACCTGGGTGACAGTATCCGTCATACCCCAAACCTCAGCATCACACAATCAACCTACATAACACACCTGCATGTGTACCCTCAATTCTAAAATAAACGTTAAAAAAGAAAAAAAAGCCGGGGGAGCAGGTTTTAGCTGTAACTCTAACAGCATCTACTGAGAAATCATGGAGCAGCCTGATACCTTTTCATCCCCCTGAAGTGCCCTAGGTATGGAAAACAGAGCCCATAATGGTGAGCAGGCATCAAAATGAGAGCACTCCGCACCCCAGCGTTTTGCTTTGGAGGTGCCCCGCTGATTGTTGCAGGCTGTTTCGTGAGGATCAATGAGCGGCTGGGAGTAAACGTCTTCCATACTGGCTCAGGTCACCACCCTAAAGCCCTACAAAGTCGTTGACCCCCATAATTCAGGAACATTGCTTGTCATCCCGGGACCCACCGCAAGGCCGAGCGGAGAGGAAGACAGAACCCTCGCGTGGTCCACGGCAGAACACGAGTGGCACCTGCCGGCTTGGGGAGCTCAACAAAAGGCTTGTCAGACAGAATTACTGTTCACCAACTATTCAATAATGCTTCTAGTGTGTGATTTATAGGAGATCATTACTCTTTGTAACCAAATGGAAAGGTTCAATTTTCAGGTCCCATTTCTTGTTTTTTTCTCTCCCCTAGGAAATCTTAGAAGTAGCTCTTCTAGGATTTCATTAAAATGTCTTCTTCATTATAAAGAAAAATGGTTTTTGTAGTTACTCTTCTCAAGTTTAATCTTGCTGGAGGCAGAGCTGGCCAACACTCCTTTTGAATAAGGAAATATGAGGAGCCCAGGGCATCCTTCAAAAGAGGGCATCACTGTTCTGTTGGGATTATAGGGCGTACAGTAACCAGTGTCTGAAGAACAAGACAGTGAGCCCGTTCACTCTGTGAAACTCAAGACCTGCTTTGACTCCCACCGACTTCATGAGCAAAGGTGCTTTCATGGATGCGTGGCTCGTCCTGGTACATCTCTTAGCTTTTAGTTCCATTTCTGTACGTTTTTGAAGTGTCATCTGAATGATATTTTTTAATCCCTCTGAAGTCTTATTTACACATACATCTACGTGAGAGAGCAATACAATCCTAATAATAATCCTGCAGCACATTCTCGGCTGCATCACAAAGTAAATCTATTCCCATCGCGCCTGTGACTTCCTTTCTTCCCCTCTACACTCCAAGGGCGTCACCTGTTCCTTCCTGTTTTTTATAGTTCGGCTGAGCGCAGCGTGGGTATTTTGAGCTGAGTCAAACTGATTTCCGCTGACACCAGCTTGGGTATTTTCATCACACACCTCCTCATGGTTCCCCCCTCAGTTCCCAGGGCAAATGTTAGTGCTGTCCCCATCGGTGACATTCCTCAGAAGCCAGTCTCTCCCCCTCCCCTGGAGCCGGACCCACCCGTGATGGCTGACTGCTGTTGGCCAACCCACCAGCCCGTTATGCAGACCCACCCTTGATGGCTGAGTGCTGTCAGCCACCCACTAGCCCGTTCTGCAGACCCACCCTTGATGGCCGAGTGCTGTCGGCCACCCACCAGCCCCTTCTGCAGACCCACCCGTGATGGCTGAGTGCTGTCGGCCACCCACCAGCCCCTTCTGCAGACCCACCCGTGATGGCCGAGTGCTGTCGGCCAACCCACCAGCCCCTTCTGCAGACCCACCCGTGATGGCTGAGTGCTGTCAGCCACCCACCAGCCTGTTCTGCCAAGTCAGACGGACATTGTGATCTGTATGCTTTGTGTGACCCTCCAGGAACCTAAACACCTGTGAAGACAGGTTTATTCTCAGGTCATTCCTGCAGAGCAAAGCCTCCACCGCAGACACAATTAATCACGTCACTGCCGCAGGCACTGCACACATAGCCTTTTATCTCAAGAGGGCTTGACCCACCTGCTGGGAATGTCACCAGCTGGCTGTCAGATGGGAGAGGAAGTTGCGGGGGTGGATGCGCACCTGTCCAGGATGAGAGATCCCACCCACCCTCTTTGCCTAGGTCAGGTCTCAGATGACGGCTGGAAGGTACTGGACCATAACACAGGGTACTGGACAGACATGGAGTGTCCCAGGCCATGTTGGTGGCAGGGCTGTGGAAGGCCAGCTGGACAGGCTGCCTCCCCACCCTCCGGCTCTGTCCTTTCCTTCTGAAACCAGCCTCTCTCCCCACCCCTGTGAATCTCCGCTTTGCCTGTCCCTGCTGGGCCGATTCAAGTTCACTGTCTCCATTTGGCCTTAACTTTGAGGAACCTTGCTCTTTTATTGAAATTCTGGCTCAGAAACGCAGCTGCACAGCCTGAGAGCCGGCAGCCCGGTGGTCATCTTCAGAGCCTGTCTACTGTGGTTCCTAATTCCTCACAGCTCACCTGTCTGTGGCCATGATAAACAGCCTCCTTCTGCCCATCTGCACCCAGGAATGTGCATCCAAAGTAGCTCGCTTATTTACTTCCCTGACATTTATTTTCTCATGTTTAAACATATGGATTATTATCGGTTCATAGACTCAGAGCCCACAAGAAACCAGATTATGTGGCCTAGAATAATTGAAAGGTGAGAAAGAAAAAAAAAAAAGGTGCCTAATGAAATGATAGTCCCAACCATGGAATGAATAGACCTGATTCCAGATGCCGGTGTCGGGATGGCAGAGTGACCCTGAGTCATTTTGCCCCAGGCAGAGCACCTGTCAGTCTGGTGGAAAATGCATTTTCAGTGGTGGGAGGCAGGGGATTATCTGCTGGTTTAGCGCTGCCTGTCACTCTCTGTTCGTAGGGTTTAATTTACTTTCATTCCCCCTACGTAAGGGGTAAATGTGACCTTCAGAAATCACAGCATTTCTTTTCCCCATTTGCCGTCTTGCTCATGGGAACTTAACTGCTGCTAATTAATGAAATGCCCTCTGTTTTTTAAATCTGGGTGTCTGTCCACTCTCTTCCATTCATCTTACCCATGAGCCTGTAGCCATCTTTGTTTACTCCTCCTTCGGACTGGGACACTGGTGGCTTTCTCTGAACTGTCTGGGGTATGGGTGCCAGCCCTCCTTCCCTTTCCTTCAGGAATTTGCAGCCAGGAGGACACATACAGGCATGAAGGAACGTGAGCACCCCTCAGCTCATGTGAGACGTGGTGTGTGTAGACATAGCATATTTTCTCAGAGTTTCCATGACATTTTCAGGAGCTCCTCGCGGTGTGAAGAGCATGCTTTCAGCCCTGGCTTTCCTCAGGTGGCCAACAGCATCCGTGATTCTGGCCACTCTTGCTCCACAAGGCCCTCCTTTCTCTATTCCTCTCTCCATCGACACCATAGATGCCCAGGGCAATGGTCAAACCAACAGAATAGATCTGGTCCGGGACGCGGCACCTGGATGGCAGCCACCCCCACCCCACAAGGCCCTCCTTTCTCTATTCCTCTCTCCATTGACACCGGAGATGCCCAGGGCAATGGTCAAACCAACGGAATAGACCTGGTCCGGGACATGGCATTTGGATGGCAGCCACCCCCACCCACCAGTCGGCTCCTCAGTATGAGAGGTGCATGTTGCTGGGAATGCCGGAAGGCTTGTGAATGGAGGGTCATTATTCTAGCCCCCTCCTTGATGAAGATCAGTCATTAGCCAGGTACAAAGGAACAAGAAAGTAGCTTGGAATGAGTCACGAAGCTGGAGGTTGAGGGAGATGACGGCGCATCCTGGAGACTGAAGGTCAGGCTGCAGCGTTAGCCACATGCAACTTACAGAAAATAACCTCTGGGAACATGTTAATTTATTAGCATTTCACAAATGATGCTGAAACAATCGAAAGGAGCACCTGCTTCCAGTTGCATAGCACCAGCTGAGAGCACAAAGGCCTCTGAGGGTGGAGCAGGGTGAGCCCAGGCAGGGGGGCAACGCTGGGACAGCAGCCAGCAGGCCAGTGTTTCTTCAGCGGCCTTGAAAGGAGAGAGGCTGTGAGTCTGGAGTCAGTCAGGTCTAACACGATGCTCCTTTTCAAAAACTGCAGGACTTCCTGACCTTTACTCCGCTGCCAAACCAGGCGGGGATTAGGGGCGGTGGGGACAGAATAAGATGCTGGGCGCAGGGATGATTAGCCGCCTCTCAAGCTTTCATCCCTCAGGCACTCTGGGGACGAAAGTGACCTCTGTTTGTTTTTGCATAGGAAGCATTGTCCTGGGAAGCTGGCAGGATTTACTGCCAAGGTGAGAAAACACAGCGGCACATTTAGCCACTAATTAATTGCAAATGGACATCTGAAAATTGGATCCATCCTGAAAGGGGGTGGGGAAAGTGGTGTTTACTTGATGGAGGACCTAATTCATAAGCAGAGGGGAAGGCTGTGCGTTTCATTTCCCCTGCTTATCGATTCTTGAAAGCAATAAATGGTAGAGTTTGCTCTTTCATTTCGGTGAGTCATTCATTTCTGTGTCCTTTATCATTCCTATTATGCAAAGGGGTTGGCCAACCGTAAGATGAAGAAAATAGTTGATTTCAAGGTAGTCTTTTCCTTGTGCCTCATCAGAAGCCCCCTGCGGTCCAAGCTGGCTGTTAATTTTTGGTGTCTCTGCGTTGCGATAAAGTAATATGAATAGCCAACAGAATTTTGGCCTGGAAGACTTTGTTGGGATGGAAAATGTGAATGCTATGATTATTTACCCCGGTGGGATTCATTGTGAAAGTATCTCAGCTGCGTATGTAAATTGGGTAGTGCTGGCGTGACTTTTGTTTTTCATGAGAGCTCCAGTCCCTGTGATAAATGTTTTACATAGATTAGTCCTCACCAGCCCCTGTAAGACAGGTGCAATTAGTATCTCTCTTGCAGAGAGAGGCACGGATGCCAAGGGTTGGCAGTGAGTCCCAGGGACGCCCCGCGCAGTGCAGAGCCGAACCCCGGCTGTCTGGCTACAGGCAGAGAGCCTTTAACCACCACTGTACCGAACATCCCCCCTCCGCCTGCTGAGCTTTTCAGAACACAGGAAACGTGGGGCTAGATGTAGGTTTTCAGTCTCCAAAAGCCGGGTCTTGTTTTTATGTCTCTTTGGAGTCCACATGTGATTTAAATGGATTTGTCTCCAGATTGTCTTGGAAGAGGAAGAGGATGGGTGATGGGGGCATCTCAGTGCTGACTCTGTCTTTCTTCCTAATACTCAGGGTCATGTTTCACTGGCAGAAGCTCTCTGCACCCATGGCAGGGCACGTTCCCACACACATATTTTGCTTAAACCCAGAAATACAGCATTGAAGCAAACGCACGGCTGGCTGAGCCCTGACCTGGCCTAGTCCATCACTCATCAGTGATTTGCCAAATAAAGAGTTATGTTAACAAGATAAAAGAACAGGCTGGACGCAGTGGCTCACACCTGTAATCCCAGCACTTTGGGAGGCCGAGGCGGGCGGATCACCTGAGGTCAGGAGTTCTAGACCAGCCTGACCAATGTGGTGAAACCCCATCTCTACTAATAATAATAAAAAAAAAAACCTACAAAACTAGCCAGGCATGGTGGTGTATGCCTATAATCCCAGCTGCTTGGGAGGCTGAGGCAGGAGAATCGCTTGAACCCGGGAGGCAGAGGTTGCAGTGAGCTGAGATCACGCCATTGCACTCCAGCCTGGGAAACAAGAACGAAACTCCATATAAAAAAAAAAGAAAAGAAAAGAAAAGGCTGGGAAGGGTGGCTTACGCCTGTAATCCCAGCACTTTGGGAGGCCGAGGCGGGCAGATCACGAGGTCAGGAGATCGAGACCATCCTGGCTAACATGGTGAAACCCCATCTCTACTAAAAATACAAAAAATTAGCTGGGCGTGGTGGCGGGTGCCTGTAGTCCCAGCTACTTGGGAGGCTGAGGCAGGAGAATGGCGTGAACCTGGGAGGCGGAGCTTGCAGTGAGCCAAGATCACACCACTGAACTCCAGCCTTGGTGACAGAGCGAGACCCCATCTCAAAAAATAAAAAAAAAATTTTAAAAACCATCAAAAATGAAAGAAGGTTGAAGGAGGCATTTTTAAAACCTCCTGGAGCCTAGTTTTACGTTTTCCTACATGATCCATGTACAAGGCCATTAAAACAAACAAAATAGTGTGATAACTGATGAGCGTGACCGTTCAGAGACCAGCCTGGAGGTGGAGATAGAAAGATTTACACTTTTCTTTCCAATGGCAAAGCCTTTTCCAGAAAAATCTTAAGAGGAAGGGTCAAAGTGAGATGATACTTTATTGGATTTTCTTTTTCTTTTTCTTTTTCTTTTTTTTTTTTTTTTTTTTTTTTTGAGATGGAGTTTTGCTTTTGTCGCCCAGGCTGGAGTGCAGTGGTGTGATCTTGGATCACTGCAACCTCCAGCTCCCAGGTTCAAGTGATTCTACTGCCTCAGCCTCCTGAATGGCTGGGATTACAGGCATGAACCACCACGCCCGGCTAATTTTGTATTTTTAGTAAAGACGGGGTTTCACCTTGTTGGCCAGGCTTGTCTCGAACTCCTGACATCAGGTGATCCACCCGCCTCAGCCTCCCAAAGTGCTGGGATTACAGGCATGAGTCACCGCACCAGGCCAGATTTTATTTTCTAAGACATGAGACTCCCAGAAGGGGAATTTAAAAAATCTCTGACTCCTTGGCTGGCCCAGAAAACTAAACTCATGTCAGGGCACCCAGTGGGTTGATCATGTCTCAGGCTCAAGCTTCCAGCCCGACCCGATTATCCTTCTGATGCCAGGGTCCCCCCTTGGAGAAGGGCCAGGTAGGAGGGGCCCCAATGACTGCTCTCAGCCCTCCTGTGGAACCAGGTCTGTGTTCCTCGGGGGAAAGTTGGTGATGTCTTCACAGCAGGGCTGGAAAATCACCATGCTCACAAGAAATGAAAGCATCCAAGTGGCTGTGTGACATCTGTCACCCCGTGTCATGCTCACATGACGGTCTGGGAGGAATCACACAGTTATGTCAAATGTGATGTGCTTGAGAACGTGTGGGTTTTAAGGATATTTTGAGATTCAGAACACTTGCTTTTCAAGTCACTGTTTCTCTTTTAAAAGAAACGTGGAAAGCCGTTTGATCTGCTTCTTGATAGCTGGGCAGGACAGCACCGTGGTCAACGCTGCACGAGGCTTGCCTTCCTCAGAGTTCTAATCTCCACCCTCTGTCTGTTGTGGTCAGTTCATGTGTCTTTACACTAGAAACATAGCCTAGCATTTGCTGAAAATCATTGCATTTCTTTTTAAAGAATGTATTAAAAATAATCACAGAATGTATGGAACGTCTGCTCTGAGTAATTTATATGCATTTTTAATTTTTCACACGGTAGTCCTGCAGAGGACCTTGTAGTTAACAAAAAAGGCTCAACAAGCCCAGCTCACTGGCATGGCTCGCTCTCGTGGGCCACGGGGTGGGCGGCTTGCTCGGCTGGCTTCTCCCGCCCCCTCCCCACGGTTTCCGGGAGTCCCTGCGCGGTGGTTCCCACGGCCGCCCCGGCCAGCCTCACCTGACCTGGGATGCGCTTCCTTCCACAGCTGTAGCCCTCGGCGTCTCCCCGCCCCAAACACAGAGTAGGAGCTGCAGGCAGCCGTGGGTGGATGTGGGGATGGGCGTGGGACCCTCGTTCGGGGCATCAGGCTGGACCAGAAGAGGAGGGAGACGCAGGAAGAGATGACAAAGAGAGAAAGAAGCAAAGACACGAGCGACGACAGGGACCCAGGAGAAGAGGGCGGATGGTCTTGGAGCATTTAGCCCTCCCACAGCCCGGCCATCCTCACGTCCCGTGCTCGGGCCCTGGCGCACCTGTTCTTCCCTCCGGCACTGCCTCCTCCTTGGAGCTGGCTTGAGTGAGCCTCCGGCGCGCGCGGCCGGAGAGGCGCAAGGGAGCCCCGCGGCAGCCTGGGAGATAAACCACGCTCGGTGCCGGCAGGAAGGGCAGCGGTGCACCGAGCTGCTGCTGGGCGTTTGCAGGGAGTGATCTGTGGCTGATGAGAGGCCCTGAGGGGTCCAGGGAGTCCGTACTTTGTGGGGAAACTCAGAAGGTTTTCATGAGGAAGTGACCCAGCCCAGGCTTTAAAATGCGTCCCTCTAGACTCTGCCCCACGCGTGAGGAAGTGAGCGTGGCGGGCAGAGACTGGGCTGGACGTGCGTGAGGCCGCGGTGTGTTTCCAGAGTCTCCAGGCGCCACGTGGAGATGAGCACACCTGCTGTTGGCTTGACGGACCCAGAAGCTGAACTGCTGTGTAAGAGGCTCAGGGAGCAGGACCTGAGGGCGTCTCCACAGGGCAGGGAGGCAGGCGCAGAACGTGAGGACAAGGGAAGGCTGAACTGCTGTGCAAGAGGCTCAGGAAGCAGGACCTGAGGGCGTCTACACAGAGCAGGGAGGCAGGCGCAGAACGTGAGGACAAGGGAAGGCTGAACTGCTGTGCAGGAGGCTCAGGGAGCAGGACCTGAGGGCGTCTACACAGAGCAGGGAGGCAGGCGCAGAACGTGAGGACAAGGGAAGGCTGAACTGCTGTGCAGGAGGCTCAGGAAGCAGGACCTGAGGGCGTCTACACAGAGCAGGGAGGCAGGCGCAGAACGTGAGGACAAGGGAAGGCTGAACTGCTGTGCAGGAGGCTCAGGAAGCAGGACCTGAGGGCGTCTACACAGAGCAGGGAGGCAGGCGCAGAACGTGAGGACAAGGGAAGGCTGAACTGCTGTGCAGGAGGCTCAGGGAGCAGGACCTGAGGGCGTCTACACAGAGCAGGGAGGCAGGTGCAGGAGGTGGGGACCAGGGAGGCAGGTGCAGGAGGTGGGGACCAGGGAGGCAGGTGCAGGACGTGGGGACCAGGAAGGCAGGTGCAGAATGTGGGGACCAGGGAGGCATGTGCAGGACATGGGGACCAGGGAGGCAGGCAGGGCTGCCAGGAGCAGCCACAGACCACAGGGCTTTTGTAAGGGTCTGGGAGCTGTGGTTTGCTCACAATTGTTCATTGATTAGTGCCTGTTAGTTGCAAACATAGCAACACAATATAGTAATGAGAATGAAACTCCTTTTAAAAAGAGTCTTAAAAAGGTGGGCAACAGTGTTCTTGCCCATGGGTTTAGCGTGATATGGAAACTGGGATGTTTTGCCCCATTTCAAACACTGTTCTAGGAAGAGGACCACAGCAGTCCATGTGGAGGCAGCTGGAAGGAAGAAAGACAAAGCCGGCTTCCTTCCTGGGAGCCAGCGTGGGCTGAGGAGCTGGTGAGGTGCCAGAGAGCAGCCAGGGCAGGCCCTCCAGGTGCCAAGGCCACAGCCTCCTGGGCTCTGAGCTCCATGAGCTTCTGAATGAACAGTGAGCTGGCTCAGCCACAGCTCTCAGCTTTGCAGGGCTTCTTGTCAGCAGTCAGACCCGTATCACTGCCTGGTCCAACAGAGTCAATGGCCTTGATTTCCAGAATTCATCATTTCTGATTTAAAAAAGAAAACATCCATGATTATTTTAAGACACGGACATGAGTTCCTTAGATCCTCATTGCGCAGGGACACTTCAAAAGAAAAAGGGAAATTGGAAACCTTCTGGCTTAGGCCTGCGACTGGACGGCTCTGCCCCAGAGCGGTGCCCGCCGACCCAGGGTCCTCCATGGTCTGTGATGTTTTGATCACGACGGCTGAGGCCTTTGGTGAGAGCCCAGAACAGCCATCCAGACACTCGAAGGAGGTTCACGCTGATTCAGAGTCATCAGGGTAAAACCAATTCAGACCCAACTTACAAGCTGGACAGGAATTTCTGGTGAAAGTGGCTGAGGCATTTGATAGAAAGATATTCATGTTGTTAGTCCGTAAACTCTTATGGGAGATCCATGAAAAATTAAACCAACCATAGTTGGGCATCATATCTGAGGGACAGAGGTGGCAGCAGAGCCTTCTGTGGCTTCTGAGATGGCTTCATGTCCTCCCACCCTGAGTCATCGGCTGTATCACAATATTTCCTGGCAGCAGAGAGCAGACCTGGTCTCTCAGCCTTTCAGCCCCCTCCCCTTCCTGCTCTGCCGTCTCCTTTGCTGTCTGCCCCCTAGGACCTTCATTTTGCCACAGTGGCTGCAATGTCAATAAGAAGGCATTATCTTAAATTCCGCTAATAATAACTGCAATGAGGATGAAAATTTTACATTACCATCAGGCATTGCCACGGCCTCTCTTAAAGAACTATAGAGAATGATGTGGACACTTACAAATATGCCTTGACAGGAAGTTTCAGAAACAAGCTTGGAAATTGGGACGATGTTAATGCAGCTGCCCTGTCATTTTCCATAAAATTATTTTTATCTTCCTTTCCTCTCATCTTGCCAGATAATTATGATACGCTTTTTTTGTATAATTTTGATTAGGTTGATTAGCCAGACCCACTCTACGCTGTAAAATGCAGCTAATGAATTGCAGATTTTTTCATATCATTTTTCCACCTAGAGCATAGGCAGGACTTATCTATGATTCAAATGCAGAAAATGTTTTTAAGAGCGTTCATGCAGATGCAGGATTCAAGGAAAACCAGTTGAGAGGCACAAGTGCCATGAGGCTTCACATAAGAAAGGAAGCAGGGAAAGCATGTATGTAAGTAATGGACTCGCTGGATGCAGATTTTTATAGCAGACGCGGTTAAGGAAATTTGGAGAGGCCGTGTGTCCCACATTGCGTCCATGTGAAGATGGCGACGCTGGTTTATCCCCGTTCTTGGTTCACTGAAGGAGAACGCTTCAGTTCCCCCTCCCAGCTCCCACTGTGGGAAGACAGGTGTGGTCTGAAGCGCTGCCCCTACTTGACAGAGGGAGGAAAAGGGAACCTTTGAAAGGGCCCAGGGAGGTCATAGAAGGTCAGTCATCAGGCTGAGCATGGTGGCTCATGCTTGTAATCCCAGCACTTTGGGAGGCTGAGGCAGATGGATCACTTGAAGTTAGGAGTTTGAGAACAGCCTGGCCAACATGGCGAAACCCCATCTCTACTAAAATACAAAAATTAGCTGGGTGTGGTGGTTGGCACCTGTCGTCCCAGCTACTCAGGAGGAGGCTGAGGCAGGAGGATCGCTTGAACCCCGGAGGTGGAGGCTGCAGTGAGCCGAGATCGCGCCACTGCACTCCAGCCTGGGTGACAGAAAGAGACTCCATCTCAAAAAATTATAATAATTTTAAAAAGGAAGATCAGTCATCAGCATGGTCTTCAAGATCTCTGCTCGCGTCCCGTGCTCTGCCAAGATGCTGCATGGACATGTTTCTCACCTCATCTTCAGAACCACCCTTGGCACAAACAGCATGATGACCATCCTACAGATAAGGAAACCAAGGCTTTCATTACTTGCCCCAGATCATAAGAGCCAGAGCCTGGACTTGAGCAAGTCAAGCCTGCATATTACGGCAGATGGAAAGCTGTGCAGTCTGCGTGTTCAAAGAGCATTTGCAAAAGGCAGCCAAGACAGGTGGGGCCGGAAGTCTGTTCAGAAGAATGTGAAATCTCGGCTCCTGGAGGCTGTTAGGGCTGTGTCCTCTCTGGATCTGTGTTGTTTATAAAGGACTGCCATGTGGTGGCACGTGCGAAGCCTGTCATGTTCCACAGGCTCTGAAAGTAGTTTGCCTTGGAGAGGGGAAAGACCCCCTATGGAAGGCTGTCTGCTGAGCACATTCCAATCAAAGGGGGAATTTCTCGGTTTCCTTAGGAACAGTTCAGCATCAGCGGAGATGCGGCGGCGGCTCCTGAGCCTTGCAGAGAGCCACAACACTTTAACAGAACTGCATTTGTCTCCTCTTGCTCTTCCAACTCTAAATAATATCTTAGCGTTTCATGCCAAATGGGATGAAATTGCCAGGGTTTTTCATTACAGAAAACATAAATTGCTGAAGGCAAATATACTGCCAGTGGAGCTGGCAACATGAGAATCATGCATTTGAGTCACAAACAAGTAGTAAAACACATGCATTTATGCAGCTGCTAATCTCAAGAAGCACCAACAGATGGGAAAACTGGAACAGCCTCTGCCTGGAACGTTTGTCTCCACGTTCCCGATACTGCTGGGCAACCCAGGGAGACCAGCCACGTGGGGAGGTTGAAACAATATTGGGGCCCGCCAAGCTGCCACAGCCTGGCACAGTCATTTCTTGGTGAAGTTTCAGGTCAGGAGCTCTGTAACCTGTTAAAGCACAATCGATCTAGAATCCGAGGCTTTAAAAATGAATTGCAATGTAAGTGCTGTGCTAAAACCTTGTACTTATTTGGTTTTCTGCGAGTAAACTTGACATGTGATGTATTTAAAACAAGAAGAATGATGCCTTAGGCATGATTGGTCCGTGAATAATAGGAAACCAGTTTCATCTGTCATTTTTTAACAAATGCCATTCACTGTTATTAATACCCAGAGTGGAATAAATGAATAATGGCTAGGCCTGGGGATATAGATCAAAATTCAGTTCTATGGCTAAGTAGTACTGAAAGTGGGTATTACAGAGATTCAGGGAAGAAAACAACCAACCACAAATCAGATTTTTGAAGTTGCTTTCATTTAGAAAATGAGAATAAAAATAGTATATTGGCTATGAAATATTCTGGTATATAGATTTATGTAATAAATTCTACCTGTAATTGATTGAGTTGATTCCATTCTGTAGGACAACTGAATGCAGGTTTAAAACAGTGCTACTGAAGTGAAGGATGTGCTTTGTAAGCTGGTTTGCCCTGTGAGGTTGTCCGTCTAACCCAGATAACACGAGTCACTCTCCCTGTACATGTGTCTGTGACTGAACTGATTTCATGGTGTAGGAATCGTCTGTTCATATGTGATTCTCCTGCCTGGCTATGAGCCCGCAGGCCAGGTCCCACCTGTGCACTGCTGCGTCCCAAGCATGCACCACACAGCACCGATTCTCAGGTCCTCATCCTCAAGGGCTGGTCGAGTACGAGTAGTCGGTGAAGCTTCACGTCCTCACTACCTGCCAGCAGGTACGTGGTGGCCCCTTTACCCATAACTGGGAGGACAGCGGTCACCACAGTTGCTGGAGCTGCTCTGCCACGTCCTCAGATTATCCCTCTAAACATCTTTCCCGGGACATTCACTGTGAGGTGAAATCATACCTGTGGAAATCATTGTTGAAATGATCGCTTTGAAAGGAGTTTCCATCATCGCTGAGTCTTCGATGAGGAGGGCAGAGGTGTTGAGTTCCTCAGCAGTTTCAAGCTGTGGCATATTCTTCAGGATTTCTTGACAAGCCCACTCAGGGCAGAGCCTCCGTTGAACAGCCAGGTGGGAGGCTGGGAGTCCTTCTTCCACACAGTCCTCCCCACACTGTCCTCCACACAGTCCTCCACCCCCCTGCAAACTCCCACCCGGCAGTTCACAGAGAGGCCTCATCTCCCAAACACAGACGCCCGTCTGGGATTTGGCCACAGCAGGAGGACGCAGCGGGGTGGCTCTTCCATGGAGGCCACTGGAATCCACTCGTACTCAGTCTTGGTGAGCTTGGCAGGTCTCTTTTCCAAGCTCAGATTTTGATGCCAGAAAAGGAGTGGCTTAAAGAGAAAGAGAATTGGGAATGGGCAGTTGAGCACCCAAAAGAGGCATTGAGAGGCCAGTCAGAACGGTGCCTGGCCCACGTTTCATCTTCCCTTTATTTTTGCAAAGCCTGGTCCTAAGCAGCTCCACAGGTAGCCCGAGGTGGGCTGCAGCTGCCCAGGCCAAGAGGTGAGCAGTAAATGCTGACACGCCACACAGGAGAAAACAGGGGTTTGGAGCCAGAGAGAAATTGAGGATGCAGGTTCTCATCCATGCTGCCACGGAGTAGTTGTGGGATTTTAATTCTACAACATCTCCAAAGCTCCTCCTCTGCACGATGGGCATGACGACGTTTTATCTTCTGCATTCAGATGCTGTGTGTTCCCTCCTCTCAGGCAGCTGCAGTCAGTGACTATGATGTCCAGAGATCACCCCAGGCTGACTCTTGTCCTGCAGATAGTGGGGCATGCAGGGGGCATCAAAGGGGACCTGGATTCAGGGTGGGTAAGCAAATGCAGGCATGTCATCCCCACAGCTACCATTTCAGATCTTTTTTCAGAAACTGATTACAGGAAGACACTGGATAGAACCCCACAGACTCAACTCGCATTCAGCTTAAATAATCCGCACTGTTACCTTCTGCACATGGTCCAACTTCTTTAAGGAAGCAAGGTGTCACCCTGTTCAGATTCTTCCTCCAGAGTTGCTTTTCTAGATGCCCAAGAAAATATGTCCTCCTCTGTGTTACCTGTGGACTGTAAAAGCCTGGGAAACAACATTCCATGCTGAAGTTTGAGCTGCTCGAGAATGCGACTAGTGTGCTTCTGATGCGTGGAGTTGGAGTTCGTGGAAAAAATGGGACCGTCAGCTCTGAGGGCAGCATGTCTTCCTCACTGTCTGTGAGTCTCCTGCAAGAGGCACCATGCGTGGATGGCACCGGTGACTGGCGGAGTGGATGAGCGAGGGACTGTTGTTCTGTGGGTGTCTTTCTAGATCGCAGTGGTGCCATTATCTGTGTGAGGGAACAGCAGTCACTCGGGGCTGACCCACGTTAGAGGAAGAAGGAAGGAAGCTGTACGTCTTTACCACCACCCTTTTCATTCCAGGCCATCTCATTCCAAAAAGGAAGACAATTCAGATACTGTCTTTACCGAAGACTGTTGGATGCCAAGTACTTTTTATAATGTTTTATACTTAGGCATACAGGTTGGTGGGAGAAAATTTGGAAAGCACAAAAAATTTAAAGAGAAAATAAAACACGGCCATAATTCCGCTCATCAGAGCCCATCGCTGTGAGCATCTTGGTTAATTGCCAGCAGACATTTTCCAAAGCAAACTCAGATCACAAACCGCATCGAGTTTGAGTATACCAATTCTCACGTAACGTTACGATGGGAATTTCAATAACACTTAGAAGCTTTCTAACATTCTACATGATAATTGCACCATAATTTACTTAAGCATTCTGCTTTAATTGGGCATTCCAAGATTAAGGCATATCAATTTTTTTTTTTAAGATGGAGTCTCACTCTGTCTCCCAGGCTGGAGTGCAGTGGCACAATCTTGGCTCACTGCAACCTCCACCTCTCAGGTTCAAGCAGTTCTCCTGCCTCAGCCTCCCGAGTAGCTGGGATTACAGGCACCTGCCACCGCACCCGGCTATTTTTTTTGCATTTTTAGTAGACAGGGTTTCACTATGTTGGCCAGGCTGGTCTTGAACTCCTGACCTTGTGATCCACCTGCCTCAGCCTCCCAAAGTGCTGAGATTACAGGCATGAGCCACTGCGCCCGGCTTCAATTTTTTTGAAGTAAAATAAATGGGCATCACAACTTACCCTGAAGTCATTTGCACAATACCCAGAACAAGTGTCAGCAATAATTAGAGCTGTGATTGCTCCTGCCACATCGAAGCACCTTACGTGCGGGGTTGAAAAGGCGCCTGTGGAGAAGGAACAGAAGCCAATCTCAGGCATCCATCAGGTGCAGAAAATTCAGACAATACGTCAGCTAAAGAAGTTAAGAGCGTTTCAAAGTGAATATTTTTTTATGTTAAAATGCCTGAAAAAGTTCTATCCAGAAAGCATGTTGTGTGACAAAGACACTGAGAGAGGGTGATGGGAGAGTCCTGTTCTGTGTTCGTGTGGAAAGACAGTGATTCCAGAGAGGTCCACAGAGGTGGCGCAGCCCTGGGCCACAGTCGGCTCAGTAGGTAAAGGTGAAATGGGCCCTCGGTTAATCACTTTTGTTCTTCCTCCCTTATTGGTGGCCTCAGCCCTGGCTGTGGATTGATTCACCTGTGGCACTGTCAAATGAACTGACCTGGGCCCCACACCAGAACAAATGAGCAGAATCTCTGGGCTGGGGCATGAGGCCTGTGTCCTCCTAAAAGGTCCCCAGGGTTAGGGAGGCAAGATTTAGCCAATGAAATTGAGAACACATGGACACAGGAAGGGGAACATCACACACCGGGGACGGTTGTGGGGTGGGGGGACGGGGGAGGGATAGCAATGGGAGATATACCTAATGCTAAATGACGAGTTAATGGGTGCAGCACACCAACATGGCACATGTATACATATGTAACAAACCTGCACATTGTGCATATGTACCCTAAAACTTAAAGTATAATAATAATAAAATTTAAAAAAATAAAATAAATAAAAATAAAGAAACTGGAAACCAAAAAAAAAAAAAAAAAAAAAACCCAAAAATAAAATCACTTTTCATGAACAGAGCAAAAGAAAAAAAAAAAAATCCAGGACGCCCAGTTAGGTTTGCATTTCACAAAAACATTTGATGTTGCATGAAATATGTGACAAAAATGCTCGCTGTTTGTCTGAAATTCACATGTAACTGGCGTCCCAGGTTGCCTGGCAGCCCTGCCCAGGAACTGCCGATGCTGTGAGCAAGAGAAACAGTAAGGCTGCTTTCAGGCCGCTGCTCCTGACCCCGGAGGCTTCGGGCCGCTCCCCCTGACCCCAGAGGCTTCGGGCCGCTCCCCCTGACCCCGGAGGCTTCGGGCCGCTCCCCCTGACCTCGGAGGCTTCAGGCTGCTCCCCCGATCCCGGAGGCTTCCGGCTGCTCCCCCTGATCTCAGAGGCTGTTTCAGAAAGTGAGCACGAGGAGCAATAGCCTGAGATTTGAAGGCCACATTTTTCTAAGCTTTGTAAAATGCCCTTCACTCTGTCTTTAAAGTAGTGTTTCCTGGGTAAGCATGGTGGACATATCTTTAAGGTGTCTTTAGTATAAAACTTTATTAAGTATAGATGGTAGTGCAGGGGACCTAACGCCGCATGTATTTGGAATTTAGATCTGAAACAGGTTGTAGAAAATATAAGTAGGTGTCACTTTTCATGCGAACAATGTTCAAGTTTCACCACAGGCAGATACGATTTCCTCTTGAAGTTAGCAGATATTTAAATAAGAAATAGTGTGCCTTTCTACTTCAGCACTTTTTAATTTTTTTTCCGAGTCCAGAAAAAATGCAAAGTTAAGTGTACGTTGCTGTTAGTCATAACTGAATTCCTTCGGAAGATGATGTCGTAGTTTATCGGAAGGCATGGTGGTGTTTAAGCTGGTAAGGCCTGCAGAGCTCCGGAGCGGGACGCGAGGGGGTGACGAGCGCACCTGGTGACTGGAGCCGGGCTCCGCTGTCGTGCGCCTTTGCAGCCATCTGTTCTGACAGAGGCACTGATTGTCATTCTTAGTTGAGTGGGGTTGCTTCATTAGTGACTTTGAGACTTTCTCTTGGCCTGATTTAAGTGACATTTAACCACTGGTAAAAATTCTGCAGACTTTAGGGGCAGCTTCTGTGGAGACTTGATCCTCGGTCCAAAATAAAATTACGATCATTTCTATGGTTTTCAAAGAAAAGCCATTAGTAATCATTACGGCAGTGGCTGAGCGCGGCTGGTGCACAGCTGCGAGTGAAATGGAGGAGGAAGCCAGCATTAAAACCAATCAATGTCATTGTCCTAACGGAGCAGAAATGAATCCCTAATTTAAACAGCCTTCAAATCCTGTCATTAGGGAAGCGGCTCAAATGTAGGCTCGAGCGTGCTTTCTGTAAAAGTAAACTTTTCAAGAGTTAGAAGAATCTAGAAATGGGGCAAGCTCAGATGGCTGAACTCTGCACTGACTCTCAGAGGGCTGCTTCTGCTGAGCGTTCCCTGTGCGTTCCGGAAGCAGCTCCTGTGGGCGACACCCGATGGGGACCGCGCTTCGCTCCGCAAACATTGTCACTGCGCCTGCGCGGTGACTCCAAGAGCCGAGGCCCACGCCTGTCCCCTCCCCCCACGAAGAGGTGCCGTGGAGCACGTGACCTGACCCCTCCTCACAGCTGGAGGCAGAGGGGCCGGGATGGACCCCCCGCCTCCCTGACTTCCAACCAGGCACCTTCCCCGGCTCCATGCTCATGGCGACGCAGCCGATTTTGCGTGAAGACCTGTGTGCTACCCATGGGAGGCCAATAAGGAGAAGGGCTGTGTACGACCACGGAGAGCTGCGGGACAGTAGGCCGGAGAAAAACAGGAAGAACTGAAAGACAGGCACCTCCACACCTTTCCACACATCTTCAGAGGTACATGTCAACCCGCCCTCCACCCTCCACTGCCATCCCACCTACGCATAGGGAACAGGTAGCATTCCTTGGGGAGGATGGAAACCGAGTTCTCACCCAGGCGAGAGAAAATGCCAGGATCTCAGGGGCAGGCTGCACAGAGATTCAGCCTCAAGGGAAGTCCAGGAGGATCTGGGCAGGGCACAAGGTGACAACGAGCTCAAGCTGTGCAGGTAGAACCAGGCGGATCCGTGTAGCAAGAACTCGGGGAGAAGAGGCAGTGCCCTAGGAACCCAGATGGCTGCCTTCATCTCCGCAGCTCTGAGACGCGCCTCCATGGATGGAGCGCATAGAGGGCTGCTTTCATCTCCGCAGCTCTGAGACACGCCTCTGTGGACGGAGGGCACAGACGGCTGCCTCCATCTCCGTGGCTTTCAGACACGCCTCTGTGGACCCAGCGTGTAGACATCTGCCTCCATCTCCGCAGCTCTGAGACGTGCCTCTGTGGACCGAGCGCATAGACCGCTGCCTCCATCTCCCTGGCTTTCAGACACGCCTCTGCGAGCCCAGTGCATCCCTGGATGAGAATGAAGCAACGGAATGGGACAGTTAGAGGGACGGACCCCAGGGAAGACCCAGAGACACACCTGAACGTGTGTGGGAGCCGCGAGGGTCCTGGTGAAGTTTCCCAGATTCTGAACGTTGGTTTAATGGTGAAGGCTTCACATTCTAATCCTCCTGTAAGCAAAGGTGTCCATCAGCTAGGAAAACGTCCTATCGGCAATGAAAAGAAGTAAGTGTGCTTTTCAGAAATGGAAGGGAAGCAAGCCCACTGCCTGCTGCCATCTCCCTGGGCAGCGGCTGGCTCCTGTAGAGAAGCTGGGGCGGGCGGTGGGCACGTCAGGGGTAGATGCGGAAGGGGTGGACGCGGCACGACCCTGCTTCTTACCCTGATTCTTCCTAGGCAGTGCTGACAGCATCTGTTTTATGGTTTGGGGTTTTGTGTCCATTTCATTTCGAAAAAGGCCTGTACTATAAAAAGTGCAGTGTGGACTCACAAGACTGGTGGGAACGTGTTGTATCTCCTGACCACGGAGGGGCTGGCCTGCCATGCCAGGAGGACGCAGGGCCCCTGCCCTCCCATTCTGCATCGCGGGGGGGCAGTAGGATGAACCCATAAACACATAACAAACACTCTGCAGGGCAGGAAAGGCTGCAGGGCCCACACACAGTGGACGAAAGTGGGTCATGTCCTTCTCTTGGTGTTTATGAGGTGATAATACTATTGTTTCCTTTTCCATCAAGAAATCCAGTCTTTTCTTATGAGCAATTTCCCTTCTCATGTGTGAACCTGGTTTTTCCTTCTAATACTTTGAAGGCTTAACTGCTTCCTTTTGCTTCCGCATTAGCATGATTTGGAGACAACTTCCCCCTGAGAAGACGCAATTGTGCTTTGAGTTTAAAAACCTGTCAATTTAAAGTGTGCATTTCCTCCTCTTTCTTCCCAAACCTTGCAGTTGGCATTCACGGGGCAGGTCTTTAAGAAATGAGGGGCCACTTGGGCAGGTGCGGTGCCTCACGCCTTAATCCCAGCACTTTGGGAGGCCAAGGTGGGTGGATCACGAGGTCAGGAGTTTGAGACAAGCCTGGCCAACATGATGAAACCCCGTCTCTACTAAAAATACAAAAATTAGCCGAGCGTGGTGTCAGGCGCCTGTAGTCTCACCTATTGGGCGTCTGAGGCAGGAGAATTGCTTGATCCCGGGAGGTGGAGGTTACAGTGAGCTGAGATTGTGCCATTGCACTCCAGCCTGGGCAACAGACCCAGACTCCATCTAAAAAAAAAAGGAAAGAAAAGAAAAGAAACGAGGTGCCACTCAATGCAGCCTCCCCCAAACAGACACCACCACACCACAGAGCACACAGAGCTCCAGCCACGGGGTTGAGGCTCAGCTTCACGGAGATCTAACTCTTCTGTGGCGGCAGAGAACAAACTTAACTTCCCCAGGCCTCAATTTCTGCATCCACAGAACTAGAGATGATCACTCCTGGCGTAATGACAGAGTGGTAGGGTGTTAGAGTGAGGTCCCGAGATATGCCTGTTGGCAAATGTACCTTTAAATCCTCATACGTGCCATTTTTCTTCATCAATTCTCCATAATGAGGCATTGCCAGGACCGACACCAGGTGGCAGCTCAGCCCCTGGCGGTCTTGGTGCCCTCCCTTCCCTGCCAAGATCAGACGGGGGCCAGCGTCAAGGTCAATGGAGTCCTGTGGGTTCATCGTGTCGTCTTCCAGGCAAGTTGCCTGCTCGTGTGGTGGCCGTGCTGGGTCTGAACCTGTGGCCTTCCCATTGCAGGAGAAGCGACACCAGACAGCCAGTGCCAGCGTGCCAGGGCTGGCTCAGATGCCCGGCAGCTGTGGGGGAAGCATTGTCTCCACTTCCAGGACAAGGAGAGGCAGCCGAGGACGTTTACTGTCCCGTGTTACCCGGCCACACACCCCAGGGCCCTTTCTCTTCCCCTTCTGCTGTGCTGCTCTGAGCCGGAGACTGAGCCGGCCAGGGCAGCCGAGGCCAAGAGTGGCGCTGCTGAGGGGCCGCCATCATGAGGGGTCAGAATGTGGTGGGTGAGCCAGGACTGCGCTGGCCCGGCGAGGTCGGTGTGCTGAGACCACAGTGTGCTCGGGTCACAGTGGTGATTGAAACGTTTGCCTCTGCACCTACTGGGAAGCCTCTTCCTGGAGGACCCTGGCTTTGATCTGTGGTTGTGCTGACGTGGACATCTTTGCCTCGCAGGATGCAGATTGCAGACGCTCATCGTCTCGCAGGCAGCTCCAGCTCGAGTGGTGGCCGTGCTGGGTCTGTGCCCGGGGCCTTCCCCCGTATGCTTTCGCTTTCTAGTGTCTGCGATGACGTGCGATTCACTAATCACCCGGACTCAGCGCATCTCTATGTTAAATAGCGCGTGTCCATCTGCAAAGCACACGACAGCCCCTGCGGCCACTGGGTGCCGGCGCCCAGCCTGTCCCGAGAGCCTCTGACAGCCAAGGATTGGCCCAGGTGTGGCTGATGGATGAAACAAGACTGTGAGTATTCCCAGGCAGTGACGTGGGGCCCCCGGCACGGTTCTCCTTCGAGTGCCCAGAAACACAAGCCTGCCTGATACATAGAGAATGTAAAACACCCACTGGCTTCCCTGAAAGTCAGGTTTCTTCTTGCAAGTAAGTCTACCCTAGGGCTATATGGTCCATCGGTCACTCACCTGCCCACAATCATTTCTTTCCTCTCTTCTGCCTCTTCATTGGCAGAGTGTTCTGCCTCCCTCCATCATCACTCAGGAGAGCCCTGTTGCAGGTCAGTGCAGAATCTCTACATGAGACATTGCGGTGTCGGTGGAAGCATCACAGGGCCTCGTGGGGGCGCCGAGAGGAGTGCATGGGGGCCGGAACCTGCAGGTCTGTCTGCGCCTCTGTCCTCTGAGTATGCGCTCTGCCTCTCTGGTGCTGATTTCCTCACTTTCTGGAAGGTGTTGATGATGCAGCCACCTGGGCCCGGGCCTCTGAGGACCGGTTCTGGGAAGCATCCTGCTTCCTTCCCTTCTCAAGGCGCACTGCCCGAGTCTCCCTTCCAGGAAGTGTGAGCAGCTTGTGACATTGAGACGACTCATCACTGAGCAAAGGAAGGCAAACGTGGCGCACCCAGCACAGTGATCACGGCGCCCTATGTTTGATTAAGGGCCATCACAGACCCTCTCAGATCCACCCAGACCCCTCTGGGCCACAGGGGAGCAGGACAGCCATTTCTCTGAAGCTCATGGGTGATCAGAGATGTTAGAAAGTGCGCCTGTGTTGTGTGTTCACTCGGGACAGGTCCACGCTCTCCAGGCGGCACCCGAGGCACCGCACACGCCATCCGCACGTTCGCTGCTGTGCCCAGAGGTGTGCGTTGCTGGAGGAGGGTTGGGTGTTGACTCCAAGGAAGCACCAGGGCACAGAATAGCCAGACGACCTTGCTACAGCTCCCCCAAGATGGTTTACGGGGTCTCCAGTCACACATTGTGGAGTATGGTTTACATGGTCTCCAGTCACACGTTATGGAATATGGTTTACGGGGTCTCCAGGTCACACGTTATGGAGCACTGCCTTCATCAAGCTCCAGCAGATGAGAAAGGTGACTCCTAAAGTACGTTCTGCCAGAGGGACCCTAAGCAAGGGGTCTGAGTGAGGAAGCCCCACCCGGAGTTGCCGCGGTGAAAGACTGTTTCTCCAGTGAAGACAGATGTGCATTCCCACGCGTGAATGGATGATTCCCAAGACTTCTCAGTCAAAGGCACGTTTTGTTTTGGCGATGGAAATGTGAGGTCAGAGGTCGGCGCTGTCAGTTTCACAGCACCGATCAGCCTCACACATGGGATGGGATAGCGTCCAGCCTCTCCCTGGGAGGTATTCAGTTTGGACCATGGGAAGTAAAGAGGCTAGGTGGAGGAAGCTTACGGTCACGTGATTTCAGAACGTCTCAGAGCGCAGAGAGAGCTGTAGTTGTATGACAGCAGCCAACGTTGGCTTCCTAGGCCAGGCGGCCCATCTTTCCAATGACTGGTGGAGCAAATGGTTCTCCTCCCTTATACGAGGAGGCCAGGAGAGAGAGATCTACCAGAAGAAGGAGGATTTCCTTGTCTCTTTAAGCATAGATAAGGGCATTTCTGAGGTCGCTGAGATGGTAATTAGCATTTCTCCCATGCTGTCCCAGATGCGGAAGATGTAAGGAAGAACATGGCTCTACCTATGGCCTGTCCAGGCGAACAGGGTTCTTGCCTAATGAGGGTTCTGAACTGGGGGTGGGAACGTGGTAGAAGTACGGTAGTCCCCGCTGTCCACGGGGACATGTTCCAAGACCCCTAGCAGATGCCTGAAACCTCAGCCAGTACCAACACTTGTAGGTAGATTTTTCCTATTGTCGACAAAAAGAGTTGAACTCTGTAAAGTATTTTGAAGGGGTTTATTCTGAGCCAAAGATGAATGACCCACAGCCCGTGGCACAGCCCTCAGGAGATCCTGAGAACATGTGTCCAGTGTGGTCAAGATACAGCTTTTGGTTTTATACACTTTAGGGAGACATAAGCCATTGGTCACTACCTGTAGATGTACCTTGGTTGGGTCTGGAAAGGCAGGACAACTGGAAGTGAGGCCTCCCAAGTCATTATGGAGTCAAACATTTTCCGATTGGCCATTGGTTGAAAGAGTTAAATTATTGTCTGAAGACCTAGAATTCATAGAAAGCGATGTCTGGGTGAAGATAAGGGGTTGTGGAGATGCAGTTCCCACCGTGCAGAGGAAGCCTCCAGGCAGCAGGCTGCAAAGAGGATGGATGGTAAGTGTTTCTTATCAGAGTCAATTCTCTCCTGGATCTGGGAAAAGGAAGGAAAAAGAAGGGAATTCTCTTCAGAATGCAGATTTTCCTGCACTATTTCAAGATACGGCAAAATAAATAAAAAAAAAAAATTACACATTCGGGATGGAAATATTTTTATTTTGTTCTTTATCTGTCACGTGATGTGCCCGAGTCAGGTTGGAAAGTGAGCCATGTTATGTAGGGTAAAGAAAACCCCTCTAATGAGACTCCGTGGTTTGTAGGGCATGACTCCCCAGGCCCCTTGGATGGGAATTTGGGCAAGAGCAGAAGAAAGCCAGAGTGCAGAGCTCACTGTGTCTGTGCAGCCGTGATAAAGCTCAGCACATACGTTAAGCACAGTAAGAGAGTAACCTGAATAACTGTAATGAAATCGGCATTTATAACAATCTACTTTAATAAAACGTATGTGAATGTGGTCTCTGTTTCTCTCTCAAAGCAGCTTATTTCATACCTCAGTGACTGAAGCCACAGGAAGAGAACCTCCAAGAAGGGGGTGCTGCCCTGTACAAAATGTAGGCTGAAAATACAAAGCCTCGTTAGATAAGGAAGGATGGTACCCACAGTTATACTGACACACATGCTGCATTAAGCTCTCCCAGCTAGAAGGCCACACCGCACTCGGAAACCTTCCATGCATGTACCCTCAGCCCATGCTGGATTGTTAACTTTGAACGGTGTCACCTGAGCCACACAGCTTCCAGACCTCCTGTTCTCTCATCTGATAAACAGTAAGGGCGGGTGGGAGGAGATCAGGCAAGGAAGCGTTTGTACTCCTGCAATTCAAGGCTGACCTTCAAACGTCCCCACTCCTCATTCTTGGAGTGCTGTTCTCAAGATAATTAGGTGTGTTCCTCCAGCAAATCGCAGGCTTCCGATACCAAGCTTGTGCTCTGTGTGAAGCACGTGGCTTTGCTAAACTCCATGCCTGTTGCTGCTGGTGTTGTTAGCGGAGTGCTCATGCTTGTCATTGCAACTGGGTGATGTTGGCCCATCCTTCAAGTCCGCCCCGTGAGAGCCCCTGCCTTGTCTCTGTGTGCATGTGTGCTGAAAGTCTGGTGTAAGGAGGGCTGAGGTTGAAGGGCCCATTGTTTTAGTTCATCCCCAAATTCCTTTCTCACACAGCTGGACGCTCTGTTCTCACATTACTCACACATATGACGATGGTCTCCATGGAAACTGTAGTTAATTAGAGCTGTCCATCATATTTCTACATGAATGAGACCATTCCAGTCTGTGGTTTTATGTTATACTTAATGTGGACATTTGGCAGATGTATTTCATTAGCTGAAAAACGCAGCTTAAACTATGCAAAAAGTGCTGTTAGCCTTGAAGAAATGGGGTTATGTTAAATCATTTGAGCTGTCTTGTAAGATACTTAACTTAATTCAGATAGCTATTTCTTATACATGTGTGTTTTTTAAAAAGCTGTAACTGGGAGATCCCATGAAATGAAATCTTAGTTCACATTTACCTGAGAGGCGACCGTATCCTCTTCATCAGCATCTCACATTCCAAATCTGTCATCTTCCTTTCCCAAACCTCTACGAACTTATTGAAAATGGCAGATGCCGATTTGTTGAATCAGAGATGGTGATTGCAGTGTAAGTGGCTCCAGCATCATACTCTGAAATAAATCCGTTTGCAGACTACAGCCTGGCTAACTGCATCTAACACTTGGGTGGGGGGGGTGGGGGCAAATGTGAGATGTGCCTCAAAGCCTGTCCATGAATATTGGAAACCCACATATGTGTGTGAATACATGCCTAGAGTCTGAACATGCAATCATATTTATATTTGGGGCATATATGCCAAAATGGTGACAAAGATGTGTGTACGCACATGTGTCATCATTCTGATACCCCATAAATAACATGTTTACATGCACATGTAACGTGGTGCCAAATTCTCCCTTATCTGATGCTCCCTGCCCCCCTCCTCAGGCCACTCCCCACACCACTCACTGTGGCTGGTGTCGGGCAGAGCCTCCCTGAGATCCAGCTGTGTCTACACTGCCTCTGCAGCCAGGTAGAAACCAAGGCAGCCTGGAGAGTCGGCACCTGGTTTCCTGGGCAGAGCCTCCCTGAGATCCAGCTGTGTCTGCACTGCCTCTGCAGCCAGGTAGAAACCAAGGCAGCCTGGAGAGTCGGCACCTGGTTTCCTGGGCAGAGCCTCCCTGAGATCCAGCTGTGTCTGCACTGCCTCTGCAGCCTGGTAGAAACCAAGGCAGCCTGGAGAGTCGGCACCTGGTTTCCTGGGCAGAGCCTCCCTGAGATCCAGCTGTGTCTGCACTGCCTCTGCAGCCTGGTAGAAACCAAGGCAGCCTGGAGAGTCGGCACCTGGTTTCCTGGGCAGAGCCCACTGGGAGGAGAGCTACGGGATGATGCTCAGTCCAGCTCCTCAGGGACCAGTTAAATCAAGTGACAAGCTTGTCTGTCTCCCCAGTTCCCTGTTGCCCCACACATGGAGGGAAGACAGTGCTCAGTGACCCCAAGACCTTTTACAGCCACATGCTGATGTCATTCTAAGAAAGTGATGTCTGCTTTTGTGTTAGCACAGATCGAACAATGGAAAATCAATGCCAGTGACCTGGGTGATCTCCCAACAGAGGGAAATTAAATCAGCGTTTTGGTCAAAGTGGACCTAATATGAACTAATATTAAGCACTAAGATCACAAATGCAGGCTTTGAACATTGCAAAATGAGGCTTCGAATGGCATGAAGCTTTCTAGACCGGAAGGAAAGTCTTTCTCATGGGCGATGCAGGGCCCTCATGGGACTCACCCAGCTGGAAGGAACCGGGGAAAATCAGAGTGGACTGATTTTACTCAAGTCTGTTCCAATGCAAATAAGGCCTAATAAATTTGAAGTTAGGCCAGAGTTAAAGCTGAGAATCATTGGGACTCACTGCCTATGTCCGTGTCTAGGTGGGAGAAATACGTGCATCTGTGGTCACAATGCTGCTTTACAGAAAACACTGGTTGTTCCTGAGGTTATTGGCACAAAATGCTGGGCTCTGAGCGGTGACGTTTGAAGAAATACAAAGGTGTCTGTCATGTTTGAACTGTTGAGTGTGGAGGGTTTTGAAGATGTGCAGGGAATGACTGCAGTCTACACCAGAAACGCATTAAAGAGTGACTTTGTTTCTGTCTTTGCAGAGGAAGAAGCTGGAGACTTGGTCCAGCCGGGCATCAGCTTTCCGGGGCCGGCAGAGGAGGATCTAGGTAGAGTACAGACGTCAGCCCCGCTCTGGCGGGGCCCGGACAGAACCGGGCATGCTCCGGGCACCTCCCATCATGCGGACCGTCCCACAAACACACGTTAGCATGTTTAGAAAGGGAGCTAAGAAGAACTAAGTACAATGCGGCACTTTTTTCCAAAAATAATAGTTTTTAAGCATTACGGAAGTGCTAGGTGAGGAAGGGCTGCTCCTGGCCCTCAGGAACTGAGGCAGCCGTTCACATAAACGATGCATGTCTCCAGAGGTGAAGGACCCCTCCTTCCCTTGCTCCTCTGTGTCTAAACATATTCTAAGCAAACTCAGGAAGCAGGGTGTTCCCGCATTTGCATTTTTCATGTAGACCTTCCTTGGCAGGAAGCAGCTCATCTCTCCAGCTGGCCCCACACACTGGGGTCTGGATGCTGAGTATGACTGTGCGCTTCCTTCCAAGGGCCCTGCGAGAGGCTGCCACGACACACTTTCCCCGATGCTGGTTCAAATCACGTGGAAATTTCATTTCTGAGCTGCCACCAGCACAGCAAAGCTGGTGCCATATTTGCCATCAGTCTTTTGACATGGAGCTATGCTTACAAGAACAAGGCCCAATGCTTCTGTTAAAGATGTGAAATGTTGAATACATCTGACATCAAACTGTTGAATAAAATCAACGTCAAACCACAGCTGAAGACGGAAGCCCCATCAGTGGCTCTGTCTGTGGTTATTCTCTAACCTAAAAGAGGTTTGTTGCTGTCTGTGGTTATTCTCTAACCTAAAAGATTGTCAGCCTCTTTCTCAAGCCACTGACAGCTGTCTGCAGTGACAGCACTCAGGGCTGGGTCTCGGATCATAAGTTCAATTTATATTTAAATGTACATTTTTAAAAACGTATTTCAGACTTTTAGCCAATGCATCTATTGCTGGTTTGATTTGCCTAAAGAATAATATCGAAAATTGAAGGAGTCCACTTTGTATAAAGCTGTGATTTTTGTTAAAGAAAACTACAGCCAAAAAGTGTTTGCTTTTCAATATAAGATGATGGAAATGGGCAGAGTTCTAAAGGATGACCGTCCATTATCCACTGCAACTGAGTCCTAGATTTGTTGCTAACTGACGTTCTACACAGCCTTTCTTCACTCGGAAATAGACGAGTGAAAGTATTTCGACTTCTCATTAGGAAGGAACAGTGGCTATCATGTTTGAATAATTATGCATCTGTTTTTTTAAACCTCAGTCTGGCAATACTCCATCGCGATGAATCTTCACTACTCAGCCTGCCTGGGGAGGCTTCCAAATGCACGGGACTCATTTGACGTTTGTTTTCTTGAGGCTTTGGAGGTAGCTCAGCTGCCTTTGCACTGTCTCTGGACAATGTTAATGTCATAGTTGTGTCTATTCCAGTTCTTCTCCATAGCAGCGGCGCCCACGTGCCCCAGGGGCCTTCTCTGGGGCAGCAGGAGGTACCTGGGGTGGTTCTGCTTGGGCTCAGGCACAGTGAGAAGAACCTGGAGGCTGGAGCAGGGGGCACAGAACTGAAACAAGAGTGCAGGAGTCACTCTGGGGAGGCCAGCTTTGCCTGGATTCTGACCCTGGACTCCGTGGTTGAGAGTTTGTTTGTTCTGCAGCCACACAAGTGAGCATCGAGGGATGAGGCTGGGGGGCGAAGGAGGCAGAATGTCACATGGGTGGCTTGGTGAAGGCTGGATTGTAGGGACAGAAAGCATTTTTTCATCTTAGCCCTTTGTAAGTAAGTTCAACAGCATTAAATGCATTCATGTTGCTGTATAGCCGTCAGCACCTCTGTCTCTAGAACTTTTTCCTCTTCTGCAAGTAAAACTCTGTCCCCATGAAACACTCAGTCCCTTTCCCCTCCCCAGCCCTGGAACCCCCATTCTGCTTTCTGTCTCTGAAACTGACTCCTCCAGGGCCCTCCTAGAAGTGGAACCACACAGGATTTGTTGTTTTGTGACTGCTCATTTCACATGGGGTAATGTCTTCTTGTTACTGCATGTATCAATGTGTCACACGCCCTTTCTGTTGAAGGCTGAGCCACACTGCACTTTGTGGATGGACCACACTGGTTTCCATTCCTCCGTGGACAGACCCCGGGTCGCTTCTCCTTGGCCAGTGTGAATGGTACTGCTGTGAACACGGAGTGCAGCTCTCTCTCCACGTCACTGCTTTCGGTTCATTTGGGTAAATGTCCAGAAGTGGAATTGGTGGATCCCATGGTGAAGCGATGCTTCCTCGTTTTGAGGAACCTCCACACTGCTTAGGGACAGGGTGTGCTTTGCGAGCTGCCTCTACAGTCTTGCCATGGGGTGGGGGTTGGCCATTGTAAGAATGAGAAGGGTCAGATGTTAGAAGCTCTGGAAAGAAGGAAATGAGAGAATTTGGTGACGGTTGGCTGAGAGGACCCTCAAACACGTGCCTGGCTTTCCCCTCTTGGGGTGGTACGTGGGTGGAGGACTCTGGAGGGAGAGGGAGGAACTGCTGTAGCCATCTGGTGAGCCCAGGGACCTGAAGCAGCCAGGTGCAGGCACACGGTGACCTGGAGTCACAAGATTTGTGCAGAAGTGCACCTCGTGAGGAAGGTGGACGCATTGGTTCCAGGGAGGCCTTTTAGCCCATTCGTGCAAATATTAGGTCTTGACCCTGGTTCTATGTCAGTCAGGATCACTTGGGGAAAGTTTAAAAACATTCCAGTGCCCAGGCCCCACCTGATGTATTTGTCTGAGAAAGGACTTGGCCATTGTCGTCTTTAAAAGTTCTTTACCTGATGCTTTTTTTTTTAATGGAAGAAACGCTTCTTGTTTTACTTTAAAAATATTTTTTCTAGCTTTATTAAGTTATATTCACGGATATAAATTGTGTGTATAGTATACAACGTGATGTTTTGATACAGGTATACGTTGTGAGATAAGTCAACAAAGCTAATTAACATCTTGCCACCTCACATCCTTATCATCACCTTGTGCTTTTAAGAACATTTAAGATCTCATCTCTTAGCAGTTTTCAAGTAAACAAACCATTTAACTGTGGCCACCACGTGGTACCATAGACCTCGTCACTTACTCCTCTTGTCTAACTGAAATGCTGCACCCTTCCGCCAACATCCTCCCAGTTCCCCCCAACCCTCTCTCTGTTGACCACTGTTCTACCCTCTGCTTCTGAGTTCTGTGCTTTCAGATTCCACGTGTAAGTGAGGTCACGCGGCACCTGTCTTTCTGTGCCTGGCTTGTTCCACTTAGCATGATGTCCTCCAGGCTCATCTATGTTGTTGCAAATGCTAGGATTTCTCACTTTTTAAGACTGAGTAGGTATTCCACATTTTCTTTGTCTGTGCCTCTGCTGATGGGCTTGAGGTTGGTTCTGCATGTTGGCTGTGGTGAACAGCATCTTAACGAACACGAGAGAGCAGATACCCCTTCCACACATCCATTTTATTCCCTTCAGAAAAATACCCAGAAGTGGGATTCCTGGATTATTCCTTTATCATTCTAATGTACCCCTAGGATTGAGAATCCTGATATAAAACATATGAAAGGATAATTAAGAGAAAAAGCAAAAAACACAAAAAGAAAGGAAGGAAGAAGGAAGGAAAGAGGGAGGGAAGGATATCTGAGTTATGTTCCCAACACTATCATAACAACATTGGGAGCAAATAGCATTATTTTAGACATTTGTTTTTCCAAATTGAGTGTTCCAATCTCCTCATCTTTAAATTGAGAGGGTTAAATGATGATTTTTAAGGGATCTTCCCAGTCACGAATTTATGGATCTATAATTCTACTGGGTCAAATTAAAATTAAAAACACTTCATAATGATCTTGATGCTATTATAGTGACTGAGTAACTACCATTTCCAAAATGCTGTGGGACATTTTACAGCACAGTATAGGTTAAAGTCATAAAGCAATGAAGTGACATTTGCTTCTGGTCCTATTTCAAAGCATCAATCTTTTTTTTCCAACTCCCCTCAGTCTTCAAAAGCTCCAAGGAAAGCTGAGTAGCATTGGCTGAAGAGCTTAAGATACCATTAGTGCCAGATGAATTAATAAAACCGCCCACACTTGTGTTATTAGCCATTACCTCTTAAGAGCATTTGCGTTCTCTGAAGCTCATAGAGTGTAATGTATGAAAAGTAATTTTATGATGGGGAAAATGGCTGTGAAATATAGGAGGATAAGGAAGTTTTCCATAAAATTAAAGTCACTGATAAAATGAATTAATGTAGCACATTCAAAACGAATACCTTGAAAGAGAAAAACCTCACTTTTTCCAGAAGAAATGTTTCTAGGGAAGACCTTCAGACACACTAGAATTAAATTGCTCTCTTAGTAACTTTTGAAACATTGGCTCATTATGACGTTACTTCTAAGAATGGCATTTTTTCATTTTCCCGAATGTTATATTTAAATCAGCTGTAAAGAGTTGGTGATTTATTTGCATCTATGAAGAGTGCTATATTGACCCAAATTTTGCATTGATAAATGAATGCAAAATGAAATTTTAAAAAGTTGGCAGATTAAATTATCAAAGTATATTAAGCACATATTATATATGCAGCACAACACTGAGAAAATGTACACACTGTGTAATTTTGAAATACCTGAATATTAAAATAATACTTAGAGCCTTCCACCTGGCAGGCACATAGATTGTGAACATGTTTTTATATAATAGAACATCAGCTAGCATAGCTTTAATCATCTCCACAGCATTTAAGTGCACCAATGTCTCATTCTAATGTTAATACATATCTTGTCTCACAGGAATTCCCCTTGGGATGTTTATTTTTGTGTGTTCTTTCAAAAAACAAAAACCCAGCTCTACCTATACTTGTCATTTTATCGTCCATACTTATTTTCTTCAGGGAAATTTATAGAAATAGCGGAAGTGTATTACATTGTAGGTTCTTGGTCTCACTGACGTCAAGAATGAAGCTGTGGACCTTTTGGGTGAGTGTCCGGAGTTTGTTCCTTTTAATGTTCAGACGTTTTCAGAGTTTCTTCCTTCTGGTCGGTTTGTGGTCTCAATGGCCTCAGGAGTGAAGCTGCAGATCTTCGCGGTGAGTGTTGCAGCTCATAAAAGGAGTGCGGACCCAAAGAGTGAGCAACAGCAAGATTTAGTGCATACAGCGTAAAAATTAAGCATCCACACTGCCCAAGACGATCTCAGCAGGTTGCCAGTGCCGGCTCAGGCAGACTGCTTTTATTCCCTTATCTGGCCCCACCCACATCCTGCTGATTGGTCCATTTTACAGAGAGCTGATTGGTCTGTTTTACAAAGAGCTGATTGGTCTGTTTTGACAGGGTGCTGATTGGTGCATTTACAATCCCTGAGCTAGACAAAGAGTGCTGATTGGTGCATTTACAATCCTCTATCTAGACATAAAAGTTTTCCAAGTCCCCACTAGATGAGCTAGACACAGAGCATAGATTGGTGCATTTACAAACCTTGAGCTAGACACAGAGTGCTGATTGGTGCATTTACAATCCTCTAGCTAGACATAAAAGTTCTCCAAGTCCCCACCAGATTAGCTAGATACAGGGTGCTGATTGGTGCATCTACAAACCTTTTGCTAGACACAGAGTTCTCATTGGTGCATTTACAATCTCCTAGCTACACATAAAAGTTCTCCAAGTCCCCACCGGACTCAGGAGCCCAGCTGGCTTCCCCTAGCGGATCCTGCGCTGGGGCCACGGGCAGAGCTGCCTGCCAGGCGCCTGCACTCCTCAGCCCTTGGAGGGTCAATGGGACCGGGCGCCGCGGAGCAGGGGGCAGCGTCCATCAGGGAGGCTTGGGCCGCGCGGGAGCCCACCGCGAGGGGGAGGCTCAGGCATGGCGGGCTGCAGGTCCCGAGCCCTGTCCCACGGGGAGGCAGCTGAGGCCCGGGGAGATTTGGCGTGCAGCGCCGGTGGGCCAGCACTGCTGGGGGACCCAGCACATCCTCCGCAGCTGCTGGCCCAGGTGCTGAGCCCTTCACTGCCCCGCTGGCGCTGGCCGGCCGCTCCAAGTGCGGGGCCGCGGAGCCCGCGCCCACCCAGAACTCGCGCTGGCCCATGAGCCCACACCTCTCCCTCCACGCCTCCCCGCAAGCAGAGGGAGCCGGCTCCGGCCTCGGCCAGCCCCCAGGGCAGCGGCTGGCTGAAGGGCTCCTCAAGTGCGGCCGGAGTGGGCGCCGAGGCGGAGGAGGCGCCGGGAGTGAGTGAGGGCTGCCAGCATGCTGTCACCTCTCAGAAGCAGTGATGTGCTGAGCTTCTGTCTAGAAAGAAGGTAGCAGTCCACCCTCCTGTCTCCCAGGCATTCGTTCACCCAGGTCCTCAGCCACCGAGTCTTCCTCCTTCACCCACGACCCTCCTTCACCCACCACCCTCCCTCCACCCACCACCCTCCCTCCCAGGCATCCTGTAGCCTCCACCACCACACTTCCTGGGAGGTTCAGGCTTCAGCCTTGACCTTCCTGCACTGCCCAATGGGAGCATCGTGACCACACATTTTAGGAGAAGGCTCCTTCCCCACTGTGACATCAAACACGTGGTCACATGAAAGGCCTAGTCTGTGGCACAGGAAAGGGGCCCTGAGGTGCAGGGGAGGGTCATTGTCAGTTAATCACATGAAAGCTCACCAGGGCACACTGCATTTTAACAACCCCGTTTTTAAATTTTATTTCCACACAAACACATCAGATACCTTTAAAGTTAGACACATCTAACATTTGTGGAACTTAGGATGCCAGGGCTTTTCATCTGAATTTCTGGGGTGCATTTACAGCTTTTCTCCTAAACATCACGCGTCCCATTCTGGCCTCCTGAAGGGCGGTGCCTGCTCCCGGGCTGCCCCCTGCCATACCCCGCAAACCCCCGCCACCCCCTGCAAACGCCCACCACCCAGTGTATGTGCGGAGGCTTTGCCTGCAGAACCTGCCTCTGAGAACCCACGACACGCACTGCTTCCTGTTTCAAACACCGAGACAGCACAAAAGCGACTTCCTTTCTCTGCACCACCCTGATGGCTGCAAGGTATTGCTCCTGCCAAGGGCTTTCAAACTTTTTGGATTATATTCCACAATAAGACGTATATTTTACATCAGAACCTAACACACACACCCACACGCACACACCCAAAAAATGTTTCATTAGACATGTGCTCTTATTATCCAGAGTGTACTTTGGTATTTTCTAGTCTATACGTTTTTTTTTTTTTTTTAGACGGAGTCTTGCTCTGTTGCCAGGCCGGAGCACAAAGGCTTAATATCAGCTCACTGCAATCTCTGCCTCCGGGGTTCAAGCAATTCTTCCGCCTCAGCCTCTCTAGTAGCTGGGATTACAGGCGCCCGCCACCATGCCCGGCTAATACTTTGTATTTTAGTAGAGACGGGGTTTTACAGCTTTAGGCAGGAGGACCCCCCCACCCCTCACCACCCCCTGCAAACCCCCACCCCCCCCACAAACCCCCGCCACCCCCTGCAAACCCCCGCCACCCCCTGCAAACGCCCACCACCCCCCACCCCTCACCACCCCCTGCAAACCCCCGCCACCCCCCGCAAACCCCCGCCACCCCCCACCACCCCTCACCACCCCCCGCAAACCCCCGCCACCACGCGCACATCGCTGTTGATCATTGCTGCCTCCACGCGCGCCGACATCCATTCAAACAGCAATTGCTGGTGTTTTCTCCTCTGTGGGATGTGCCAGTAAGAATGACCTGGAAGCTCCTAGACATACGTAGCAGGCTCAACGTGGCGGGGGAGTTGGAAGGAAAAATGGAATCCACAACTGCTGCGCACAGGAGGGAAATGAACCCAGTGCCCGCAGGAGGCGCTGACGGCGTTCCCTAAAAACACCGAGCAGGCAAATGAGTGCGGACTAAGCGCCCGGGGAAGACGGGGAAGACGGGGCCAGGCTCGGGCTCCGGGGATTCGTAGGATCTCCGGAGGGGATCATTTGTAGTTAAGGATCTAATATTGCCACATTCTCAATGGTTTTCTGTTCTGCAGTTCTTTAGAGCACTGAGTTTTAAACCATGGGCTGCAACTCATTAATGACCCGTGAATTCAAGTTACTGGTCACTGCCAGCAAATTTTTAAATGGAAACAAAAATACAACAGAGAAGTATAGACTAGGCCGGGCACGGTGGCTCTCGCCTGTAATCTCAGCACTTTGGGAGGCCGAGGCGGGCGGATCACGAGGTCAGGAGATCGAGACCATCCTGCCTAAAGCTGTAAAACCCCGTCTCTACTAAAATACAAAGTATTAGCCGGGCATGGTGGCGGGCGCCTGTAATCCCAGCTACTCGAGAGGCTGAGGCGGAAGAATTGCTTGAACCCCGGAGGCAGAGATTGCAGTGAGCTGATATTACGCCTCTGTGCTCCGGCCTGGCAACAGAGCAAGACTCCGTCTAAAAAAAAAAAAAAAACGTATAGACTAGAAAATACCAAAGTACACTCTGGATAATAAGAGCACATGTCTAATGAAACATTTTTTGGGTGTGTGCGTGTGGGTGTGTGTGTTAGGTTCTGATGTAAAATATACGTCTTATTGTGGAATATAATCCAAAAAGTTTGAAAGCCCTTGGCAGGAGCAATACCTTGCAGCCATCAGGGTGGTGCAGAGAAAGGAAGTCGCTTTTGTGCTGTCTCGGTGTTTGAAACAGGAAGCAGTGCGTGTCGTGGGTTCTCAGAGGCAGGTTCTGCAGGCAAAGCCTCCGCACATACACTGGAACTTGAGCAATTCACCCACCTCTCCTGTTCTTCTCATTCTTTGTTTGTTAACAAAAAGAGAAGGGATCGTAACCTTCCTACCTCGTTGGAATTTTAAGATAATTAAATATGGTAATATAAGACCTTAGAGCAAGGTGTGGCTCACAGCAAGTGTTCAATGTCAGTTTTTACCATGATTAGTATCATTGTCATCATTGCTCATACGCTGTGACCAGGTAACCCAGCATCAACTGTCCAGGTTTAAAGGTGCATTCAGGAGGTTTCAGGAGTGCAGCTCTGGAGGACGCGGCCGCGGAGAGGAGTCGGTGTAATACTCCAGACAGATGTCCACGTTAACTTCATGTGTTTCCCGAACATGATTTCCATGACAACTAATTTATTTGCATATTGCAGTAACTGAAAACACAGACTTCTGTAATTTTAGATTCTGAAGAGTTTTTTGTAAGGATTTGCCCCTTTAACTGCCTGTAAATTACAAGCACGCTCCCGTGCAAATGGGCATTCGAAAAGGAGTCGGAATTTGTCCCTGGGAGGTATTTGTGATTTAGATGGAAAATTAAATAGAAACAGGCTGGCTTTCCCTGGACAACAGCGATAACTTGCTGATGTGTTTGGAGGTCAGCCTGTGGCTGTGAAGTGTGGCTTCCAGGCTCATAGGAAGTGAAGGTCCGCTGTCGGGACCTTGCCAGCCTCGTTGCCCCAGATGTCAGGCTTCCAGAGGAACTCTGCAGTGCGTGACGAACGTATTGTTGCATCCTCTGAAGAGCTGAGAAACGTCATCAGTTTGTGATGCCTGGGCCACTCCGTGAAAGTGCTGTCAAGGATGGGAAGGTCCAGTTTTGTGGCAGGTCCAAGGGTTGAACACGACGAAGGAGGGACAAGGAAAGGAACTGCCTCCCACCTGTCACTCTGCGTGGGCTCCCTGCGTTCTGGTGCCTTGGTCAATATGCTTAACGCCACAGCAAACATGAAGGTCACAGGACGCGCATTCTCATTCTGCAGGTGAGGAAACTGAGGCACAGAGAGAGTGGTGAGTTCTCCAAGGTCATTAGTGAATGAGTGGCCAGTCTAGGTCTGAACCAAGCCAAACCCTGTAGGACCTTTTGAGTATCCACACTGCTTCCCCAAGGAAACTAAAATATTACATGTCCAAGCCCGGGAGGTCCACTCAACAAATAAAAGGCAAACCTTGCATTTGACACCTGAAACTGAGGTCGGTGTTACATAATTAATAAGGAATTGTGTTTGGAGTAAACCTAGAAGGAACTTGCACATAAGATAATTTGCTCAATCAATCTGGCACATCTCCCTTTGCTAATGAGTTAGGCTTCTCCAGATAAATCTGTGAGAATGTTCCATTTTCTCAAACAGTATTTGTTCTCCCCAGGGCATCAGTTAGTTCAGCTTGAAACCTTTCTTATAATACAAGCATCGTCATTTTCACCACACTGTGGAACCGAAAATAAATTTCCCTAGTGGGTGACCATCGTCCATGGATGTAAGGGCTGTCTAGTGTAGGACAATCAATAGATGACCATCTTCCATGGACGTAAGTGCTGTCTAGTGTAAGACAGTCAATAGATGACCATCTTCCATGGACGTAAGGGCTGTCTAGTGTAGGACAATCAGTAGATGACCATCTACCATGGACGTAAGGGCTGTCTAGTGTAGGACAATCAGTAGATGACCATCTTCCATGGACGTAAGGGCTGTCTAGTGTAGGACAATCAGTAGATGACCATCTTCCATGGACGTAAGGGCTGTCTAGTGTAGGACAATCAGTAGATGACCATCTTCCATGGACGTAAGGGCTGTCTAGTGTAGGACAATCAATAGATGACCATCTTCCATGGGCGTAAGTGCTGTCTAGTGTAAGACAGTCAATAGATGACCATCTTCCATGGACGTAAGTGCTGTCTAGTGTAAGACAGTCAATAGATGACCATCTTCCATGGACGTAAGGTCTGTCTAGTGTAGGACAATCAGTAGATGACCATCTTCCATGGACGTAAGGGCTGTCTAGTGTAGGACAATCAATAGATGACCATCTTCCATGGACGTAAGTGCTGTCTAGTGTAAGACAATCAATAGATGACCATCTTCCATGGACGTAAGGTCTGTCTAGTGTAGGACAATCAGTAGATGACCATCTTCCATAGATGTAAGGGCTGTCTAGTGTAAGACAGTAGGTCACATGAGCAAAGGTGAACCCCAAAATCTGTTTAGGAATTGGAAAGAGAAACATTAGGCTCCAAGTCTTATCAGAGCCTGACAAAAAGCGTGCGTGTTTTATGTGCACTTTCTACCACCACTCGGGTTTGGTATTGGATGAATACTAGCTGCAGTTAGCAGTAATTACACATCTGACTAACAATCTTCAGAAGTCTCCCTGAGAACGGTGTTCCTCAGCCCTGTGACGCATCAGCCCAGGTAGGCAGGGCTGAGGGCCGACGGCCTCCCTAACGCGTCTGGTCCACAGTTCAGTGGGAGAAGCCCTGCTGGGAACAGCTGGGTTAGAGTGCACTCACGTTGCAGAAAGCCTGTTGCTAGCAAACAGATGTCCATTGTAGAAGAATGTGTGCTCCTCCCCATAAATTTCAAAGAAACAAATGTCCCATAAACTTAAAAATAACCCATGAATGTTATTACACTTACCTTGACAACATGATCAAAGTTGTTTATTTCACACGGTTTCATAAGCAGAAATCGCCAGCTAGTGATCACGGTTCAGACAAATGGTGGAAATCGTCGGCGGCATAGGGACGGGGCCAGCGTGGGTGTCAGCCGTGGGTGTGGCAGTTCCGCACTGACCTCGGTGCATTCCTGCTCTGGAGTCTAGCATCGGAAAATCACAGCCCAGAAGACCCTCGGGTTGCACGTGTGACTGACGCACTCCCCCGAGAGAGGCCAACACCTCACAGCAGCCTGCCACAGCAGCGAAATGCCTGCACTGAGGCTGTCCGTTAAAAGCAAACACCATGGCAGTTGTTTTAGCCAAGCACGCTTCTTGCTGAGAATTCTAGGAGGTTCAGCTGACAGCAAATGCGTGAGTACCCCAGCTCGCTGTGTCCATGGAGTAGAGATCTCAGACTTCGCAGCTTTGACTTATCAATCTAAAGGTTAATTAGACAAACTGGGTGACTACTGCCAACATTTTCTAAAGACAGGTCACACTCTAGGTTTCTAATTTGTCTTCCGAATGACCCTGATCCTGGAAAGTGAGGCCCCGGGTCATGGTCGCACCGCCACCCTGTGCCATCTGTGTGTGCACGTTGGTGTCCCAGGCCACAGCGGAGAAAGATGGGAGAGGCCACAGGCCAGGCCCTGGGAGGATCAGTGGGATAAGCGTCTGCCTTTCCCAGTGCAGAGGAGGACGGAAGAGGCCACAGGCCAGCTCCAGGGAGGCTCAGTGGGATAAGCATCTGCCTTTCCCAGTGCAGGGCAAGACGGGAGAGGCCACAGGCCAGCTCCAGGGAGGCTCAGTGGGATAAGCGTCTGCCTTTCCCAGTGCAAGGGAGGACGGAAGAGGCCACAGGCCAGCTCCAGGGAGGCTCAGTGGGATAAGCATCTGCCTTTCCCAGTGCAGGGCAAGACGGGAGAGGCCACAGGCCAGCTCCAGGGAGGCTCGGTGGGATAAGCGTCTGCCTTTCCCAGTGCAAGGGAGGACGGGAGAGGCCACAGGCCAGCTCCAGGGAGGCTCGGTGGGATACGCTACTGCCTTTCCCAGTGCAGAGGAGGAAGGGAGAGGCCACAGGCCAGCCCCAGGGAGGCTCGGTGGGATACACGTCCGCCTTTCCCTGGGAACAGCTGGTGGGAGCGGTGCAAGCACAGCCCAGCTCAGAGGGGCCGTCACCCCCATCAGTGGCAAGTGGTTTGCCTCTGTGGCATAGCACCTGCCCATCTCCCAGAGACAATACTGCCTGGAAAATTGCAGCATTGAATTTCTAACCTAAAAATTGAGGTGAGACCTTGCTAAGCCCTCCTGGTCGTGTATGTAAGCTCGTTGGGAACTGCAGCTTTTCTCAGTAAAAGCTTCCTAATCATATGCAATTCCCTAAAAGTACACTTTTTAATAAACAATTATAGATGCGTAAGTTACAAAAATAATACAGAGAAATCCTGGGCACCCTTCCCCCAGTTTCACCCATGGTCACGTTCGTACAGTCCAAGGTCCAACACGAAACATCCTTCTTCCAGACAATGGCGGTCGAACTCTCAGACCCATCCTTGCCTTCCTTCCCTCCTTCATTCATCCATCCATTTCAGCATTTACTGAAACCCTGCTGCCTACGCAATGTGATTGAGATGTTGAACTGAAAGGTACCAGGAGCTCACACATCCCCTCCCCTTCCCGGGTTATCTTACGTGATATGGGGCACAGATTTGCTTTAAATAATTTACTTCTGAGCGCCCACCACTCTGGAGAAGAGCTAGGCAGGCATTGGGTGGTGTCTTGTGGCCACACGAGCAGCCCCAGGTGAAGCAAAGCCTGCACCCAATTAGACATCTAGGAATTCACAGTGACGGGAAAGAGGAATTGTACATAATTAGAGATATGTTTTCTCTCCAGTACAAATGTCCTCTTTCTGCCTGAATTTAAATGCAACTCTCATTTTTTCTTATGCCACTATTCCCAGAAGGCTTCCCGCATCCTGCGAAGCGAAGGGTAACCCCCAACAGCCCAGGTGTTTTCAATGGCACACATGGTTCCTGCTTTCTGTTTCACATAACACAGAACCCCAGAGCACGTTTTAAGCTCCACTTTTAAAACTTAATGAAATTGTATAAAATTCAGCTACTGTATCAAGGAACAGCGAGAAAATATTGTGTTGGAGAATATAAAAGGAAATAATATGAATAGCGTTAATATTTCAGTAAGAGCTACACATGTGGTCAGGAGTGTGAAACTTCTATCAGCCATTTATGGGTGTTTCTCACCTCCAGGCGCCGCTAGAGAACTTTGCTTATACTCACCTATGTCACTCATCCCTTCACAGCTGTGTGGCCTCTCTGCTGTCACCCCATTCTAAAGGAGGGGACAGCACGTGACAGAACGAGTCCCACAGTCAGTGAGGATGGGCACACGCTGCAGGTGGAGGCCCAAGCTCCTAGTCCATGTAGCTGCTGCATCTCTCAGCAGGACAGGAAAGGAAGGCCGGCCTGAGTCCGGAGGGTGGCGCTCAGCGTGATGCCACCCAGAGTCTGACAGAGCTGCATGGCAGGACCCCGGGGAGATGAAAGCCAGCCCCACGAGGGGAAGAGCCCCTACAAGAGCACAGCCAGCGGGCAGGAGCACGCAGGGAGACCGACGTGCAGGGACACCAACGTGTAGAGAGACTGACGTGGAGGGAGACCGACATGGAGGGAGACCGACGTGCAGGGAGACCGACGTGCAGGGATACCGATCCCTGCAGGGAGACCAACATGCAGAAAACGCATGTTTGGCCTGAAATGGGATGGATGCATCCAACCAAAGAGAAAACAAGGAAGGAGGAGACATGGAAGGCAGCCTTGGAAATCACGGAGAGTTGTTGCATTGATTCTTTTGCAGCCGATGAGCACACCCACCCTGCACTTGAGTTTCAGGGCCAAGGTGTCTTTCTTTCTTTTGAAGGGAAAAAGGACCTGGGCCAGAGAAACCATCATGGAGGCATCCTGGGAGGGGCACAGAGAAAAGGAGTCCTCTCCCTTCCCTTAAGACAGACAGGGCAGTCAGCATACACATGCACATACATGAACACACAGGCATGCACACAGATGTGCACACACACACGCAGACACATGCACACACACGTGCAGACATGAAAACAATTGTAGACATGCAAAAATATGCAGACAGAAATGTGCACACACACACACAGGTGCATGCACATGCAGACACACATGCAGATGCACACAAACACGAGCAGACATGAAAATACAATTGCAGACGTGCAAAAATATGCAGACACACGTGCATGCACACACACATGCAGACACAAGCACACACACATGCAGACATGAAATATACACATACACATGTTGACACACACAACATGCACAAATATGCAGACACACAAACACATGCACAGATAGGCACACTCACACACTTGTATGCACACACATGCACAAGCATACAAACACATACAACACACCTGACCTGTCTGCCCCTCCAGTCTGTTCCCTGCTCCCATTCCCTCTGTACTGTGCTATGGACTCTTTAATTCCTTTCCCTTTTCCTCCACATCTCACAGAGGGATGGGCTTATTACAATGTGCAGTTCCCTTAATGGATGAGTGAGTGAATGAGTGCAGGAGGGAATGATCGAGTGAGTGAATGACTGGATGAGTGACTGAGTTACTGAGTGAGAATGAGTGAGTGAGTGCATGAATGAGTGAGTGAGTGAATGAGTAACTGAGTGAATGAGTGAGTGGGTGAGTAAAAAAGTACATGAATGAGTGCATGAATGAGTGACTGAGTGAATGAGTGACTGAGTGAGGAAAGGAAAGAGGGAGGGAATGAGTGAGTGAGTGATTGGATGAGTGACCAAGTGAGTTACTGAGTGAGAATGAGTGAATGTGTGCATGAATGAGTGAGTGAATGAGTGAGTTACTGAGTAAATGAGTGAGTGAAAGAGCACACAAATAAGTGACTGAATGAGTGCATGAATGAGTGAGTGAATGAGGGAGGGAGGGAGTGAATGAGTTCATGAATGAGTGAGTGAATAAGGGAGGGAGTGAATGAGTGAGTGAGTGACTGAGTGAATGAGTGGGTGACTGAGTGAAAGAGTGAGTGACTGAATGAGTGGGTGACTGAGGGAAAGAGTGAGTGACTGAGTGAATGAGTGGGTGACTGAGTGAAAGAGTACATGAATGAGTGAGTGAATGAGTTCATGAATCAGTCAGTGAGTGAGTGAGTGCATGAATGAGTGAGTGAATGAGGGAGGGAGGGCGTGAATGAGTGAGTGAATGAGTGCATGAATGAGTGAGTGAATCAGGGAGGGAAGGAGTGAATGAGTGAGTGAGTGACTGAGTGAATGAGTGGGTGACTGAGTGAAAGAGTGAGTGACTGAGTGAATGAGTGGGTGACTGAGTGAAAGAGTGAGTGACTGAGAAAATGAGTGGGTGACTGAGTGAAAGAGTACACGAATGAGTGAGTGAATCAGTGAGTGAGTGAGTGCATGAATGAGTGAAAGGCACAATCAGGCTTGTGCCTTTTTTTGTGCTGAAATTAGTTTTAAGCAGGTGAAACTCCCTACAGCTTCAAGAGGATGAGGAGATATGTTTTGTTCTGTTTGCTTGAAACAATAAAATACATAAAAAATGAAGCACCTCATCCACTGTCTCAGGCAGCGAGAGCCTGCCAGTCCCCACCAGCCCCAGGGTGCAGAGGTGAGGAAGGCTTTCTCACCTCCGCGGTCACCAGGAATCGAGGTTCAGTAGAATCACCCCATCTTGAAGGCCGCAGCCTCAAGGTCCAAGTCTTCATTCCCCAGGTTGAAGACATGAGCTGGGGACCCCCATGGCTGTGGGTGGAGGGCGAGTCCTGGACGTAGTGCTTCATTCTGTCTTTTGAAAGGGGTGATGTTAGAAAGTGAGTTCTGGCAGCTGTGGGGAGGAAGAAGTCGAGCCCTCTGTGGGGTCAGGAGCTTGGAAAAAGGACCCTGAAGAGTTAGACCTGGAGTGGCCAGACCTAGGCAGGGATGGAAGAACGGATGTGGAGCCCAGGAGGAGCAGAGAGCACGCCATGAGGGAGGGGCCGTGGTGAGGGGCACCCCTGGGCGCCCAGTGCTTGGTCCTGCAACACCTTACGTCTCAGGGCGTTTCCCCACCCCCTGCTCCACTGAGAGCCTCCCACCCTGGCCTCGTTTCCTCCACCGAGCTGTGCATCCTCAGGGAGAGAGAGCAGAAGAGCCGCTCCTCTTTGGAAAACTGAGAAGCTCTCCTCCGAGTCAGTGCTCTCCCCATCCACCAGCAAGGGGCCCCTCCATCCGAATGCAGGCACACACCTGCTAAAATGCACCACACAGCAGAAGAGCCTCCCGTTTCTGGCTAGGAGAGCCCTGCCTGTGGCAGGCAGCAGCATTTGCAAGCCTCTCTGCAGTTACGCTTGGAGTTTTGGTGTGGTGGAAATAGGCAAGAAGTCGATGTCCAGCTGCTTGTTGGATTAGGGATCACAAATGTGTGTTTATTTTCCAAAAACAAGACATTGGCATGATAGTGTGGCCCTGGGGGCAGGGTCATGGAATAAGACAGGGACTGGGGAGCCTTGCACAAAATAACCATCCCCCACGGTATGTTGTTTGGACCTGGGAACTTTCTGGAGCAAGTGCTCATCGTCAGTAACACACACTAACTGAATTTCACTCAAGGCAGATTTGTGGACTATTTTGTTGAAATGACATCTGTAGAAAAATTTAAAAGTGATTAAAACTGATGGCTGCTGCCGGATGATGGAGTCTGGTGCATCTCAGACAGCCCTTATTTGGAACAGTCTGTGGGCATGTCTAGGTTATTGAGTGTTACGCTTCTGTGTTATGTGACTTGTCCGTACCATTTAGCCTCCCAATTGGACACGGAATCGAGTTTGCTAGCGTTCAGCCCTAACTGGAATGGCGACTGCTCCCAAATTGCATTCTGGCCCTAATGAAATCTGTCTGCTTCATCCTCATCTGCCAGGACACAGCACATTAGCTCTTATGGGTTTTGTTGTTTGTTTTTGTCTTCAGATTGTCGGTTCTGTGGCTGTGGCAAACCGAGTGGAGGTTTAAGATGGACTTTTAAATACAAATTATGAAGGGAAAAAGCAAGTCACTTCATGTATGCTTGTGCATTTACAAGGCACATAGAACAAAGCTGACATTTATATAACGTTTGAGTTTCATAAGAGCATGGCTGTGGTGACTGTCCAGTTTTTAGATGAAGAAATTGAGTCTCATCCAACCTTGATCAGCTAATAAATGACCACGTGGTGATTTCGGCCCAGACACCCTTATGTTCCTAGTAGACTTGAGCTCAAGTCATATAAATTTGGTTCTCCCTGCCATGGACAATGGTTCTTGAGTAAATTATGGAGTCTTTGAGATTTGTTTTTCTCAGGCTCCAAATATTGTGATAATATATAAATTGTACAGTGATTCTGCAAACCATATCGAACCCATGTTAGATATTTGCATTCTAGTCACTGTCTTTGGCTACTGGAAATGATTGTATGTGTGTGCACATCAGCATTCAGTGGATACTGAGCGGCATCTGGATATTTAGTAAAACACATTCTCACGCCAGTGCCCGTGCTTCTCCCTCTGCGTGGCTAAGATGAGACCAACTCTGCTTGGAGGGTCCTGTCCATCCCAGGCCCTCCCGACCGTGTGTCCTCCAGCTAATTCCGAAATTTTGAGTGCCAGGATCTCAACAACGAGCCACAGATAGGAGCCTGTGGTCCCTGCCGTGAAGGAGCTGGCAGTCCAGGAAGGGATACGAAGGCTTGGCTTTCACATGTGATGTGCTAAGGTGTCAGAAGGGAAGAATATTTCAGCTGCAATTGGGAAGAAACAGAAGGGGCTTCTGGAAAATGAGCAACGCTGTCCTGGAAAGTGAAGAACACCAAAGTTAGCTCAGCTTTACGCAGCGGCATGTCCCATCCTACGCCTGAAAACCAAAAAGCATAGAACCCTTGTCTACTTGGAAATCTTAAAAAAAAATCTAAACATGTGCTTTGTGTGCCAAACAGTAGCTCCAGGTTCACTGACTGCCCGAAATTCAGTGTTTTGCGAGACAAGTTCATTAACCTGCTGCTGAAAGGGCCTTTGCAATTCAAGGTTGGATCCATCAGAAAATAGAATATGGAACTGATAAAGCTCTCTTTTCAAGTCAATACTTTATTTCCTCTCCAGGAAGAGACTTTCGTTAGAGAGGCACAAGCTGCATTCTCTGACCCTGATCCCCTTGTTTAACGGTTCTGACGGCCCTGAGCCTGGCTCTCCCCATGCACCTTCCCCATGGACACCACCTCTTGCCTAAACTAGATTAAATGTTCCAGACCCCAGAAGAAAAGTCCAGAACTCATTGTGGGCCTGGGATCCGTATGCACTTGCCTGCCTGTAAGAAGCCAGCCTGCGGGCCTGGCCCAGCTGGGATGTCAGCATCCTGGGGACCTGGCCCTGTGCTGCCTGTCACAGTGGGTTTTGTGCTCAGCAGGTGATGGCCCCGGCAGGGCCGCCCATGGCTTCCTTTGGGGGCACAGAGCAGGGGAGCATGGGTGGGGTGGGGATCCTAGACCAAAGGGGCGTGGCTGGGTTTGGGTCTATCCTCCCACACCTGCCCTGGGAGCCTCGGTTTCCAGTCTGCAGGAGGAGGAGGAGCTCCCAGCTGCTTCGCAGGAGCAGGAGGTGTGGGCCATCGCTGTTGGCTGCATGTGAAGGAGGGGCCTTCTCCACTGAGAGCTCTCTCTGCCCCTGGAGTGCTGGGCACGCTGTCCCCATCTCTGCTTCCCAACATACCATGGGCTATACACCTGATGAACATGTTAGTGATTATCTGACGAGATCAATGGTTCATCAGCTATCGATGGGTTGTCCACAATGGCTGAGGAGAAGAACAGCTGCAGGCCCCAACCCCGGAGCTCATGGTTCACAGAGGGAAGAAGATGGGAAAACGCTGGGGCACACGGAGGGGAGCGACGCAATCGGGGAACCCAGAAAGTATTTGGGGAGCAGGAGGAGGTTCACTCCGAGTGGTTTCCCGTGTTCTTCACCCCTCGCACTGGCGTGGTGCATCTGTCACAATTGATGAGCCAGGATTGATGTGTTAGTGACTAAAGCCATCCTTCATCCTTCACGTCAGGGGTCACGCTTGGCATGGTCCACCCTGTGGGTTTGGACGAGTGTTTAATGGTGTGGACTCCCCACTGCCACCTCACACAGAGCAGTTTCCTTGCCCTAAAAATCCTGCGTGCTCCCCCTATTCATCCCTCCCTGCCCCCAACCCCTGGCAAACACTGACTCTTTCGCTACCTTTGTAGTTCTGCCTTTTCCAGAATGACCCATGGATTCAAAGAGTGTGAAGGCTTTTTCATGGCTTGGGAGCTCATTTCATTTTAGCACTGAATAATATTCCACTGCCTGATGTAACGGTTTACTCACCTCCTGAAGGACATCTTCCAAGTTTGGGCAATTGTGAACAATGTTGCTATACACATCTGTGTGCGGGTTGATGTGTGGATGTAAGTTTTGAGCTTCTTTGGGTGAATACCTGGGGGCGTGATTGCTGGACTGCATGGTGAGTGCCTAGTTTTGTAAGAAACCACGAAACTGTCTTCCAAAGTGGCTGCACCGCTTTGCACTCCCACGGGTAATGAAAGAGTTCCTGAGGCTCCGCGTCCTGGCCGGCGTGTGGTACTGTTGGGGTCTGGATTCTGGCCGTTCTGTTCGGGGTGTGGTGGTGTCTTGTTGTTGTTTTAATTTGGAATACTCGGGCGGGAGGTGATATGGGGCGTCTGGTTTGCACACTTGTTTTAATTTGGAATACTTGGGCGGCAGGTGATATGGGGCATCTGGTTTGCACACTTGTTTTAATTTGGAATACTCGGGCGGCAGGTGATATGGGGCATCTGGTTTGCACACTTGTTTTAATTTGGAATACTCAGGCAGCAGGTGATATGGGGCGTCTCTGGTTTGCACACTTGTTTTAATTTGGAATACTCGGGCGGCAGGTGATATGGGGCATCTGGTTTGCACACTTGTTTTAATTTGGAATACTCGGGGGCAGCTGATATGGGGCGTCTCTGGTTTGCACACTTGTTTTAATTTGGAATACTCGGGCGGCAGGTGATATGGGGCATCTGGTTTGCACACTTGTTTTAATTTGGAATACTCGGGGGCAGGTGATTTGGGGCGTCTCTGGTTTGCACACTTGTTTTAATTTGGAATACTCGGGTGGCAGGTGATATGGGGCATCTGGTTTGCACACTTGTTTTAATTTGGAATACTCGGCAGCTGATATGGGGCGTCTCTGGTTTGCACACTTGTTTTAATTTGGAATACTCGGGGGCAGGTGATTTGGGGCGTCTCTGGTTTGCACACTTGTTTTAATTTGGAATACTCGGGGGCAGGTGATTTGGGGTGTCTCTGGTTTGCACACTTGTTTTAATTTGGAATCCTCGGGTGGCACGTGGTGTGGAGCATCTTTGGTTTCCACGCTTGGCATCTGAGTGTCCTCTTCGGTGGGGTCCACTCAGACCTTTCGCCCATTTTTCCCAGTTGGGTTTGATGCACCAGCATCCTGCCATATAACAGTCTGGTTCTGATGCTTGTTCTGTTTCTTCAAGCTGTGTCTTCTGTGTTGAAATATGCCTTGTGGTAGTTTTGCTGAAAGCCGAAACAGCTGAGTGCATGGGGAAGCTGGCAGGTGTGCAGCAGCCGGGGCCCAGGGCATCACACCCACAGGGGCCTGGGGGACCTCCTTTTGCTCAGAGCACGGGATCCACAGTGCTGGGGCCAAGGCCAGTCAGAGCCTCACGCACGGGTGCTGGGTCATCACCATGCCCGGGAAGCTGGGCCCCCGGCCATCAGTAGATCCTTTACTTCCTTACGTCTTGGTTTTCTCCTCAGTGAAGCAGGACGCACAGGTTTCCTCATGTGGCCATTGCAAGGATTTAAGGGGACGCCTGTAAAGTCACCAGCAGAACCTGGGAGCTGAGTGGAGGAGCTTCTTTTTCAGCAGAAAGAGGGAGAATGAGTTTTCAGGATCAGGAGACGGCAGTGACCTGCTGTGTAAACTTTCAAATTATACGCGCCAAGTGGTTCTAAATAAATGAATCAGGTTAATTAGCAAACAACAGCCATTTATTCTCTTTAATAGCCTCATGGGATATCAAGAGGCTATTATATGATATGATATCATGCATTTTGGCATGAAAATTAGGGAGTAGCTCTACATTGCTAAAGGGATGCAGCTTTTTACCTGGGTGACGGATGTATATGTTTTAAAGTAACTTAAATGCATTACCCTTTGCTCTTCACGTCAGCCACATAAACTAAGGACCAGGGGCAGCTGGAGACTCACTGGTCAGAACCAGCAGCACTGGGGTCACACCCAGGCTGGGAACCTGCAGACGGCACTGCCCGTGCGGCATCTCCTGGGACCTGGGAGCTTTCACGCCACGCGTATGATAAGTTTTGGGGGGCGGGAGTGAGGAAAAGGCCCCCCTCTGGTGGTCCGGGCCCATGGTCCTGCCAGGGGCCCACAGCATGAAGACGTAGCTCCCTCACACACACGTTGAATTTGGATTTGCTTGTCTGGCTTCTGCTGGGGCGCAGGATGTGGGGATGGAAGGACCAAGACACACGACAGAGAACAGCGTCACGGGGTCACCGTCCCACTTCCCACCCCGCGCCTCACAGCACAGACGGGGGATTTGCCGGCCTCACGCCGGCCGAGCCACTGCTGACTTCACGCAGCCCCAGCCATGCCCCCAATCAGACACACGGAGCCCCAAGGCGGGCCAGATCTCAGGGCCGGATGGGGCTGTGGAGCTGTGCCTTAGACGGGGGGGAAGGACTCCCTGCCCCAGGCCGGCACCGCACAGTCCCTGGGTAGAAAATTGAGTCCTGTTTGGAGGACAGCTGCTCCCACATCTGGGGGCCTCTGGATCTGCAGGGCAGGGCTTTGGTGGTCCATAAACATACCCCGAGGAACACTCGTGGAGCCGTCTGCATTTTATTTTTGTCAATTATGGCACTAATCATGTCCTTTTACTAGAGATCCCGCAGTGTCTGTGCTCCTTCGTTACATCCCTAAAAGACAAGCTCCCGAGGGCCATCCATGGTGGCCTCCCAGCAGTTCCTGCACGTCACAGCATTTAAAAGAAATCCAGTGAATAAAACAGTTCAGCTTCAATTCAGTAACCGCATAGAATTTCACTTGTGAATTGAAAAGTTCAGGGCCTGAGATAATCTTAAGCTGCTGGATCTGTGGGGAAAACAAACATCTGAGGTCCAGAATTCGTTTGGAGACTCTGCCGCAAGTCCGGATTCGGCATCAGATCAGCTGTGCTGTGTGTGCTTCCAAAGACGTTTCTGATCTGCAGGGACGTCGTCCCGTGTAAGAGTTCAGCGGTGCCTCCACTCTGGACGGCAGAACTGATCCCCAGACGGGGCTGGCCTTGTCTTTCAAGCAGAGACCAGAGTGGGCTTTTAAAGGGGAACATCTTCAGGGTGTGCGTCGGGGTCAGCCTCATGTTCCCAGAGCCCATCTGAGAGGCCGGCAGGGAGGAAGGGACCCTGTTCCTTGCTGTCTGTTGTCCACCAATCTCCTTAGAAGGTTGTCTCTTTAGGGGACAACACAGACCCTCACCGGTGCTGACTGGGAGGAAGGAGCCTGGCTACCCCCAGCTGTGCTTCCAAGCAGTGTGAGTCACATTTAGCGTTGTTTGCAGAACTGAAATGCTCCCTGTAGAGTCAGCTTGGGCAGCCCTAACTAAGGAGCCCAGACTGGGCGGCTTAAACAACGGACGTTGATTCTCCCATGTCCTGGAGGCTGCAGTTCAAGACCAAGGTATGGCAGAGCTGATTCCTGCTGAGGCCCCTCTCCCTGGCATGCAAACCCCATCTTCTCCTTGTGTCCTCACAGCGTCATCCCTCCGTGCGTTTTTGTGTCCCCATATCATCTTCTCAAAAAAATAGATCCTGGAGCTCTTTCCATATAATCACATAAAAAACCTTCTCATTGCCTTTCCAAGGGTACAAGTGACGTCACACAGTGAGAGGGACACAGTCATCGGACCAGCTTACAGTCTTCCCACCGCCTTGCCACAGACCTGGGCTTTCTGTGAACATCTCAGGTCCTTCCGTCTGCATCACTCTTACCACCCGTGGGTTCAGCATCTTCCCACATGATCCTGGGACCTTTTAGCGCTGTGTTCTGCTAACCCTCCTGCACACCCTTGGCCATTTGTCCCCGGTTATTTGTTGGTATTTTTCTTCTTGACTTCTTGGTGGTTTTGCGGGGAGATTGTCCTTTTGTGGATGGCGGAGCAGCCAATCCTTTCCCTGGCTTTCATTTGCCTTTACTTTGCTTCCATTGTTTTCTTTCTGTTCAGAAGTGCTGAGTGTGCTCAAATTCCTTGGTCCTTTTTGTACAGCTTCTGGATTTTCAGCTGTTGTTAGGTCTCCTGAGGCAACAACTTCAAAGCAATTCACCGGTGTGTCTCTAGGACTCTGATGTCTTTTTTTTTTTTTTTTTTTTGATATATGACATTGTTGAAACTTTTGGGGAGCAAACTTACCTTAAAGTCATGAGTTCAAAATTCAAACCAGGCTTCTGACAAGTTACTACCACTATGTATTATCTAATGTTTAGTTTTTGGTTAATGGCTTTTTATTTTAGTTGGATTTTTCTGAATGAAATTGATTGCTGTTAGCTGGTGGAATTACAGGAGCATTTTCCATCCATTTTTTCTGAGCTGCGCAGTTATTGATGGTGACCATCAGAGTCCCAGTGTACAATCCTGGCGATGGCAGAACAGGGAGGTGGGCAGACCCCAAAGCTGCGGTCCTCAGAAAATGGAAGAACTCAGGACTTACACAGCAGAAGCTCCACACTTCTAAAGATTTAGTGAATTCCCAGATCCAACCATGTGCGAATCGCAGAAAGAATAGTAGATTTAAAAAGTCACCTTGAGATTCTAATGCTGGGAGGTTCTTCCTGATCTCACCTCTGCTTATACAGTGTATCCTCACTCCCAGCCTCTTAGCAAAATGCCCCAAATCACCTGTGTGGTGTTGGGCAGTGATGGAGCCTAGGTGTATCTTGGCCTCATCTCTTGTGTGACATTGGGTAGTGACGGGACCTCAGCATGTCTTGGCCTCATCTCCTGTGTGACGTTGGGCGGTGATGGGACCTTGGTGTGTCTTGGCTTTGTCTGTAAAGTGGATTTATGCTGCAGGCTAAGTATCCCTCTTCTGAAATGCTTGGCATTAGACGTGTTTCAGATTTGGAATTTTTTTGGAATGGGGAACATTTGCATTACATACTTGCCAAGTGAACATCCCTAATCCAAAACTCTGAACTCCAAAGCGCTCCAGTGAGCATTTCCTCTGAGCGTCACCGTGGCAGCCAGTAAGTTTCAGATTTGGGAGTAACAATGTAATGACAATGCTGTGAGCGCTTCTCAGTTCCCATGGTGTTCCCAACGGGCTTCAGTTCCTGAACGCTGTTCCCTCCTCTGCTGGAGCCTCCTGCATTGACTCCCCAGGTGGACGTTGCGGTGGCGATTGTGTTTTTACACTCACGGGTCCATAGCCCTGCTCTGTGACAGCGCCTCACCTGCGTTAACCTTCCTACCTCTTACCTGCACGCCTACCGGCAGGGCTGAGAGTCTCCCCCACTCACAGGGGAGGAATTGGGGGCTCAGAGGGTGGGAATGCATGTGGGTCCAAGGGCAGTCAGTGGTGGAGCTGGATTTAGACTCATTCAACTTAGACTCCGGAGCCCAGGACCATAATCATGGGCAGTGCTGCCTCTTTATTTTGGAAGCAGATGATGAAACACCTGAATTACAATCATTTGAACAAGCAAAGCTGGTTTGTTCTCATAGCGAGACTTCCCGAGGAGGACGGTGGTGAGTCCTGGCTGACCGCTGAGTTCTGCCACTGAAGACAAAGGCTTTCTTCATCTTTTCACTCTGCCATCCTTATTGGGTTGACTTTAAGTCCTCTTGGTTGCAAGGAGGTTGCCAGGTATCCAGCCACTAACTCCACATCAAGAGAGGAAGGAGGGAGCTGCAGTGGTGTGAGCTACGTCTATCCCTGTTATTGGAAACCCAGAGCTTCCCAGAGACTCCCCTATGTGACTTCCATTTACCTCTCAGGCCCAGGGTTCTCTCTGGGCAGCTCTCCTGCAGCAGAGCCTGGAAAGGGGGCGGTGGCTTTGCCACCTTGGAGAGGAGAGGGCAGGGCAAGAGCAAAGGAAACGTGGTGTGGCCTCGAGTTAGGCTGCAAGCAGCGGGTGCCGTCACAAGCCCACCCGTTACCACGACTTCGCATCGTCTACATTGCAGGCTCACGTTCACATGCCCTATCCAACCCTCTCCTGCGAGCAGCGGGTGCCATCACAAGCCCACCCGTTACCACAGCTTCACATCGTCTACACCGCGGGCTCACGTTCACACGCCCTATCCAACCCTCTCCTGTGAGTTCACAAATCCGTGACTGACATGGTGTGTACCTCGTCCTCTTGTCCAGGCTTCTCACAAACAAAATGTCCCACCCCAGCTTTCAAGTCTCACCAGAGCCTTTGCTGCCCCATGCCTGAGTGACACCACCATCCACCCGGCTCCAGCCAGAGGCCCTTGCCCACTGATCCCCTCCGGGAGGGGCCACCTGGCACATCTCTGAGTCAAGTCACCGTCACAGGCAAGCTCCCGCTTCTCACGTGCAGGACAGATGGCGCCAGGAAGAGGATGTCAGTGGAAAGCCATAATAAGTTCAAACATGAAATTAGTGTCTCACACAGCAGCTCTGGTCTTTGTCAGACTTTAATTGGGATCAGCACAGATTCATTGCCATGGAGAGGGAAGTAAAATGGGTAAATTCCAGTGCATTTCTGAGAGTGAGAAAAGTTTCTATTTTTCCTAAGGAAAGAAGAGAACTGAAATACGCTTCCTTTTATAACCTATCTATGTGGGAACGGAACGGAAATATTCAGAATGTAAAACACTCCTGCCTGTGTCTATGCAGCATGCACGGCGTAACTGGGGCTGGCACGAGGGGTCAAGGACAAGCAGGACTCTACCTGCCACCCCCCTCAGGGGGACACAGTGCACGCGTTTAGCATCTCCCAGGACATGTGCTACCTGAAGCCCAAGGGAAAGTCCACCCATTTTTAATATTTTCTGTTTGAAAAAAAAAATACACAGCTCATCTTTATGTTCAACTATGCTTTTAAGTATCTGCAAAAAAAAAAAAGTTCATTCAACTGATTGTATTACATACAATTTTCATGGACATTTTTTGTACAGTTATGACACTTCAGCTAAAAGAAAAAAGTCCTTACTGAAAGAGGCTTAAAATACAGAAAGCTTTGCCTCTCCTGGAGGAACCACCAATAACGTGGCTTCCAGCCACTGCACGGCAGTGACTGCTGTGCGGTCCAGGCCTCCACCCCGTCGGACGCAGCGATACCTTTGAAAACAGCACCTCCTCCTGGGTTACTGGGTTCCACTGCTGGAACAGCTGCCCCGAGGCTTTCTAGCTTTCCTCCTCAGGCCACTGGCCAGGTCTAGGCCCAAGCAGGAGCCCACCCCAGGCAGGAGGACAAGTATCCCAGGAGGACCTGAGCCCACGAACACTCCTGGCTCACTGCCCAGGCCTGGAGTGAACAGGGCATTGTTCCCACCCCAGTGCCAGGGATGAGGGCAGAGGAAGAAAGTAAAGCAAAACAGAAGACGTCATAAACTCCTAAGCCCAGAGCACTGGGAGATCTCACATCTATGAAAACTTCTCAAAGGGCGGTGCCTCCACCAGGAGCAGCAGCAGCTAGGAACTTGACAGAAATGTAGATTCTCAGGGCCCACCCGGGGGCTGGCCTGCGATACCCCAGGTGATTCTCATGCTGAGAATAAATGTGATGCTGGCTCTGTCTCCTGTCACCACCTTCCGCCTGGAGCCTCTTGTCCTCAGTCAACATGGCTTTGCCATTGCAGCTGTAGGGACAGGTGAGTGGGTGACCAGATGACCGAGCTGAAACAGGCCCTGGCAGTAAGGAGCGTGGCCTTCCTGTTTGGAAACAGGAGGATGAGCCAAGGAGGAGACACAGGAAAGGAATGTCCTGCCATCTTAAGGAAGGACTGGGAGCTCCCCTTTTACAGAAAGCAAACAAATGCTTGATTTCCTAGGTGCTTCCAGGCAGAAAATAGTGATGCTCAGGAAACAGTAAAAGCCTTTCTGCAATTTTTAAAAATCAGTTCTTTCCTCACTTATTGATTCCTAGCATTTCCTAAAATGTTCACGTGATATTTAACCTTCCTCATGTTTATAAAATTATAGTGGCTAAAAATCCTTCTGTATTAGTCTGTTGTCATACTGCTTTATGTAAAGAGCTGCCTGAGCTGGGTAATTTATAAAGGAAAGAGGTTTAATTGACTCACAGTTCAGCATGGCTGGGGAGGCCTCAGGAAACTTACAATCGTGGCGGAAGGTGAAGGGGAAGCAAGGCACCTACTTCACAAGGTAGCAGGAAGGAGAAGGGGAAGAGCCCCTTGTAAAACCATCAGATCTTGTGAGATCTCACTCACTATCATGAGAACAGCATGGGGGATACAGCCCCCAGGATTCAATGACCTCCACTTGGTCTCTCCCTTGAAACATGGGGACTATAGGGATTGTCATTGAAGATGAGATTTAGATGGAGACACAAAGCCTGGCCATATCACCTTCTTATGATGTCTTTCATGCCACAGATTATCTCAGTGGTGGCCAACAAGATGGACCGAAGACTTCAGAAGCAACAGGAGAGCTGAGGGTTGGAGTGTTCATCATATGCTGAGAAAAATTCATGTTTATAGAAAGCACCAAAAATATTAATTACCCAAAGAGAGTGAGTCACCAGGTGCTGTCAAACCCAAGGCAGGGACTCGAGTTGCCAAAAATTCCAGACAACTGCTGATATGGTGAACATTAAAAAATTACAGAAGTTAAGCTTGAACAATGTGAAAAAATGGCAAATAATTACTCTTTGAACAGACACTTATCAGGGAACCTGCCCCGATATTCACGTAGGTTCTTTTCTATTTTCCTTAAGCGTTGGCCAGCTTGAGAAATAAAGGGACAGACTACAAAAGAGAGAAATTTTAAAGCTGGGCATCCGGGGAGACATCACATGTCGGTACGTTCCATGATGCCCCACAAGCCACAAAAACCAGCACGTTTTTATTAGGGAGTTTCAAAAGGGGAAGGAGTGTGCGAATAGGTGTGGGTCACAGACATCAAGTACTTTACAAGGTAATAGAATACCACAAGGCAAGTGGAGGCAGGGTGAGATCACAGGACCACAGGACGGGAGCGAAATTAAAATTGCTAATGAAGTTTCGGGCACCACTGTCATTGATAACATCTTATCAGGAGACAGGGTTTTGAGATCAACCGGTCTGATCAAAATTTATTTGGCAGGAATTTCCTCTTCCTAATAAGCCTGGGAGCACTATGGGAGACTGGGGTCTATTTCACCCCTACAGTCTCAACCACAGGAGACAGGTGCACCTGGGGGGGCTGTTTATAAGCCTATACCTCCAGGCACGTATTCTCTTTCCCAGGGATGTTCCATGCTGAGAAAAAGAATTCAGCGATATTTCTCCCATTTGCTTTTGAAAGAAGAGAAATATGGCTCTGTTCTGCCCAGCTCACCGGTGGTCAGAGTTTAAGGTTATCTCTCTTATTCCCTGAACAATTGCTGTTATCCTGTTCTTTTTTCAGGGTGCCCACATTTCATATTGCTCAAACACACATGCTGTACAATTTGTGCAGTTAATGCAATTATTACAGGGTCCTGAGGCGACATACATTCTCCTCAGCTGACAGGATTAAGAGATTAAAGTAAAGACAGGCATAGGAAATCACAAGGGTACTGATTGGGGAAGTGATAAGTGTCCATGAAATCTTTACAGTTTATGTTTAGAGACTGCAGTAAAGACAGGCATAAGAAATTACAAAAGTATTAATTTGGGGAACTAATAAATGTCCATGAAATCTTCACAATCCACGTTCTTCTGCCATGGCTTCAGCCAGTCCCTCCGTCTGGGGTCCCTGACTTCCTGCAACAGACACTCAAATTGTTGTGGTGATTATAACAATTCCACGTGCATACCTTCCCCACTTCCAGCAGAGGTAGGTGAAGACTTGGGGTCAGAAGAGACTGTTTCCTATGTGTGAATATCAGCCAGTGATGTGATCTGGTCTATCAGGAATTCAGTAGGCTGAAATTCCAACTGTAAAGAACATTTTTGGATTCCATATATAAATGGTTAGGTACAAAAATTTGTTTTCTAACATTCCTCACTTTGAAAGTTCATTCCAATGTTTTCTGTTTAATAAATATTGAGAAACCATAAAGTTTCCAAATGTATTCCACATTCCCTTGAAAGTGCTGAAACTTTGTTTCTTTTTTAAGTTTATTTTTGAAGCAACTTAAGTTCCTCCCCTCCCCGCTAAAAAAGCAGGCAACTGGTTAAGTATGGTGCATTAATTAAATAGTAAGATATTATTAGAGAGCGTGTGTGTGTGTGTGTGTGTGTGTGTGTGTGTGTGTGTGTTCAGGTTCTTAACCTGGGACAAATTTCATAAGAGATAATAATGAGATAAGGAAAAGCTTCTTTCTGTATTCTCCTAGAATAAGTTTCCAGGTCAAATTACTTGCTAAAAGGACCTGTATTTCAAAAGCTGTTTTCTTCATTTAGTTCAGTGGTTTGACTGTTAGTGAGGTTAGAATTTTTTTCAGCTAATTGGTATTAATTTGTATTTTCATGTCTATGAAATTATTTCATACTGATAATTTTTTGAAGGAAATGTTTTCTTATTTACAGGAATCTTTTAAATATTAAGTATGTTATTGCACTCCAGCCTGGGCAACAAGAATGAAACTCTGTCTCAAAATAAAGTAGATATATTAGTGTTTAGGATGTATATTTCCTTTTTTATATTTTAATATTCTCTAAGAGGAAAATTCTCTTTTGATTTTGAAATGTATTTTTCTGACCAACTCGTGTGGTCTTGGTGTGTGCATAACTAAATTTTGTTTCTCTCCTTGCATTGACTGGCAGAAAGTTAGAGCTACATGTAAATCATGCCCATAGCTAACTGTGAACCCTGAACATTTGAGACAGGTCTCAGTTTATTTAGAAAGTTTATTTTGCCAAGGTTGTCACGCACACCCGTGACACAGCCTCAAGAGGTCCTGAGGACATGTGCCCAAGGTGGTTGGGGCGCAGCTTGGTTTTACACATTTTAGGGAGACATGAGACATTAATATACGTAAGAAGTACACTGGTTCCGTCCAGAGGGGGTTCCAGGTCATAGGAAGGTGAGAGACACATGGTTGCATTCTTTTGAGTTTCTGATAAGCCCTTTGAAGGAGACAGTCAGCATATGCATCTGTCTCAGTGAGCAGAGGGATGACTTTGAATAGAGTGGGAGGCAGGTTTGCCCTGAGCAGTTCCCAGCCTGATTTTTCCCTTTAGCTTAGTGATATTGGGGCCCAAAGGTTTTCCTCTCACATAACATGGGGGAGGTCCTGGAACGCACTCTTTGTGGAAACCTCCTTCCCATGCCACTGCCATTCCGATCCTTCTCTCTCTTGCTTCATATCTAAATGCTTTATAAATTTACCTGACTTTCTCATTTGTATTTGCAAATCAAATTAGCTCCTTTTTAGAATGTGTCAGGGAGTAAGTAAATAAGCAATACGAGATTGGTTTTCTGATACAGAAACATCCTTCTGCAGTGTCTTTGTTTAAGAGTATTTTCATATGGAATACTATAATTACCTACCCAAAGGATGGAAACATTTTTATGGCTCTTAAGATTTGGGTCAATTTATTTCTCAGAAGGTCACACTAACTGATAAATGCCCTCAAATAATCAATTCTTGCTTTACTGCATCCTAATCATAACAGTATATTTTAATTTTTAATGTATGTATTTGATTCAAAGAAATGTGCAAAAACTTTTAATTTAATTTACAATAGAGTTACTTTTTAAAATAGGTAGAAAGGAAAGATCGGGTTTGTGAAAATACTCTTTCTCTGCTTTCTACTGACGTCAGTTAGGAGGTTCGGTTATAGTCAAATGTTTTGAAACAATTTTAAGGAATTGAACTCACAAAAAGGCTCTTCCTAGGAGAGGAATACAAGTCCAGCCTAACTTTTTAAAGTCCTCATGAGCGTGGCTGCCTTTCCACCTGCCGAGCACCACGTATGCCCCACGGTGAAATCACACCTTTGTTGGGCTCTGAGATGCATTCACCTGCACTTCTGTCTACTCTCCTTGCATATAAATTATTTCCAGATGATTCTTTCAAAATCATAGGCCTGATTTATAGATTCCCAAATGAGATATTCTCCCCCGAAGAAATTTGTCATGTTAAAAAATGTGCAGTTGTTAGTCACTGATTCTAGGGAAAAAAAAAAAAAAAAGATTAACGGCATAAATCCATATTGATGTTGCCTATTTATCATTTGATTTTTAGAATATGTTTTTCAACCGGGCGCAGTGGCTCATGCCTGTAATTCCAGCACTTTGGGAGGCCGAGGTGGGCAGATCATGAGGTCAGGAGATCAAGATCATCCTGGCTAACATGGTGAAACCCCGTCTCTACTAAAAATACAAACAAAAAAAAAATTAGCCGGGCGTTGTGGCGGGCACCTGTAGTCCGAGCTACTCGGCAGGCTGAGGCAGGAGAATGGTGTGAACCTGGGAGGCAGAGTTTGCAGTGAGCCGAGATCGCGCCACTGCATTCCAGCCTGGGCGAAAGAGTGAGACTCTGTCTCCAAAAAAAAAAAGAATGTGTTTTTCCTAAAAATGCTCTGTGCACTGATGGCAATAAATAAATACTGTCTGACTACTTTCAGGATTTAAATTTAAATTTTAAATTTTAATTAAAATTTGGATTTTAACTTGCAATGTTTATACCAAAGGTTCTGAGTTTCTGTCATCTTAAAACTTAAAATTAACTTAATTTTCATAAAACTTCAAGTTGATAAACTGAGAAGGTCATCAATAGTACCTTAAAAATACTGTCAATCAGCCCAGGCAATGTGGAGAGACCCTGTCTCTACAAAAAAATTAAAAAATAGCCTGGCACAGCGGCCTGAGCCTGTTGTCCCAGCTCCTCAGGAGGCTGAGGTGGGAGGATTGCTTGAGCGGGAGTTTGAGGCGACAGTGAGCTATCATCACACCACTGCACTCCAGACTGGGCAGCAGAGCAAGACTTTATCTAAAAAAATAAAATACTATGAATACATATTTCAAAATTACATTTGCTTATGAAATAATTATTAAAAGTCAAATGTTTTAAAACAAGCATTCTTCTTTTGCTGTATTCTGATATATACATTTGGAAATTGTCAGCAGGTTATAAATTTGTGTCAAAGCAAAAATATAATCACCCAAAACCGTATAAAAGGTAAAAGAGAAAGATTGATTGGTTGGTTTAAATTAAGGAGCCCCTGATCTTGTTTCAAAGGAAACTCAGGAAGATATTTGGGAAACAATTATAATTACTTTTGTGAAGCGAAAAGTGTGTGTCACAAGGCAAATTTTCTAGCACAGAAAGTAAGGTATGACCTTTTGGCTTCAGGAATAATGAGATTAGGTTTACAACTGATAGCAGCTTTCTTTTGTGCTTTGGAAGTCATTGTTTTCTAATGTTACAATAAAGATCTGTTTTAAAGCTACTTATTTTGCCTATAAATAAGATGTCATTTGGTAATCAAGGGCAATTAAGTTGCAAATGTGCTCACCATAATGCTTAATCGAAAATGTAATGAAATTCTGAAAGAGTTGAAGAGTTGAACACCTGAGTTTAGAATCACAAAACTCCTTATGTTCACCTTGTACCAATCAAAAGACATCTATGAGCAGTTTTTCTTTAAAATTAGAACTTTGATATATGTGGAATCAGTGGGGATTTTTTTTAAAGATGTTTCTTAAAGATGGATTTTTTGTCCATCTCGCTATTGAACCTGCTGGTCTGAGAACCTGCTGGTCAAAGATTAATCACAAGGCTGTGTGTGTTTGTGTGTGCATGTGTGTGAGTGCACGTGTACATGTGTGTGAGTGTAAGTGTGTGTGCGCGTGATGTGTGTGTGTGTGCGCACGTGTGCTTGCGTGTGTGTGAAATCAGACTTTGCACGACCCACTCTGGAACACATTATAAGAGTTAATGAAATCCTAAATATTAGCTGAGATTGTGTTGAATGGATGAAATCTTCTTGGCCAGCTCCATTTCCAAGGTGGCCTTTTGACTCCATTTGCCAGAGCGCACTGTTTTCGTGTCCCAAGCGTTCATTTCATTAAGCTCTTTCTGGTTGCAAAGGGCAGGCACCCGGAGCCACCTTCTGTAGGGCAAGGTCCTGTGGAGCCACGGGAGGAATCGAGGGAGGCAGGCCCTGTCTCAGCAAGTGCTGGCCGCTCCCCGACAGATGCCCAGAAGTCCCCCCAGGGGTAGTGGCCGCCTCTGTGAAGACACTCAGAGGGCTGGGCTGTAGCCCTGGTCATCACAGCCTCAGCCCTGGACAGCTGAATTGAGCCTGGCAGCTGAATTGTTCTCCATGTTGCTGTGAGCCCACTGACAAACTCCTGCCCTCAGTGTCTGGATTTCACACGCCCTGAGAAAGAGGATGTGATTTATCCTCTCAATCACCCACAAACATGAAATGCGCTTGCCTGGCCTCACCCCACGATGGGTCAGGAACGATGGCCAAGAGGGCAGGATTTTACGGGGCTGAGTGTGTCGACACACATGTTGTTCATGCTGTCAGATGGGCATGCCTAGCACAGACGTGTTCAAGCGGTCAGATGGGCATGCCTGGCACACACGTTGTTGTGAACTCTTGCATTGTTGGTAAGATGTGTGATGGATTTGGTTTTACCAAAAATGGCAAATGTGGAGTTATTTTTAAGGCATACTTCGTGTGCTATTTCTTGATGTGGTTTTATCACACAGTGTTGTTTTCGTCCACCTTGGTGCAACGGCCCTGGTGTTGCAAGAGGAGGTGAGCTCTGAGCAGAATTCTCACATATCTCCACTTAGGACACATTGTTGAGCATCGATGTGTGCCAGAGACTTGCAGGGCATTGAAGGCAGACAGTGGGCTGCCCTGTGCCGGCTCTCAGGGCCCAAGCCTGGATGACTAGGGCATGGACGGTGCTGTGGATGGATGGTGTTGGTGGTCAGCCAGCACAAGCACCACAAGCACTGCTCTGACATCCCTTGCGTGGCAGACACGTTGCCATCCTCTCCGAGGCTCACCTGAGAGTCTAGTGTGTCGGCTATAATGTAAAAGTCATGACACATGAGTAGCATTAGCCCCAGTTTCTCCATTAAAGGAATTAAACCGTTTGTGACAGTCAACTCGGTGTAGCAGGACAAGCACCTAGGGCAGGTGGAGGCACCCTGAGTATTCAGGAGAACTGTTGGTTGATGGAGTGGAAGAGACAGAAGCCAGGGCACCGTGGTTCTGGCTGGAACTTGGGCACCTACAAGCCATCTGAACTTGGGAAAGTCACCTTCTTGGAGCAGTAATGTTGTCATCTGCCAGTCATGGGTAGTGACTGACGACTTCCTGGGATTGTTAGCAGAACCACATGAAATCAGCACCATGCCGACAACCATGAAAACTGCCTCTCATTTCATACCCGAGAACCAATATCTTATTCATTCCTAAAAAAGGATTATCTAACATCCATGGGGTCAGATTAGCCATACAGAGGCAGGTGCATTAAAATTCTGAATTTTCAAGTGAACGAAAAGATCTTCCTTTTTCCATTCGGTAAACCAGAGCACCACCTTGATCTGAAAGCATTTTGAGCCTGGCGTGATGGACTTTGTGCTTCTGCGAAAGTGTAGTATAAATTCCATGGGGCCAGCCCTGCATTCTGACTGTCCCCGAGGGCTCTCTAGAGAAAGATGTCAAGGCCAGCCCTGTCCTCAGGTGCAGTCAGCAGACTCTGAATCTGAACCCGCGTTTGGTCTCATATTCATTTCGTCTCCCTTTTGCCCAAAGCATCCCATTCCTTTTCTGCCACTTCTCTCCCAAGTTTTCCCACCTCTTTATTTTTATTTCCATTCAAATATTTCACTTTGACACCATTGAACTAATTCCTCCCTGTAGGAGGCGCTGGCCAGGCCCAGGAGGCGACATGAGGGCATTCAGTGCTCACAGTCGCTAATATGTCATCTGCTTGCTGCGGGCCTGGCATGGTCTAGGATGTTTACCTCTGTTGGCTCATTTAATGCTCACCACGACCCTCCAAGGCCGGTACAATGATTACGGGCCCTTCACACCTAGGAGAAGTAGTCAGGAAGTCTCCCAAGGCAGCACCACTGGTATGTGGTATGTGGTATGTGGTGTGTGGTGTGTGGTGTGTGGTATGTGGTAGACCCCTGCAGCTCTACAGCCTGGCTGTCAAGCCTCTGGGTTCTCCTGGAGCTTACGACCTAATGGGTGTGCATGCATGCATATGTGTGTACAAAAGCATGTGCATCTGTGTGTTTGCGTGTGCATGCAAGTTTGTGCATGTGCATAATCATGCATGTGTGGTTACACATGTGCACATAGTTGTGTGTGCCTGTGTGTGTGGTGAGTGTGTGTTGGGGTGGAGGTGAACAAGGCAGGAAAATGGGGAGGCCATGACAGTTTTTATGTCATTAAAATGATTACCTATCCTTGAGTTCCAAATGATATCTGCCAAACCCTTCCCTGATTCTCCCATGCCTGCCACCACCACCCTGCCCCAGTCTCTCAGCTGCACCCCGTGTACCTCTCTCTGTCTGCAGGAAAAACCCCATTCCAAGGACTGGCTTACTCACCCTTTTCTGCTATTAGACTTTGAACACCAGATCTTGCTTCCGTAGGACAGGGACCATCCTGCTCATCTCTCTATCCCCAACATCTACTGTGGAGCCTGGAACTCGTGATGCCTGTGGCTTCATGGATGCAAGGATGGAAGGATAGATGGAAGGATGGATGGATGGATGAAAGGATGGAAGGAAGGAAGGAAGGAAGGAAGGAAGGAAGGAAGGAAGGAAGGAAGGACAAATGGATAAATGGATGGATGGAGTAAATGTCATAGGAAAAGTGCAGATAAAATTCTAATATTCAGAGAAAAGAGAGCTAAATTTAGGTGGGAGAGTTTAAGAAGATGCTCATAGGAGAAGAAAGCTCTTACAATGGGTCTTAAAGATGGATGGAGTAGCCATAAGTAAGGAGGTGAATCAGAGGAAGATACTGCGGGGGGAACAGAGAGCTGCTGTCCATGGTAAGGGCAGCTGTAGCCTCATGCAAAGTGCCTGCATTTGAGGATGAGAAGCTGGCCTGGGGCACCTGCAGGGCTCGGGGCTGCTGATGCTGCTGGGGCTGCCGATGCACTCATGTCCCATGCAGCATGGCCTCAGTCCTCCCTGCATTCCCTGCCTTTTCTTCCTTTTCCTTCCTGTTTTCTCTCCCATTCATTCTCAATTCTCTCTTCTTTTTATCACTATCTGCATCCACCCAAATACACTTAACTAATTAAAATCTCTATAGTGTGTTCAAAAGTTATTTCTCACCTGCAGTACTCCCTTGACCTCCAGGCTGTCCGTTCCCCCAATTTCATTATGCCCCCAAAAGGCTGGGCACATTTTAAAACATGTTCTCTCCACAAACACAGAATTCCCTGAGCACCTAAGCAGAATTGAATGGAGAGGAAATGAAGAACATATTAACTTCCTCTTAGATCCCCGGGCTGATTTCTTTCAGGCTCAGGGCTCAGACTGCATGATAAGATAACCATTTTGTGAAAAGATGAAAGCTGCTCCGTGCAGGGCGCATTCTGTGCAGGTACAGAACAGATAGGGAGGGGCTTATGTCTCCGTCCCTCCTCCCCCGCTCCCATGCTCACCGCTTGCTTTCTGTTGCGAGTGTCTAGAATGCCCTGGCCCTCTTTTCTAGGAATTGGATTGTACCATTGTCATTCCAACCTCTCTTATCAGAGGCAAAGCCCCAGGGTGCAGCCCTCCCCGCAGCGTGGCCACAGCCACTCAGAACTCCAGAGAGTCACGCCCCGGGTGGACATGTGTGTGAATCATCAGCACAGCACCCTCAGATCCCCACCCTGAGGCACAGCCCCTCGTGTCATGACAGCTGTCACTCATCTTTTTTTTTTTTTTTTTTTGAGACAGAGTCTTGCTTTTGCCTAGGCTGGAATGCAATGGTGCGATCTCCACTCACTGCAACCTCCACCTCCCAGGCTTCAGTGGTTCTCATGGCTCGGCCTCCTGAGTAGCTGGGATTACAGGTGCACACCACCACGCCTGACTAATTTTTGTATTTTTAGTAGAGATGGGGTTTCACCGTGTTGGCCAGGCTGATCTTGAACTCTCAACCTCAAGTGATCCACCTGCCTCAGCCTCCTAAAGTGCTGGGATTCCAGGCATGAGCCACGGCACCTGGCCTGTCACTCATCTTTTTTCGTTTGTTTTCATAACTAACAGCATGTCCACCAACAGACTCTGAGAGAGCTCAGGCAGCACATATTCTCTGGGACTTAATCGCTGCTGTTGGCCGGATGCCTTCCACATTGAGATGCAATCCACAGACAAGTTGTCAAGTCCATCTGGGTGAGGACTCCGAAGAGGAAAACAGGTTACCACGTGGTTAGCCACACCATTACAACACTGGCGACTGTTCCTATGATGGACGGCTCTAATCTCGGTGCACTGGGAGATAACAAGCCCATCCCCACGAGTTGAGTGAGAATTTAACTTGTGCCTGGAGCCAGAAGCGCGACGCAGAGTGGACTGGGGTGCACTGAGCCTTGCCAGGGTCCCGCACCCTCACCGGGAGCTGTGATGGGGCCACCTTCTCCCTCTCCAGGCCCCACTTTCCTGTTTGAAGGATGCCCGCCCTCACCAGGAGCTGTGAAGGGGCCACCTTCTCCCTCTCCAGACTCCACTTTCCTGTTTGGAGGATGCCGACAGCGAGACCTGCCCACATTGCATCGCTTTGCATGTCTAGCTGTGCTTGATATAGAAGACCTTCTGTGTGGATGTGTGACACACCTCAGAGCCAGCAGGTGGGACACAGCTGTGCCATGAGCACCACGGCCCGTGTCCTTGTAGGGCCTCCCTTCCCTGCCTTCTTCCTGTGCCCCCCAGGCCTCTCAGTCCATCCTCAACAGCCAGGGAGACCCCCTCAAGCATCAGTGGCTTCCCATCTCTTCTCTGCTCCTATGGCCTCCAGACTCAGAAGCCCAGCAAAGTCCTGTTATTATTGCCAGCCCCACCCTTCAGGACCCAGACAGGGCCTCCTCTTGCCTGCTCTCCCTGTGGTCCTCCTCCCTGGCAGTGCCGCCACAGGCACCAACTCAGAGCTGTGGACGCACCGTGCCTGGAACCCTCCACCCAGGACCCTCAGAGATACGTCCTACTTCCTTAGGTCTCTGCCCTGGTCAAGCCCTCCCCACCACACTTGTCCCAGCGGGTAAAGGCCCGAAACATGGGGTGATGAGCCCCTTGCCCCGCGTTTTTTAGAGTGTTTGTCACTGTCTGACGTTTGCCTGTTTATCTGTTTATTGCCGGTACCACCACCCAACTGAAGGCTTTGGAGCAGGGGCTGTTTCACTCACTGTCTACCACGGTACCTTGTTTGCAGCAGGTGCTTTGTAAATTTTGTTTGAATGGCTGGGTTGAGTCATTAATGAAAGAGAGAGAAAGGAAGGCAGGAAAACACTTTTAAAACTCATACCACAGAAGATCTATCTAAAACCTCTCCAATTCTGTAATTCTATGACCTCATGAGAAAAGAAAAAAAAACACCCACCTAGTGACCATAATGTAGCAAACTTCCTGCCGGGCTGGGCGCTGGAGTCGGGTGTGGCTGCACAGCTCTGCTGCCTTGCAGACCACTCCAGGGAGCTGCCGGGAGCTGGACGCATGCTGGTGTCTTACCCCACGGAGGGGGCATCACTGCGGACAGAGCCCAGCGTGGGCGGCGGTGACCAGCAGTGCTTCCTCTCAGAAGCTGCCTGTACCTTCTGGAAATATGAAATATGGCAACCATACAACCATTTCTGGATAATACAGTTCCACCTTTGAAAATGGTTTGAAACCACACAAACATCCAGGTCTCATCTATTTGGGGCTAAGATTTTAGAAACAGTAGAATTTTTCTTACAAAACATTTAAATAAGAAAGTACAAAGCGGCTCCTGTGAGCACAGCAGCAGAATCGTTTCCACGGAATTCGGCCCAGGGATCCACAGTTTGGTAACCAGCACAGGATTTTCTACAGAGCCCAGGATTTTCTACGGAGCCCTTCCTCTCAAGAGCATCAGAGTACTTGAGAATATTAACCATGTGTTATTCGGAGCAATTCCAGCCTTGGAAATTTGCGGAGGATGTAAACTTTGCCAACTAACCTAGGGGAGAGCTTCACCCAAATTCTTACCTCCACTGAGCCCCTAATGCACACTTCCTCTTTGTGTTTAATCCATTTATTTGTTTAATACATTTATTTATTCATTCCATTATCAAACATTCATTGAGACCTCTGTTGGTAGTTTAAGACATTCTGCTAAGTATACAGCATGACTCAGATTAAAATGGCCGTTGGAGACACAATATCAAACATAAAAACTAATGTAAGACAAGGCAGAGCATAAACCTGGTAGCTGCTGATATTTACTGATATCAGTAAATATCCTGAGCTGCACCCCAGAGGTATGGTCTTACTGTGCCTGGGATGATGTCCAGAAATTTGTCCTTTACACACTTCCTGGGTGATGCTGAGGTATAGCCTCGGTTTAAAGCCCTTTGAACTATGGAAAAATAAAGGCAAACCTCAAACAGATAAGGAAATGCAAGATCTCAGTGAGCTGTCCCAGGACCAGATCTTGGATCCCACGACTGGGAACCAGCAGAGCCCACTGGGTTCTAGAACCTCTGCCAGCTCACCCAGACGAGATCTAAGGATTTCCCTTAAGCTTTCCTCAGCAGTTATCTGGATGGTGGATTAAGTAACCATCAGCCATTTGTGTGTAACTCAAACTCACATTATCGGGTCAGTTAACAGATTTACTAATTTATACCTTGCTTCTTTTCATGAGGAACTGAAGCGAGAACAGAAACGTGTACAATGGAATGATGGAATGTCTACTGAATCCACAATCGTGGTCACGGAACGTTAAGTGAGAATGAAGGCAAAGAAAAGAGATGTATATGACTGTCACAGGACCTTTGATTATTGATTTAAGAGCCTCAGATGTTTCTCTGAGCCATATAGTGATCAGAGCAACACAGGAAACAGCTTCAGCCACATTCTTTGTTCTGTGGAGAAGGAGGAGATTTAGAAGCAAAAAATAAACATAACTGCTTTCCTAAATGTTATGAAACAGATCTTTTCCTGAGTTCTAAAGCAAGTGAAGAAAAATTTTAAGTGAAGTGTGTCTATATTCAATTTTGAGTTTCTGTGTATGTCTTCCTTCATCACATGCGTGTATTTATTTTATTCGAGCTTTATGGGGATATAAGTCACACACCATAAAAGTCACGCTTTAGGATGTACAATTCGGTAGCATTCAGTAGATTTACAGGTATGTGCAACCATCGCTCTAATCAATTTAAAACATCTTCACCCCAAAAAGCAACCCTGTGCCTTAGCAGCCGCCTGCCCTCTCACCTACCCTGATGCTGGGAATCAACAATCTGTCTTCCATTTTGAGATCTGCCTGTTCTGCACACTTCATATGAATGAAATTGTACATTGGTGGTCTTTTGTGACTGGCTTCTTTCCCATGGCATAAGGTTTTGAAGGCCCTTCCCTGGTGCAGCACGTTTCTGGGCTTAATTGGTTTTAATTGCTGAAAACATTTCCATTGTGCGGTACAGCCCCCATGTTTGTCCATTCATCCGTCGGGCAGCATTGAGGTCGTCTCCACTTTTTGGCAACTATGAATGATGTCGCTGTAAGCATTCTTACACAGGCTTTTGCCTGGATGTGTTTTCATTTCTCTTGGATGTGCACCTCGGAGTAGACTCACTGGGGCTTTTGGTGACTCTGTGTTCAGCCTTTTTAGGACCCTCCAGCCTGTTCTCCCTTCCCCAGCAGCGTGCGAGGTTCCAGTTTCTCTGCATCTTCATCAAGCTTTGGAACTGTGTCCTTTTCCCTCTGTCCACTCCAGGGGGCTTGAGTGGTACCGCACTGTGGTTTTGATTTCATTTCCCTACTGGTGAGTGATTCTGAACGCCTTTCTGTGTGCTCTTTCGCCGTTAGGACATCTTCTTTGGAGAAATATTCAGCTCCTATGCCCATTATTATTTGGATTATTTGTCTTATTATAATGGAGTTGTCAGATTTATATATTCTGGATTCAAGTTCCTTCACAAATACGTGATTTACAAAAATGTTTCCCATTCTGTGGATGGCCTTTGCATTTTTTTGATGGCATCTTTTAAAGCATAAAACTTTTTAATTTTAGGTCGTTTATTTTATCTATATTTTTTCCTGTGCTTTGGTGACATGTCTAAGAAACCATTGCCTGGTTCACAGTCACAAAGAAATGCATCTATGTTTTCTACAAATAGCTTTATAGTTTGAGCCCTTTTCTGTCTTTAAGCCACTTTGAGTTCATTTTTGCAGATTTTGTAAGATGGGGGTTAAATTCATTGTTTGGTGTGTAGAAATTGGGTTATCCTAGCATTATTTGTAGGAGAGACTATTCTTTCCCCTCTGGGTGACCTTGTCTCCCTTATCAAAAGTATCACATGTGCAGGTGCATGTCTGGACTCCAGTTCAGTTCCATGGGTCCATGTGTGCATCCTTGTGTGGGGCCCCACCCTTTTGATTACTATCACTTTGTGACTCTTGGGATCCATAAGTGTGAGTCTTCCAACCTGGTTCTTCTCTTTCAAGATTGTTTTTGCTTCTCAGGACCCATTGCATTTCTATATGAATTTGAGGATTGGCTTTTGCACTTCTGCAAAAAAGCCATGTGAGGTTTTGACAGGAATTTCAGGGAATCTCTAGGTCACTTGGGGTAGGACCTACCTCATCTTAACCATTAAGTCTGCCAATCTATGAACATAGGATGTCTTTTCATTTACGTAAGTCTTGCTTAATTTCTTTCAGTAGCGATGTTTTCTAGTTTTCAGTGTACGAATCTTTCACGTCCTTTTTTTCTTTTTTTTTTTAAGAGACAAAGTCTCACTCTGACACTTAGGCTGGAGTGCAGTGATGCAAGCTTGGCTCACTGCAGCCTTGAACTCCCAGACTCAAGCAATCCTCCCACATTAGCCTCCCAAGTAACTGGGACTACATGTGCCTACTACTATGCCTGGCTAATTTTTGTATTTTTTTTTAAAGACAGGGTTTGCCATGTTGTCCAGGCTGGTCTCAAACTCCTGGGCTGAAGTGATTCCCCCATCTCAGCATCCCAAAGTGCTGGGATTACAGGTGTGAGTGACTGCGTCTGGCCCTCTTTTACCTCCTTGGTTAGGCGGTCCCAGGGACTTTATTCTTTTAGATGTTATTTTAAGTGGAATTGCTTTTCTAATTTCCTTTTTGGGTTTCTCATTGCTAATGTATAGAAATACAATTGATTTTTTATTTTGCTCCTGTAACCTGCTCCTTTGCTGAGCAGCAGTGAAAGTGGGCATCCTTGTCTTGTTCTCTTCTCACAGGGAGAGCTTTCAGCCCTTCAGCATTGAGTATGATGTTAGCTGTGGGTTTCCCATAAATGCCCATTATCATGTTGGGGAAGTTCCCTCCAGTCCTAGTTCTCTGAGTGTTTTTATCATGAAATAGTGTTGTACTTTGTCACATGCCTTTTCTGTATCAATTGTGTTGAGTATGTGGCCTTTTCCCCTTTGTTCTATTAAAGTGATTTATTACATTGATTGATTTTCCTATGTTGAACCACCCTTGCATTGCTAGGATAAATTCTACATAGTCACTGTATATAATTCTCCTCATATGCTGCTATATTTGATTTGCTAGTATTTTTGAGGATTTTTTTTTTTTTTTGAGACAGAGGTCTCACTTTTGTCGCCAGGCTGGAGTGCAGTGGTGTAATCTTGGCTCATTGCAACTTCTGCCTCCCGGGTTCAAGCGATTCTCCTGCATCAGCCTCCTGAGTAGCTGCGATTACAGGCATGCGCCACCATGCCCAGCTTATGTTTGTATTTTTAGTAGAGATGGGGTTTCACCATGTTGGCCAGGATGGTCTCGATCTCTTGACCTTGTGATTCACCCATCTCAGCCGCCCAAAGTGCTGAGATTACAGGCATGAGCCACCATACCTGGCCTATTTTTGAGGCTTTTTGCATCTCTATTTATAAGGGATATTAATCTATAGTTTTCTTTTCTTGTCTTTATCTGGCTTTGCTAGCAGGGTAATTCTGGCCCTGATAGAATTACCATAGAATGGGCTTGGAAGCATTCCTGCCTATTCTAGTCCTGGGAGACTTTGAGAGGGATCGGTGTTAATTCTTTTTTAAATATTGATAGAATTCACCTGTGACACCATCTGGTCCTGAACTTTTCGTCCCACAAGCACGGCGTGCACCCTGTAAACATTTGCTGCATTCTTCATATTTTTATTGTTATACTTACAATATGCTATTTAGATTGGGTAGGCCGGCCGCCCCATAAGTGCAACAGTAAGACGTGCATTTACATTCTATTCTGAATTTGGGGAGATGGTTGTACGTTCATGAATAAATGACTATAATTGCTGTTTTCTCTCAATGACAAAAATGGTGTCATGAAGCAGTGGAAATTAGGAAACTAAGACGCTTTCCGCATTTTGTGTTTGCTACCTCATTTTCACAAAAAGAAATTACCAGCCCCTAAGTATTTATTACACATTGTGCACACCTAAAAAACCCGGAGACCTAGCTTAGTGCTCGTTACATGTTCTAGTGTTGCCATTGTTTACAGCACGCTGCCATTGTCATTATTGTGATAATATTTTAAAGTACATGTTTCCATGCATCCATCAGGAAATCCAGTCCTGTATAGTGGAAATGAGAATGTGGTATCAACATGTGGCATAATCAAATTTAATTCATTTCAGTTAAATTTTATCTTTTATGCCATTCTTTTATGAAGCCACATTCATAACATAGCTTCTAGGCTAAACATTAGGCAGAAGTAGGATACGTGAGTGGGGCAGTAATGGACTCTCTTTTTAATATGAAGGAAGATTAAAATTGTATTAAATTACACGTTAATGGAAAAACAAAGCAAAAGATAATAGGATGACAACTTTATGCAGCTGTAAAGTCTGGATTACAGCACATAGTTTTGCTATTTAGCAGTTGAATATTGAATTTCATTTGAAAATTTGCTTTTAATTATATTAAAATAATATCTAAATATTCCCCCAATATATTAAAGTGCTCTCATTATAATTTGACTGTTTGAGAAAGGAAGACGCCGCCGGCCATTACAGTGTAGGTGCTCCTGTGAGACAGCGTAGGCACCTGAAATATAACACAGTGAGGCTCACCTTGAAGTTAAAGGATCTCTTTATCCTTCAACTGGGGACTGTTTACTGTGAGAATATGCAGGAGCAATCCCTTTGCTGGCCTCAGTGGGAGAAACAGCCCCACACCTTGCTGTCAGTCTCTCGGGATCCCTCAGGAAATCTTTACGTTCCCTTCTGCATTCACACCTGGGTGTGAGAAGCCGGTCCCTGACTTCCCAGGGACTCATGAAATCGTATCCCTTCCTTATCCCATGTTTCCATGGCCATGCTGGCCCAGACGGCTGGCCGTCCTGGATCCTGAAATCTGCGACGTTTTGAGGCCATACCTAGGACTAGTCACTTGGTAAACATTATCAGCAGGGGATTTTGTTGTTGTTGTTTGTTTGTTTTTGCCTTGGTTACCTGGAGGGTTGGGGTTGGACACGATGGGAAAACTCTCACTCCCCATCACTCTGCTTGCTTTCCCTGGCATCCATGTTGCTCAGGGAGTCAGAGTGGGTGGCTCTCCAAGCGCAGGGCATGATGGACTCACCCCAAGACTGCAAGCAGGGGTGCATCTCAGGCTGCTTAGGGTGGTGGCGAGAGAGGAGCAAGTGGGAGAGACGCTTATGGTGACGGGAGAGCTGGCAGGCAGGAATTCGTTCCGGGATCCGAGGCATGGAGGTGGTCCAGGAGAGGCAGGTATTGGACAAACGTGTGGGGGGATAGTTCCCTTCCTGAGGAGACGGCCACGCTCAGCCGTCGAGGTGGCCACTTCTTGCTCCTGTCTGGGTCTTTGGCCTCGAGGACGGCACACAGCAAGGCCGAGTGGTGTGGAGCCGGGTCTTGGAGTGAATGCAGGGATGCATTCCAGGCCTGGGAGGAGAGGCGGCAGGACCCGGGCAGCGACATCTACAAATGACGGCAGCCGGGTGTGCTTAAGGCTCAGCAGACTCACAGGGACGTGCGGACCGTGGGGCAGAGGGAGGCTCGGCAGCTCCTCTGGTCATCACAGAGCTTGGACGTCTGGTCTGGGCCTGGCACTGCTGCGGGATGGCCCGTGGCTGTCACAAGGAAGGCAGCTGTGCCCGCAGGGAGCTTGCTGTCCTAGATGTGGCCCTGGGTGACAGGCTGAGAAGAACAGGGCTCCCCTAAAAGTTGGTGGATGGGCTGGGGTGCATTTGAGGGGGTCAGCCCCACAGCTGTGTCTGGGTGGAGGCAGGGGGAGAGGGAGAGAGAGGAGGAGGCCATCGTGATGGTCCTGGTGACAAGGAGGAGGGTCTGGGGCAGGAGGGGCCTGGGATGGAGGAGGCAGATGTGGGGTTGAGGGGGGCCTGCCAGAAGGAGGAAGGTGTGAGTGCAGAGACCAGGGGAGCAACAGGCCGTGGAGCTGGCAGATCCTCCTTCTCTGCAGGTCACCCCAGCGCCCAGCCGCCTTCCCAGGGAGAGAGGAGAGAGCAAGCGACCTGCCCCTTGGTGGCTCAGTGGCCATAAGACAGGTGGTGCTTTGTTGTAGCCACAGCCTCGCTCCTCCAGGCATTCAGGGAAAGCCCATCACAGGCCGCAGAAGGACACAGGGAGGAGTCAAGCGGGATTCCTCTGGGGAAGGAGGCACAGCTGCCCCCACACAGATGGGACCTCGAGAAAGCTCCTCCCATCCTCACTGGCCTGTAAGGGTGTGGACTGAACAAACGATTTCACGATTAATACCTGTGTATGTGATACATGAGCTTACTAGACAATATCACCCATCAAGTACCAGATGCTATTTTTAAAACTTCTTAAGCTGTACGACAAAACTGAAATCTATGTGAAATACAACTATGCTTTTCCCCCAAATTGTTAATTTCCTTTAATACCACAAAATCCGGCTGTCAAGAGACCTGTTCAATCTACTAGATGCTAAATCTTGGTCATTAACCATTTGGGAACATCAGTGTTTCCTCTCCACTCCTCACACTTTGCGATATAAAAACAACTGCCTGGCCGGGTGTCCTGGCTCATATCTGTAATCCCAGGACTTTGGGAGGCTGAGGCCAGTGGATCACCTGAGGTCAGGAGTTTGAAACTAGCCTGACCAACATGGCGAAACCTCGTCTCTACTAAAAATACAAAATTAGCCGGGCGTGGTGGCGGGCGCCTGTAGTCCCAGCTACTCGGGAGGCTGAGGCAGGAGAATCGCTTGAACCCGGGAGGCGGAGCTTGCAGTGAGCCGTGATCGCGCCATTGCACTCCAGCCTGGGCGACAGAGCGAGACTGTCTCAGAAAAAAAAAAAAAAAAAAAAAAAAAACCCACAAATCTGCCCTCTCGAGTGCCCAGGCCAGACATGGACACTGATTAATGAAGTCCACGGTGGGGGTCACATATTCCCCGCACCTGAGGGTTTCCGCCGCGCTTCCGGGTGTTGAATGCCGTTTCTGTTTCCCCGCAGACCCGCAGTACTCATGGTCGCCCACGCAGCACTTCAATGAGGAGCGCTACTCGCCCGCGCCCAGGAGCATGAAGGGCCTTTCCGGAAGTCGGACCCAGCCGCCGCTGTGTTCCGGGCACACGTGTGGTCTGGCGCCCCCGGAGGACTGCGAGCACCTGCACCACGGGCCCGACGCGCGGCCGCCCTACCTGCTGAGCCCCGCCGACAGCTGCCCCGGGGGGCGCCACCGCTGCTCGCCGCGCAGCTCGGTGCACTCGGAGTGCGTGATGATGCCGGTGGTGCTGGGCGACCACGTGTCCAGCAGCACCTTCCCGCGGATGCACTACAGCTCGCACTACGACACGCGCGACGACTGCGCTGTGGCCCACGCGGGCGCCAAGATCAACCGCATCCCGGCCAACCTGCTGGACCAGTTCGAGAAGCAGCTGCCGCTGCACCGGGACGGCTTCCACACGCTGCAGTACCAGAGGACGTCCGCGGCCGCCGAGCAGCGCAGCGAGAGCCCCGGGCGGATCCGCCACCTGGTACACTCCGTGCAGAAGCTCTTCACCAAGTCGCACTCGCTGGAGGGCTCCTCCAAAAGCAACGCCAACGGCACCAAGGCGGACGGCCGGGCGGACGACCACCACCACGCCCACCACGCCAAGCACAGCAAGAGGAGCAAGAGCAAGGAGCGCAAGCCGGAGGGCAAGCCCCGGCCCGGCATGAGCAGCTGGTGGAGCTCGGACGACAACCTGGACAGCGACAGCACCTATCGGACGCCCAGCGTGCTCAACCGGCACCACCTGGGCCCCGTGGCCCACTGCTACCCCGACGCGCTGCAGAGCCCCTTCGGGGACCTGTCCCTCAAGACCTCCAAGAGCAACAACGACGTCAAGTGCTCGGCCTGTGAGGGGTTGGCGCTGACGCCCGACGCCAAGTACCTGAAGCGCAGCTCCTGGTCTACGCTGACGGTCAGCCAGGCCAAGGAGGCCTACCGCAAGAGCTCGCTGAACCTGGACAAGCCGCTGCTGCACCAGGACGCCAAGCCCGCCCTGAGGCCGTGCCACTACCTCCAGGTAAGCAGGCTCACGGCCCTGTGGAGGCCGTCTCGGCACAGCAGGTGGTATTGTCGTTATTCCTTTTTTAATTGACAGATAACAACTGCATACACATTTAGGTTGTGCAACAGGATGTTCTGAGCTACGGATATGTTCTGGGACAGCTCCACTGAGCTGTTAACACACGCATTACCTTACATACGTAATTTTTTTGGTGGGAGCACTTAAAATCCACTCTGGATGATTTCCACCTATTCAATACGTGGTTGTTAACTGCAGTTACCGTGCTGGCCAACAGGTCTCTTGAGCTGACCCCTCCTCACTGAAATGTTGTCCTTTGACCAACATCTCCCAATTCTTCCCCATCCCCAGTCCCTCTGGTAACCACGGTTCCACTCTCTGCTCCTATGAGTTCAGCTGTTTCAGATGCCACCCGTGAGAGGGACCATGTGGCCTCTGTCTGTGTGCGCCGGGCTCATCCTGCTTTGCAGTTTCTTCCAGCTCACCTGTGTTGTGGAGAATGGCAGATCTCCTTCTTTCAAAGACTGAGTAGTGTCCCCTGTGTATGTACCGCATCTTCTTTATCCATCATTTGCCGGGAGACTCGAGGATTGACGGCACGCTATGGCTTTGTGCGCGGGGCTGCAGGGATGGCGGGACGTTATCTACGGGCAGCTCTCATGCGTGAGTCTGGCCTGCTCTGGGAGGGCCTCTGAAGATCCCGACTCCTCCTTGGAACCATCCCTCTAAACACAGTGGGCCATTTCTTTAAGGCCTCTAAGGCTGGAGGGTTTAACAACCACAGCAAACACAGACTTGCCCATGTGGGTGTTTTCCATGTGAGAGCTGATGGACCGGCCTAATGGAAGTGGGCCTGCGACATTCGTGAGTTCACTCCCTGCACCTGGCCACAGCCTCTCTAAGCACCCCCCACTACAAAAAGCCTGATTATGGAAAAGGCCTCTGTGTCTCTGGGGTGTGGATTAAATGAATTTACCAAAGGCAAAAACAAAGAAGGTAGATCCCTAGAGCTGGCATATTGCAGAATTCCCTGTTTTATGTGATTTCACTCTCTGTCTCTGAATTGTGCCATGCCTGAGTTTACTGGAGAAGCTCTCTGGGAGGCACACGCTACTTCTGAGGATGCCACTCAGTGACTTCCATCAGTCGATAGCGCTGTTAAAAAAAACATAACATGTGTGTCCCAACTCACAAATCACTCTTGCTTGCCTAGAGCAGCGGCTGTGGGCCTCGCATCAGCTTAGAGACATCTTCATGGAGTAATGGGCCATTGCTGGCTGAGCCAACAGGCAGTCAACTAATGGGACAGGGGGACTAGCAGCCGTGATTCTTTCTGGGAGTCGTGGTGGCAAATCCTTCCAGTGGCACCGTCACCATCAGGTCCAGCGTCCACATCTCAACAGCTCTGTTTTGAAAGGAAATGCTAACCAAATTGCCTTTGCAGGCAGATTTATTCAGAGACAAATTGGTAGTTGCATAAAATATTATTTTATAGCAATGGAAGAGGCATAAATTTTGTTTGCCGTCGGCAAACCCTAATCATATCCAAATGTAAAAGTTGTGTCTGCTTGTTTAGAGAAGCCTGGTAGAAAGAATCGGGGTTCACTCTGATCTGTCTCCTCATTGTCACAGACACATAGCTCTCTTGTTTTTGTCTGTGCCTGGTGTGGATAGTCAGTGTTCCCTGAATGAGCACTTCAGGACACTGTCAGAGCCTCCAGGTTTTGCCCCAGGGTCACCTGCCTCCAATGCCTGCCACTCTCCCCAAGCCCCTCCAGCTGCGCCTTCTCCACAGGTCCTGTGCCCCTTGGACCTGCCTTCTCCAAGGAGCTTCTTCCACCCACTTCCTCCCAGGAACACGCTTCTCTCTGCCTCCAACAGCTATTCCACGGTCTAGGTGCAGGGAATACCAGTCGTCCACAAAGGTGAAGTGAGACAGAATGAACCCACACACCGTCAGCCCCTTTCAAAAACCATCCCTCCGAAAGTGACCTCATTCCATCTGCACTCACGCCTTCCCACCCAGGCTACACTGCAACAAATCCCACACGACAGACAGATACAACTGTAAATATGCCTGTGTTGATCTCCCAGAGATCCACACGGAATGATGAGTACGCTTTCTTTTGAAACATAACCACCTGCATTATATCATCCTGGTCAGTGGTCACATTCCCCTGAGGGCTCACTGTCTCTTGTTGGCTTTTATTTGAATCAGGATCCAGAGAAGGGGCCCGCCTGGCAGCTGCTGATGAGCCTCTTCATCTCGTTCAGCCCGAGGTTTCTCCTCTCTTTCCTCTCTTCCTCCCCCTAGATTTTTTTTGTTTGGAACCAGCTGGTTGGTCTGATTGTGTCTGTCAGTCTGAGTTCCGTGCCATGGGGTCATTCCAGACACTCTGGTCCTGTTGTTCTGCAGCCAGCCACCCACTCCTGGACTTCCCTGCCCTGACGCCACTGGCCTCCCTCTCACGTCCACTCAGATGACACATCCTCGGAAACAACACAGAGCGTTATCGTGCCGACATTGGGAAGCACTGCCCGGAGGATCGGAGGATAGAAGGACGTCTGCAGGGAGCAGCCACGGCTTTCATGGCGCTCGTTCACAAGGGCGTTTTCTTGCAGTAGCAAGCTTCCCCCATCCCCACATCCGCCTCCCAGTGAAACCACCTCTTCGGGGCATGCAGCTCGGTGACTTCTCTCCCCTCCTCACTGTCCCCCAGTGGTTGCTGCTGGACCCCTCATGGAAGGATCTATGAAGCTGAATATCAGGAGCTGTGTGCAACCTCCTCGGGCTGTTTCTGTCCTAGGACTCAGCTGGATTGACGTCTGGCATTTTCAAAGATGCCTGTGCAGGGCTGTCCCTTCCTGTCAATTGCATTAAACTTTCTGGTGGAAAACTACAGGTTTCTGGGTCCTCACAACCCCAGATTTTATTTCGCAGCCAGGAAACAGGGAAACTAAAGGAATTTGTCTGTGGGTCCTAGTGTACGGATAAGATTTAAAAGAATAAGAAGAGAGAAATAAATGTTTATAAATTTTCTTCCTTTTTTCACTAGGAGCACTTGCAGCTGAACGACAGGATCACTTTTCATTTTCACCCTTGGTTTGTACAGAGTATGTGGTTCACATTAGAGGAAGATTTTTTTCTTGTTTTTAAGTAGGTCAAAACGGAGAATAAGTGGAATTGAAAGGCAATTCAGGCCTCACGTTATTCTTTCACAAAGCTCTTGTTTTCATCTTTTCTGCATCAGCAGACTAAGCATCTAAGGTCAAACTTTTCATGAGCATTGTAGGAATGCAGAACGGATTCGCCGTGGCTTAGCTCAGGATGCCAAAGGCTCTCTATGCCACAGTCCACCGAAACTCCCAGGGACGTGCAGGGAGGGAGAGACGCCGCCTCCCCGGGAAGGCTCCTGGCGGCATCAGATGGAGGGACAGCGGGGCCCCTGCTGCATCCCAGAGAAGACCCGGCAGCCCCTCCAGCCCTCGGCCTCTGTCCCCGCCTCCTTCCCTCCTGTCCTCAGGCCTCCTCTCTGCAGCCTCCCAGTCTCCCACCGCGTCCTGCGCTCCTGGTTTTCTCCTCTTCTAGTGTCTTCCCCACCTGGCGTCGCCCGGCCGCAACCCTGGCCCTCCTGGGGAAGAGGTTCGGACCCTACTCTTTATTTGACATGAAGAGGTTCGGACTCCCAGTTTTATTCGGCATGTTCACGGGCAGCAGCCCCATTTTGTTTGGCGTGTTCACGGGCAGCAGCCCTGTTTTATTCGGCGTGTTCACGGTCAGCAGCCCCGTTGTGCTCGGCGTGTTCACAGGTAGCAGCCCCGTTGTGCTTGGCGTGTTCACGGGCAGCCCCGTTAGACTTTGGGTTTTACCTGTCAGGCTTTTTACATGTTCACGTGTTGGAAGCAAATGGCAGAAAAGAACACAGAGGGGAGGGGGTGCGATGAAAACGGGGAGCCCTGAGCATTCCCTCCCTGCGTGTAAAGTGTTTCAGAACCTCTCCCTGCTCCCGCCCTCTGCAGCCGGTCCCATCACTGAGTACTGACCTTTCCTTGCAGCCATTCGCTGAAGGACGTGTTGCGGGTCCCATCACCGAGTTCTGAGCTTTCCTTGCAGCCATTCTCTGAACGACGTGTCTGTTTTGTAGGCCGTGCAGATCCCTGGCTTTCAGGCTCAGCTACTGCATTTGTGAGGTTTCCAGTTAGGTACAAAAACACATCTTAAAAGTCCCATCTCCCAGGTCAACAGGTCATCCTTGCGGTGTAGTTTAGAAAAATCATCCATCTTTTACAAAATGGAGCCAGGCTCCCCTGTTTCTTGTCTCTACAATAAGCATTTAAAAGGCTTGTCACAGGGCCAGGCACGGTGGCTCACACCTGTCATCCTAGCACTTTGGGAGGCCAACGCAGGTGGATCACCTGAGGTCAGGAGTTCAAGACCAACCTGGCCAAAATGGCAAAACCCTGTTTCTACTAAAAATACAAAAACTAGCCAGGCCTGGTGACAAGTGCCTGTAGCCCCAGCTACTCAGGAGGCCAAGGGCTGAGAATTGGTTGAACGTGGGAGGTGGAGGTTGCAGTGAGCCAAGATCACGCCACTGCACTCCAGCCTGGGTGACAGAGCAAGACTCCATCTCTAAATAAATAAATTAATTAAATAAATAAATAAATAAAATGGTTTGTCATGGAATGCACGATGCTGGCCATTTGCTTCTTTCTGCCCGATCTGGGGTGGAACCTGAGTCTCATCAGAGTTGGGTGTGGTGGCCTGGGACAGCCTGGGCCACCTCTGGCCCTCCTGCCACAGGCCCACCTCCACATGCTGGGTGACCCCTCCCTGCTGGTTTCCTTCACGCCCTCAGCTCAGCTTGGCCTCCACCTTGACCTTTATTGAGGGTCCCTCTGCTGCCCATCTGCCTCCTGAGCCCGGGTCCTGTCTTTGTCCCGCTTTGCCCCTGTATCTAGGAGGGTCCAACACACTCAGTAACAATTAGCGAGGGGCACCTGTATCCTGCAGCGTTCCAGAGGACGCTGGCTTGAGCATAAGGGTCTCTCCGGGCACCTAGGTGTCCCATGTTCCAGAACTTGGCAAGCAGGAAGGACCCACGCGCCCCAGCCCCCCCTCCCCCGCGCCCACCACCCTCACGGTATCCCCACCAGTTCAGGAAGGCTGGCGTTGTGGCTTATGGGGTGCTTTCAACTCCAGAAAACAAATAGTTCTAACATGCTTCTCAGAAAACTTCTCTGTATTTGTAGTTTTAGGGGCAAAAGAGGGAGAAAGGAGATTGCTGTGGTTGGTTCCTATCCTTAGCGATACCAGTGCTCAGCAGAATGAAAGAACTGGCCAGCCTGGCTGTGCTCCACTCTAATGCACGTTTGCAATTTGAAAGGAGGGCTTTTGTTTTAAGTGGCTCATGGTATAGATCTGGGGCCGTGAATGGATAGGAGAGTTGGGGTGTGGCCACACCTCACTTCCAATCCCGTAGTGGAACAGCAGGTCCGGGAGGAGCTTCTCATCCCCTTTTAAGCCACTCTGGACACAGACGCACAACCCTGCACAATCCTTCCGCAGCCCCTCGAGTTTCTGGTCTGGATCTCTCCTGCACTGACACCCAGCCACCAGCTGCCCCATCCGTCCAGTGTGAGTCCTAAAACGCCTCCTTGAGACAAAGCGGTGACCTCCGCTTCCAGGAGCCACGTGTGCCTGCCCCCCACACTCTGTGTTCCCTGTCCTGTGGCCCAGGCCACACCATTTCCTGACTGCAAAGCCTGTGTTGTGAGGGGCTCCTCCACAACTGCCCTGCCTCTGGGCCACCGCTTCCCCCCGGCCCCGACTGCCACAGAATCCTCTCCCACCTTGAGTACCGTCACACAGGGCTTGGCAGGATCTCGCTGGTGCTCACCGAGCCCGTTCGTGTAATCAGGGACCGTCTGCAGGAGTGCAGGAGCTGGGCCTGTGCCTTCGAGCCTCTCACTGTCTCCCCGGCTGGACTCCTCCATCACCCCCCAGTTGTCCTGGGACTCGGTGTGTCATCGCTGGGAGCAGCTTGGTGCCGGGCAGGCAGGGAGATCGCTGGGCTGTGTCACATCTCAGTGACATCATCTTAGGACCCAACACATTCTTATCCCCATGACGGAAATTCCAGCAATGTTTGTTGAAATGCTGATGGATGTTGAAGGGTGTCTGGTTTTGGGTTGTTGGCCAGCCTCGTGTCTGGTAAATCTTTCTGCCTCTTCAATCCTTCACGCCTCCGTTTGTGGTGAGATTCAAGACAGTGTTCCGAAAAGCACATTGGAAATCATAACTCATGTGAACATGGAACACTGGGTGGGTACATGCGCTGTTTTATCCAGGTTTACCAGGGGAGAATGACATGGCCTACATGTAACTCAAGATGGTCGTGGATGCAGAGACCTCATGGTGACTGGGTGCAGAAACCTTGTGACCTGTGACTGGGTCCTTGGATTCTGTGATCTAAGACCCTGAGGAACCATCTGCATTTATGCCATGACGGCCACCGAGTGGTCACCTTGTTCTGGGCACAGTGCCCTCAACTTGGCAGCTGAGGCTCTGCTTCTGCAGGAGTGCAGGTAGATGGGGTCCGGCTCTGTCCTCTCCCTCCCAGGGCAGATGAGGCTCTGCTCCTGTGGGTGTGCAGGTGGGCGGAGTCCTGCTCTGTCCTCTCCCACCCAGGACAGCTGAGGGTCTGCTCCTGCAGGAGTGCAGGTGGACGGGGTTTGGCTCTGACCTCTTCCTCCCAGGGCAGCTAAGGGGTCTGCTCCTGTGGGTGTGCAGCTGGGCGGAGTCCGGCTCTGTTCTTTCCCTCCTAGGGCAGTGGATGCCCCAGGCTTGTCTGTTCCCGCTGAGTCTGTGTCTCCTGCCTCAGACTTGGTGGTCCACATGCAGTACTGCTCTGTGAATGATCCTGGAAGGGCTGACCCAACCCAAAGTACAGCAGGACTAGGAGCTGTTGGAGCTCAGGCCGGTGAATTGCAATTTAAGTTATCCCTTGTCTGTCTTGGTGTTAAGGAGTGGAATGGAATCAAGTTTGTCCTTAAGAAAATAAAGTGGGCAGCTGAACTCTAAACCTAACTCTGACTTGGTTTCAGTGGCTCAGAGGAAAAACCACAACAAACAAACAGGAAAGGAAAGACTTCCCACCCAAGCTAAATTGTTGTAGGGACACCAGGGTGGATTTGAGCAGCATCGCGAAGATCTCTTCAGCTGAGATGTACATCCCGGGAGGCAGCAGCCATGCACCCAGCATTTCTCAAGCTCAGCACAGCGGGATGGGGGCTGGGAGATGCTTGTGGGGTCGGTCTTATGGAATGGGGGATGTTGAGCACAGCCATGCACCCAGCGTTTCTCAAGCTCAGCACGGGGGTGGGGGCTGGGAGACGCTTGTGGGGTACGTCTTATGCACTGGGGGATGTTGAGCAGCATTTCTGGGCTCCACCTACTACCTGCCAGAAGCACCCCCATTTAGTGACAACCAAACATATCTCCAGATGTCACCAAATGTCCCCTGGGGGCAGAATTACCTGGTTGGGAACTGCTGGTGTCATCCAAAGAGCGTGAGCTTTAGAACAAGACAGACGCGTGGAACCTTCTCACAAGCTGTGCAGCCGGGGGGCTCACAATAGGGGCTTTCCATGGAAATAAATGGCTATAACTGTGCCTGCCTGACCTCCCTCAGGGTCCCGGAAAGAGCCCCTGGTGAGATGGACGTGCCGATGGCCACGGGTGTCCTCTCAACAAGGAGATGGTGGCTGAGGGGTGAGGACACAGGATGGGGCAGAGGGCAGGGGTGAGCAGCGGGGACAGGTCTCGGCCGATTCTGAGAGAACTCAGGTGCTGTGTGAACTCAGGGGTCTCCGCACCGAGGCAAGGAGTGGCCGTCCTGCCTTCATGCCGCCAGCCTGGGTGGTGCGTGAGTCAGCTCGGGTGCCATGACGGGCATACACACCCGGGGGGCGTGTAAAGGCACATTCATTCCGCAGGGTCCTGGTGGCTGGTGCCCAAGACCGTGGAGTCCCAAGGCCAGCTCCTGCTGAGCCTCTCCTGGGCACGCAGACGCCGTCCTCTCCCCATGTCCTCATAGGGTTGCCCCCTCTCTGTCTGTCTGTGACCTCATCTCCCCTTCTTAGGAGGATACCAGGCAGACAGGATCAGTGCCCACCCTGGTGACCTCATTTTACCTTCTTCACCTCTGTAAACGTCCCATCTCCAAATAATCACATTCTGAGGTCCCAAGGGTTAGGGTTCAACATAGGAATTTGGAGGAACACAATTCAGGCCATAACTTGTGTGTCCTTCCCAAGGAGGGGCGTGGGGAAGGCAGCTTTCTCCCGCTGAATGGCTGAGGGCATGCCCTGGAGAGACTCAGCCATTGGCTGGCACCTCCTGGCAGGTTGGAGCAGGCACCTTGGTCCTCGAGGGGTGAGTGTGGCATCCACGCATCCTGGGGGCTCCCATGTGGGTGGGGTTATGCCAGGCATGCAGCGCCTCTGTTGGTGGCCTCCTGGTGTCCATGAGCCCGTGGCTCCCATTCCAAGCATGAGGGCGATAGGAGCTGGACGGGGCCAAAGGGCCCAGTCACGTGTGCCCAGTCGCAGGCGGCTTAGATGGGGGTTTTGTACACTCAGCTGTAGTGTGGCCCACAGGTTTGGAGATGGCCATAGGAAAGACAGTTCACAACTCACAGCCCCAGAAGAGAGTGAGGCCACACCCCAGGCCTGGGGGACACACCTATGGGTCAGGAGGCAGGAGAAGAGGGAAGCGTGGGCAGGAGCCTTTGCCACAGTCTCTGGGAAGGAGGGAGACACATACAAACATGCACACACATACACACATAGGCATGCATGCACACCCATATACCTGCACACATACACATATATGCACATTACACATACACACACATACACACATAGGCATGCATGCACACCCATATGCCTGCACACACACATACACATATGTGCACATTACACATACATAAACACACATATGCACATAGGCATGCATGCACACCCGTATACCTGCACACATACACGTATACACACATTACACATACCCACACATACACACATAGGCATGCATGCACACCCATATAACTGCACACATACACATATACGCACATTACACATACACACATAAACACACATATGCACATGGGCATGCATGCACACCCATATACCTGCACACACACATACACATATACGTACTTTACACACACACACACACGGCTTAAAGGAATGCAGAAGACATTTCCCTGTGGGAACGCACAGCAATGGACGATAATGTTTTTCCTCGGTTCCAGTGCCTCCAAGAGAATATGATGATATAATCCTGGCCCCTTTCACCTGGGCTTTGCAGCTTGGAAGAAAGAAAAGATATTCCAGTTTGTGCAGTGTTGAACTATCCCTAAAGCAAGTAACAGGAGACGTCAAAATGTATGCTTATGTCACCCTTATGAAAATGCCTTTTTGTTAGAAATTATGAACATCACCCATCACTAGGTACAAGGAGGTAATTAGGGTAATTGATTGGCGTTAAATGCAGCAGGGACTGCAAACTGGATTTGCAGAGTCTGGTAGCCGTCGTGGAAAGAAATTTATTCATTCCTTCACTGAAGGCCATAAAGCCATTTTGGTTTCAGAGCGTGCACTTGGCCACCCTGGGCTGAGGGCTGCAGGGTTCGAACGCTGTAACATAACGGAGAGAGATTTGTTTGCTGAGGCAGGCTGGCATTTTAGTATTGCTCTTCTGTTCTTTTGATAGTCTCCAGACATATGCTTTGGAATGGGGATTTGGTACTTGAATTCATGCTTTGAAATTGACTCTGGTTGACATTCTTTCTGTATTGAAATTTCTTCTGTCAAAGCCTGCGAAATTGGCTTCTTAAATCAGAAACAGAAACATACAAGCTGGTCTCATTTGTTAGTTAATGTGCAGGCTGCTGAAGAAAAAAATCTTTACTTTGTTTTTTATGGAAACATGTTTTTAATTCACAAAAAAAATCCCATAAACCTGCCAAAGTGAATCTCTTCTTTGATGGCAGAGGAGCTGCTCTTCCATCTGCCACCAGCCAGCCTCAGCCTCCCTTCCCGAACTGAGCTTTTCACACATTCCCAGGAGAGTGGCAGCGCGAGCTCCCCCGTGCCCAGGAACTGGGTGGCCGGGCTTCCTTCTGCCCCATCGCCTCTGCCTGCACCTTCTGCTGGTCCAGCTCAGACAAAAGTAAACCCGGACCTCACCCCAGGACCTTTCCTGATCCTGGCCCCTCCCGTCAGCCGACAGTGACCTTCAACACGTGTCCCCTCCACACTGGCTTCTCCACCCTGATGATGCTACCACTCATTTCATGTCCATCTCCTGTACCGAATTGTAATGTCATTGAGAACTGTGGCTTTTCTTAAATTAAAAATAAGGGTGTTTATTACAAAAGTCATATAGGGTTCATGTAGACAATTTAAAAATATAAAGAAAAGTCATTGAAAACCCTGTAATCTTCATCTCCTAGTGACGGTCCCTGTTTCACATCTTCTGGCTGCTTCTGCACATAACACAGTTACATCTTTAAAAGACATAAAAATGTCAAGTGCTTTAAAAATTGCTTTTCCCCCTCATGAGCATCTTTTCATCACTAAATGCACATTCTGGAATAGTATTTTGGGTAGCTGGGTAGTATCCATCCTGTGCTTTTCGCCCTCGTGAGCATCTTTTCATCGCTAAATACACATTCTGGAATAGTATTTTTGGTAGCTGGGTAGTATCCATCCTGTGGTTTTAATAAATATTGTAAGCCATCCCCTATGATACAGTACTGTTGTCATTTCTCCTCTTTCCCTGATTACCAATTCCCCAGTCCCTGACCCTGGGCTGCATTGTCTTGGGGAAGCTTCATGGAAGGAAAGTTGCCCACTCTAAGGACATGACCAGTCCGAAGGCCTCCAGTCATCTCCAGAAAGACCGGGCGCTCCACTGCCCGCCACCTGGCCTGAAGACACGGAGATAAGAATTGTCAAGTCCCCAAAGTTGTGAATTCTTTATTCTTCCTTAGTCATCTTTTTCCAGTGCTCAAACTTCCTCACTGTCAGGAAATGTAAACCAAAATTCACACGGACAAAATGTGAACAAAACATCGGCAAATGTACACCTGTTTTCTTAACTGCTGATTTCTTGCTGAGAGAACCTGCTGTGGCTGAGGCCCCAGGCCTGTCTCTTACCTGACCTACAGCTCTGCAGCTCTGCGGTGTCATCTGTGGGACATTTACATTGACCATGTCATTAATACCCGATATGGTTTGTGTCCCCACCGAAATCTCGTTTTGCCTGGCAGCTCCCATAATCCTCATGTGTCATGAGAGGGACCCAGTAGGAGGTGACTGAATCATGGGGTGGGTCTTTCCTGTGCTGTTTTCATGATGGTGACTAAGTCTTATGAGATCTGATGGTTTTTTAAAAGGGAGTTCCCCTGCACACACTCTCTTGCCTGCCACCATGTAAGACATGACTTTGCTCCTCATTCGCCTTCTGCCATGACTGCGAGGCCTCCCCAGCCACGTGGAACTGAGTCAGTTAAACCTCATACCCCAGTCTGGGGTATGTCTTTATTAGCAGTGTGAGAAGAGACGCATACAATACCTCCAGTTCCCTTTCAGCGTGGTCTGTATTCCTCTTTGAACACGTGCAGACCTGGGCACAAGGCACCAGGTCATAAAGGCTTTAGAAGAACCCGGCTGGAGAGCACCACAGACACCGCCTGTCCAGCTCACGGTCACAGTTCAGGATCCTTGTCCTGAGCCTTTGGGCCTCTTGGAATCTGGGTGGAGGGAGAATCTGGAACTTCCCATCCTGTCCAACCCTCTCCTCATCACAGCATCTGGATCTTCTAGTGTGCGTGGTGCTAGGGTGTCACTGTGAGCTGCCGTGTGCCTGGGCCACCTTGGGGGTGCTACAGCTGTGATCCACCTGCACCGTGACCCACAGGGGCCTGCGGGACTGTGGTGTTGGGTGTCCGCGCCTCGTTACTGGGGGACTGTGTGGTGTTGGGGTGTCCACGCCTCGTTACTGGGGTACTGTGTGGTGTTGGGGTGTCCGCGCCTCGTTACTGGGGGACTGTGTGGTGTTGGGTGTCTGCGCCTCGTTGCTGGGGGACTGTGTGGTGTTGGGGTGTCCGCGCCTCATTACTGGGGGACTGTGTGGTGTTCGGGTGTCCGCGCCTCATTACTGGGGGACTGTGTGGTGTTGGGGTGTCCGCGCCTCGTTGCTGGGGGACTGTGTGGTGTCGGGGTGTCCGCGCCTCGTTACTGGGGGGCTGTGTGGTGTTGGGGTGTCCGCGCCTCGTTACTGGGGGACTGTGCGGTGTCGGGGTGTCCGTGCCTCGTTACTGGGGGGACTGTGCAGTGTCCGGGTGTCCGCGCCTCGTTGCTGGGGGACTGTGTGGTGTTGGGGTGTCCGCGCCTCGTTGCTGGGGGACTGTGTGGTGTTGGGGTGTCCGCGCCTCATTACTGGGGGACTGTGTGGTGTTGGGTGTCTGTGCCTCGTTGCTGGGGGACTGTGTGGTGTTGGGGTGTCCGCGCCTCGTTGCTGGGGGACTGTGTGGTGTTGGGGTGTCCGCGCCTCGTTACTGGGGGGCTGTGTGGTGTTGGGGTGTCCACGCCTCGTTACTGGGGGACTGTGTGGTGTTGGGGTGTCCGTGCCTCGTTACTGCGGGGACTGTGCAGTGTCCGGGTGTCCGCGCCTCGTTGCTGCGGGACTGTGTGGTGTTGAGGACTCCTTGCCACACGGGGTCCATGGTAAGGGGAGCTCCTGCTCGTCCAGGCTGGAAGTCCAGGATATGTGAGTGACAGAAATGAGCATGCCTCTCCCTCTCCCTTGGCTCCTGTCCTGGGCTGCAATGTGGAAGATATCAGATCTGCCGGAGCGCTGGTGTGGCATGGCATTTAGGAATGAATACAGGGGCCTTCAGCCAGAAGACCTGCCTTCACCACCAGCCACGCAGATCCCTGCTGGTAGTGCTGTCGATTGGCTCACAGGCAACATGGACACTGGAAAGATGGCAGGTTCCTTTTCTGATGATATAAGTAGTATACCTCAGTAGCTAAGTATTTTACAGCAAGGAAAAAAAATACCCTGTCTGAAGACCTTTTAAATATGGAAATTTTTTATTTTCTTTCTCTGTAAACAGCATTTGGGGAGATTCTCTTCTCCTACATGAAAAACATGCTATGTTAGTTCCTTGACTACAGACTGTGGGTGATGAGCTAGTTGCTGTGGAAAGCTTTGGAGTTCTCTACACTCAGCGACTGCATGCTGTGTTCTTTTGCCTTTGTAAACGTGAGTTTGACCTATGGAGTGAACTTTACCCAGAGCCTCTGGGGAGCTGTTCAAAGCTAATGAACCGTGGGGAAAAGAAACCAGGTCCTGACCTGCAGGGAGCAGCTCCCGCAACGCAAACCACTGTGTTCCAGTTCCATGACTTTTTGCTCATGGCTATGTTGGGTTTCCAGTTTCACAGATGGTGGATGGAAACAGAATACTGGCCTGCACTGTCATCTTCATGGTTTACCCTCCCCTCAGAGAGACACTTAACGCAAACACACAGCAGGCAGCCTGTGGGGCCGTTATGGGTGATATATAAAATGCACGTGGGTTCAGTTCTCGAACAGTCAGATACACAGCACAGGGGGGTTATATGTATGGGCTCTCAGCTCTGTGCAAGGCAGATATATAGCAAGTACATGGGCCCAGTTCTGTGCCTGGCAGATATATAACAGGCATAGGTGCTCACCTCTGTGCCAGGCAGATGTATAACATGCACAGTTGCTCAGTTTGGTACCATGCGGATATATAATACGCACGGGTGCTGAGTTCTATACCACACAGATATATAACATTCATGGTTGCTCAAGTCTGCACCAGGCAGACACATAACATGCATAGTTGCTCAGCTCTGTACCAGGCAGACATATAACAAGCACAGGTGGTCAGCTCTGTACCACACAGATATATTGCATGCACAGGCAGGTGCTGAGTTCCATACCACACAGATATGTAACATTCATGGTTGCTCAGGTCTGCACCAGGCAGACATATAACATGCGTGGGTGCTGAGTTCCATACCACACAGATATATAGCATTCATGGTTGCTCAGGTCTGCACCAGGCAGACATATAACATGCATGGGTGCTCAGCTCTGTACGAGGCAGACGTATAACACGCACAGGTGATCAGCTCTGTACCACCCAGATATATAACATGAGCGGGTGCTGAGTTCTGTAACAGGCAGACATATTCCATGCACAGGTGCTTGGTGATATGTCAGGTGGAATGTGATGTGGCTGGGCAAGATCCTTTTGCAACTCTGAGTACTGAGAATTTGCATGTATGATAGAACTTGGCTTCTAGAGTTAAAACCATCCTCTTTTATTTGCTTGCAATTAAGATATAAGTATACAATAAGATAGGCATTTTCTCCCTTGTTTTCTTTTTTTTTTTCCTTTTCTTCTCTGTTCAGTTTCTCAACTTTCAATTTCCTCTTATACCAGAGGGAAATAAAACTAAATTTTAGCCAGTGCTTTGTCCCAGCTGCTGAGATTGCAAGTGTCCCTTCTTCTCTTACTTTTCTCACATGTTCTCACTTTATCCATAGTGTTTACCTATCACTTATAATGAAGAAAAACCAACATTTTTATATTCATTTCCTTTTAGGGTATGCATTTTTATACATCTGACTTTAACTGATAAATGACTGTAAAGAGGTGTATCTTTATGGAATTGTAGAGGATTTGTTTCCAAAAAGGAGCTGATGCTGCCGTTCTCAGTGACAAAGTTGATGCGTGTTTCATGTCTGTCTGCTCCCAGGTACCTCAGGATGAGTGGGGAGGGTACCCCACCGGTGGCAAAGATGAGGAGATTCCCTGCAGGAGAATGAGAAGTGGGAGTTACATTAAAGCCATGGGGGACGAGGAGAGCGGAGAGTCAGACTCCAGCCCCAAGACATCACCAAAGTCGGCAATCCTACAAGAGCCGCTGCTGAAGTCCATCGGACAGAGACCGCTTGGAGAGCACCAGACGTAAGTGAGACCAGCTGCCTTCCCACTCCAAGCACTTTCCCACTGCCTGCGAGCTCCCTCTCCAAAACCACTTCACCGTGAGCTGAGTGCCATCCATTTAAACTAAATTCCCAAGCTGAAAATATTAGACCCATGGCTGTCAATTTTCAAGTATTTTTTTAAAGAACAACCAGAGCTTTTGTTATTTATCAATTACATAATAATTAAGGAAGTGTGCTTGGGCAACTTCCTTGTCAAATTATAAAGCCAACATGAGCCATCGTATCTTTCTGATCATTCAGATTATCCTCAGGACAAGCACATGTCTCTGTTTGTATGAATGTGTGCGTATGGGTGTGTGTTTGAATGTCTTTGTGAGTAAAACTCGTTAACGGAATTTTGTTGTTGACTATAACTTTGTAAGTGCATTTCTAGGCAACACATTTTTTTGTAGAGGAGGGAGGAAATGGACTAGCTTTATAAATATAATACCCTACACTTTACATATTTGCCCAAAATTTATTATTAATAAATTTAATTTTGAAAATATAGACAGATAAAACTCTTTGGGAAATCAGCAATTCCTATGAACCATGAAAATATGACTGTTACTGTCAACAGCCACGCTGCTGTGTATCTTGAGTCCCACAAGTTAGTTTGGGTGGTAATGCCAAGAACTGCCTGGAAGCTACCCCTGCCTTCTGCGGCCAGCTGTGAGGTCCTGGGCAAGTGGATAGGCAGGGCGGAACTGCTTCTCAGCCTTGGCCAGTGCCACATAAGAGTTATTAATTATGACCCACACATCAGACAGGGAGCCCTGGGCCACAGGGCCCTCCCTGTATTGTCTCTATCCACGCCGAGTGCACCCAGTGATGAGCCAGTGACCATATAACCTCTTCCAATACATCTAGTTATTCATCGCTGTTGGCTTACAAGATGAAAAAGTGAAATTTTAAATTGAAACCAAATCTTACAAATTAGAACTTCACAAATCCGAACTCTATCATTGTTGCCTAGTTCAGCTAAATTCAAGAGCTATGGTGTAGGAATGCCAGACAAGTCATGCCCTGAGACCGGGCCGCATGTCTGCCCAGCCCAGGCCCATCCATCTCCTCTCCCTCCACAGAGGGTGGTCAGTGCCAGCTTGTGGGACGAGTGGCTGAGAACAAAGCCAAAATGTTGCCCTGGGGAAGCTCTTAGACTTGTTGGAAGGAAATGGGGAGCAGGTGTTTGTAAGCCAGGAAATAACCAGGAAAGATGATTACCAGGAAGGGGTTGGGGAGCTGGACAGAGCTGGGAGCAGAGCCAAGTTGTCTGACCCATCTGCTCCAGCAGGAAAGTGAAGGATTGGACTGGATGTCAGCTCTCACCCACCTTTTATTTGGCACACTTAAAGACATTAGGAGAATTATGAATTATCTGAAACGTCTTCTGGGGAAAAGCACACACATGCAGAAGCTATGCTTCGTGGGTCCAGGGCTCCAAGGCCAGCCTCAGTCCTGGGGTTTTGGACCCCCAGGTAAACAGCCATTGGTTAACTTCCCACTTTAAATGTTTGTGATTCATTGCATAATTCTATATGTTTGAAAGCAAAACATGAAAAAACCAAAGCCTTTTTTAGACCATGGGCAGGGACTAAGTGTTTTAAGAATTACGAACGGCGTTTTCCTGTTGACGGGTTCCTTCTTCCACTCATTCACCATCACTGCCACGGGTCCCCCAGGATCATTATCACCTCATTCTTCAGTGGCAGAGACGGTGTCTCATTCCTTTCTTCACATCAGGGACTGGCCCAGAGTCCTGTACGAGGCTCCAGTACTAACAATGTTCAAAGGACACTCTCAGAACTTTACACTGGCAAAACTCACACCATCACCCAATGTAGTTGAAACTCTTCAAAAAACCAGCGGAAGGATGTGAGCCTGAGGCCCCCTGACAGCATCACCTAAACACTGGCCAGACCCTTCCCTGCCCAAGTGGGAAACCCTCTGGGAGTTCACTCACCAACAGCCCTTAACACCTGACCAGAAAGCATTCCATGGCCTCAAATCTGATCAGATGTGAGGAAAATGGGTGAGATGTGCTGCCTACGTTACTCCTGTTCTAAACACAAATCCACTCTGCCCGTGGACCCCCATGCCACTGTCCACTCAGCAAACACAAATCCACTCTGCCCATGGCCCCCATGCCACTGCCCACTCAGCAGACACAAATCCGTCTCTGCCTGTGGCCCCCATGCCACTGTCCATTCAGCAGACACAAATCCACTCTGCCCGTGGCCCCCATGCCACTGTCCACTCAGCAGACACAAATCTGTCTCTGCCTGTGGCCCCCATGCCACTGTCCACTCAGTAGACACAAATCCACTCTGCCCATGGCCCCCATGCCACTGTCCACTCAGCAGACACAAATCCACTCTGCCCGTGGCCCCGATGCCATTGTCCACTCAGCAGACACAAATCCACTCTGCCCGTGGCCCCCGTGCCACTGTCCACTCAGCAGACACAAATCCGTCTCTGCCTGTGGCCCCCATGCCACTGTCCACTCAGCAGACACAAATCCACTCTGCCCGTGGCCCCCATTCCACTGTCTACTCAGCAGACACAAATCCGTCTCTGCCCGTGGCCCCCATGCCACTGTTCACTCAGCAGACACAAATCCGTCTCTGCCCGTGGCCCCCATGCCACTGTCCACTCAGCAGACACAAATCCGTCTCTGCCCGTGGCCCCCATGCCACTGCCCACTCAGCAGACACAATTCCACTCTGCCCGTGGCCCCCATGCCACTGTCCACTCAGCAGACACAAATCCGTCTCTGCCCGTGGCCCCCATGCCACTGTCCACTCAGCAGACACAAATCCGTCTCTGCCTATGGCCCCCATGCCACTGTCCACTCAGCAGACACAAATCCACTCTGCCCGTGGCCCCCATGCCACTGTCCACTCAGCAGACACAAATCCATCTCTGCCTGTGGCCCCCATGCCACTGTCCACTCAGCAGACACAAATCCACTCTGCCTGCAGCCCCCATGCCACTGCCCACTCAGCAGACACAAATCCGTCTCTGCCTGTGGCCCCCATGCCACTGCCCACTCACCAGACACAAATCCACTCTGCCCGTGGCCCCCATGCCACTGCCCACTCACCAGACACAAATCCACTCTGCCTATGGCCCCCATGCCATTGTCCACTTAGCAGAGATGGTGCAACAGTTGGGTCCATTCTTCCATTTATCCAGGATTTATCACTCCATTGATGAGTCCAACAAATGTCAGGCATTCTGCCAAACTCGATTTATACGTGCCCCAATCATTCTTTTTCCCTAAATCTGACGCCGTGTTGTAGATAATAAAGCAGAGAAAGCAGCCATGTGATGGGTCTGGACAGCGACCTGCCTGCCAGGGACCTGCTAACTTGAAAGTCCTCGAAACTCCTCTGAGTCACTCTTTGGGGGTTAATGTAATGAAAGTTTCTGCAAAAAAAAATATTATGTTACCAGGAGGTATCAACACATTTTTGCTGTAGCCTATTCGCATCTTAGTTTATCTTATATTCCTTCACGTTTTATGGATTCCAACGTAATTCATTTATTTCCATTTTAGATGACATTGCTGAAGCTCAGCTTTGTAACTCAGGGAAGCTCTCATGATGCCTGTTTTATGGACAGAAACATGACTCAGGGAAATGAGGTGCTGGAGGCTGCACAAGCCACCAAGGCTCTCAGCTGAAGGTAGCTCAGCCCCAAGCCCCGTGGCCTTCAGCCCATGGCACTGCTCTGTGGAGGGCAGGGTAGATCTTCACCCTGTGGCACTGCTCTGCGGAGGGCAGGATAGATCTTCACCCCATGGCACTGCTCTGTGGAGGGCAGGTAGATCTTCACCCCATGGCACTGCTCTGTGGAGGGCAGGGTAGATCTTCACCCCATGGCACTGCTCTGTGGAGGGCAGTGGCGGAGGCCAGGGTAGATACTGTGGGGAGAGGAGAGAAAGGAAGAAAACGGCCAGGACTGGGAGAATTCCCATAGTTGTCACTCTGTAACCCTGTGTTTCCAGGAAACAAGGGCACGCTGAGCTGTAGTGAGTGTGGACAAAATTCTCTTGAAAGATTTTAACAGTGGAGATGTCAGAAGCACATCATAGGGACCTCAGATTAAACAGGAAAGACAAGACCGGGGAGGCACATACACATCCATGTGCCGTCTTCATTCTGCTGGCCTCCAGGGTCATGTTAACTGTGCTGGGAACGACTTGGGTTTCACCCACGTGAACGCCCAGCACCCCCTATGACTGTGGCTGGCACCATGATGTCGTCTCTGCATCCTGTTCCATTACGCACAGCCCTTTCATAATGTTCACTCCTGGGGGCTCTTTCAATCTAGGCACATTTAAATATCAGCATTTTTAACGTGTAGCAGGTGAATATTCATATCCCAAACATGTTCTCCTAATCCAATTCCTCATTTGTCTTAGTTTTAAAATTGATTCCTGAGTTGACCATTCCCACCTAAGCTTTGAGAAGGCTCAGTTGGATTTCACATGTTCACCACAGTGTAGGTGCAGACGCTGTAATGCCCAAGAGGCTGGCTGTGGAGGCGTCTGCTGGGATGGAGAGGAGAGAAGGATGAAGAGAGGACACATCTGCTGGGATGGAGGGAGGGGTGAACTGTGGGGGTGTCTGATGAGATGGAGAGGAGAGAGGGGTAAACTGGAGGGACATCTTCTGGGATGGAGAGGAGAGGGGTGAACTGCGGGGGTGTCTGATGAGATGGAGAGGAGAGAGGGTGAACTGTGGGGATGTCTGATGAGATGGAGAGGAGAGAGGGTGAACTGTGGGGATGTCTGATGAGATGGAGAAGAGAGAGGGGTGAACTGGAGGGGCGTCTTCTGGGATGGAGAGGAGAGAGGGTGAACTGTGGGGGTGTCTGATGAGATGGAGAGGAGAGAGGGGTGAACTGTGGGGCGTCTGATGAGATGGAGAAGAGAGAGCGGTGAACTGGAGGGGCATCTTCTGGGATGGAGAGGAGAGAGGTGAACTGTGGGGGCATCTGATGAGATGGGGAGGAGAGAGGGTGAACTGTGGGGGCATCTGATGAGATGGAGAGGAGAAAGGGGTGAACTGTGGGGGCATCTTCTGGGATGGAGAGGAGAGAGGGTGAACTGTGGGGGCATCTGATGAGATGGAGAGGGGAGAGGGTGAACTCTGGGGGTGTCTGATGAGATGGAGAAGAGAGAGGGGTGAACTGGAGGGGTGTCTTCTGGGATGGAGAGGAGAGAGGTGAACTGTGTGGGCATCTGATGAGATGGGGAGGAGAGAGGGTGAACTGTGGGGGCATCTGATGAGATGGAGAGGAGAGAGGGGTGAACTGTGGGGGCATCTGATGAGATGGAGAGGAGAGAGGGTGAATTGTGGGGTGTCTGATGAGATGGAGAGGAGAGAGGGGTGAACTGTGGGGTGTCTGATGAGATGGAGAGGAGAAAGGGGTGAACTGGAGGGTTGTCTTCTGGGATGGAGAGGAGAGAGGAGTGAACTGTGGGGTGTCTGATGAGATGGAGAGGGGAGAGGGGTGAACTGGAGGGGCATCTTCTGGGACGGAGAGGAGAGAGGGGGTGAACTATGGGGGCATCTGATGAGATGGAGAGAGAGAAGGGTGAACTGTGGGGGCATCTTCTGGGATGGAGAGGAGAGAGGGTGAACTGTGGGGGCGTCTGATGAGATGGAGAGGAGAGAGGGTGAACTGTGGGGGCGTCTTCTGGGATGGAGAGGAGACGGGGTGAACTATGGGGCGTCTGATGAGATGGAGAGGAGAGAGGGTAAACTGTGGGGGCGTCTGCTGGGATGGAGAGGAGACAGGGTGAACTGTGGGGGCGTCTAATGAGATGGAGAGGAGAGAGGGTAAACTGTGGGGGCGTCTGCTGGGATGGAGAGGAGAGAGGGTGAACTGTGGGGGCGTCTGATGAGACGGAGAGGAGAGACGGTGAACTGTGGGGATGTCTGATGAGATGGAGAGGAGAGAGGGTGAACTGTGGGGGCGTCTGATGAGATGGAGAGGAGAGAGGGTGAACTGGAGGGGCATCTTCTGGGATGGAGAGGAGAGAGGGTGAACTGTGGGGGTGTCTGATGAGATGGAGAGGAGAGAGGGTGAACTGTGGGGACATCTGATGAGATGGAGAGGAGAGGGGGTGAACTATGGGGGCATCTGCTGGAATAGAGAGGAGAGAGGTGAACTGTGGGGGCATCTGATGAGATGGAGAGGAGAAAGGAGTGAACTGTGGGGGCGTCTTCTGGGATGGAGAGGAGAGAGGGTGAACTGTGGGGTGTCTGATGAGATGGAGAGGAGAGAGGGGTGAACTGTGGGGGCATCTGCTGGAATAGAGACGAGAGAGGTGAACTGTGGGGCGTCTGATGAGATGGAGAGGAGAGAAGGGTGAACTGTGGGGGCATCTTCTGGGATGGAGAGGAGAGAGGGTGAACTGTGGGGGCGTCTGATGAGATGGAGAGGAGAGAGGGTGAACTGTGGGGGCGTCTGCTGGTATGGAGAGGAGAGGGTGAACTGTGGGGGCGACTGATGGGATGGAGAGGAGAGAGGGTGAACTGGAGGGGCATCTTCTGGGATGGAGAGGAGAGAGGGTGGACTGTGGGGGTGTCTGATGAGATGGAGAGGAGAGAGGGTGAACTGTGGGGGCGTCTGATGAGATGGAGAGGAGAGAGGGGTGAACTGTGGGGGCATCTGATGAGATGGAGAGGAGAGAGGGGTGAACTGTGGGGGCATCTGATGAGATGGAGAGGAGAGAGGGTTGAACTGTGGGGGCATCTGATGAGATGGAGAGGAGAGATGGTGAACTGGAGGGGTGTCTGATGAGATGGAGATGAGAGAGGGTGAAGTATTGGGGGCATCTGATGAGATGGAGAGGAGAGAGGGTGAACTGGAGGGGCGTCTTCTGGGATGGAGAGGAGAGAGGGTGGACTGTGGGGGTGTCTGATGAGATGGAGAGGAGAGAGGGTGAACTGTGGGGGCATCTGATGAGATGGAGAGGAGAGAGGGGTGAACTGTGGGGGCATCTGATGAGATGGAGAGGAGAGATGGTGAACTGGAGGGGTAATCTGATGAGATGGAGATGAGAGAGGGTGAAGTGTCAGGGGCATCTGATGAGATGGAGAGGAGAGAGGGTGAACTGGAGGGGCGTCTTCTGGGATGGAGAGGAGAGAGGGTGGACTGTGGGGGTGTCTGATGAGATGGAGAGGAGAGAGGGTGAACTGTGGGGGCATCTGATGAGATGGAGGGGAGAGAGGGGTGAACTGTGGGGGCGTCTGATGAGATGGAGGGGAGAGAGGGGTGAACTGTGGGGGCGTCTGATGAGATGGAGAGGAGAGAAGGTGAACTGTGGGGGCATCTAATGGGATTGAGAAGACAGAAAGGGTGAAGAGTGTCTGAGAGAAAAGTCCTTTAGACCCCTGACTGCCATCCGTGGGTTTCACAGCTTGGGGAGCATATTCTTGCTTAAGTTATATTTAGTCATCAATAATAACAGCTCGTTTATTCGGGAAGTATGCAGGAAACATCACGTGCTGTTCTGGTGCCCAAATGCAGGTAAACTAACACCAGAGAATGGAGCTTTCAGTCCAGATGCTGGCAAGCAAGGGCCTGCCAAGGGCCTTTTTTGTGAATAAAGTTTTATTGGAATGTGGCCCGCTCACTGGTCATCATGTTGCTGTGGGTACCTCCCAGCTTCAGGCAGGGCTGAGCAGGTGTGAGGCACCCCGACAGCCGGCAGACCCTAGAATACTTACATCTGGGCCTTTACAGAAGGTGTGAGCTGACCCCTTAGAATCTAACAGACCCAGTGCACTTCAGTGAGTAGTCATAAGTGGCGTAGGTAACTTACAAGTGTAAAGTGAGGTGCTCTCTAAATGCGTGAGACAGGACTCCTAACCCATTCTGGGAGCTCCAGGCTTGTCTCCCTGCAGACTCACATTTGCATTGAGGGGTCCACCCTAGAGCATTAGGGTAAGCGGTGGGTAGGAGAGCATCAGCCCTGCACAGAGCAGGACCAAGTTCCCAAAGACAGCATATTTACGGGAGAGGGAAATAATATTTTATAGTAACACTATTTCATGTTGAATGCCAACTCTGTTGAATCACTCAGGTGCAATCAGAAAATGGAAACAGGTTCTGCGTCACCAGATTTTAGTGTATGGGGGGTAACGTGAGACAGGAGAGCAATGAACTAGGCACAGCACCGGCAATAATTGCAGGACTTGTAATACACCAAGAACAACAGCCATCCCAGCCCTCGCCGCTCTGGTAACTGTGCTGAAGCCAACACCATGACCCAAGCCTTAGAGATGAAGACCCTGTCTCAGCGAGTCACACCACCGGAAGTCAACTCTAGGTCTCTCAGTTTTACGCGGCTAAACCATGCTGCCCCCTGCCCCCGGAGGCAGCAGAATCTCCCCTCGGTGATGAGTCACCTCCCTCGGTGATGAGTCCTGTGTGTGGTCTTCCCACCAGAGCCTCAATACCATCGAGCAAGCACATTTATTAAACAGTTAGTTGACATTTCCATTTTGTTATGACCCAAATCATGTGTTACTGCAAATAAAAGCTTCCACTTAGGCTGAGCTAAGCACCTTTACTGTGCTGAGTTGATAAAGTTGGTTGACCCACATTAAACTGCCAATAATCAGCCAATATTTAAAAGCAGAAATTGTATATGGTTCAACCTGATCATTCCGGACACAAGAAAGGAAACCCACGAACATACGTGTGACAGGCATCTCACTCTGCATAAATATGTGACTCATGAGATTTTGCAAGCATTGAGAAAATACCTAATGAGTCTTGAAGATGTTTCTTCGCCTAAGAATTGTATTTGGAATCCACTGTTGTGCTTCCTGCTAGTGACTGAGTATCTTCCACAAACACACACGTGTGCACACACTCACTACACAGGGACAGAGAGAGGCAAGCGAGGGAGAAACGCAATGTTAGGTCATAATAACGCACAACAAGAGACTATGAACAATACAAAAAATCATCACAGACGACAGAGTTTCTTCCTCTTTAGGAGTGACTAGTATTCCACACCGTATCTGCTGCATTTTCATCCACTCACCCTTTGATGACAGAGGTTGACTCTGTGACTTGGCGATTGTGAGCAGTGCTGTGGCAAACGTGGGAAGGCAGACGTGAATGGAAGCAGAGGGCATTAGGTTACATGAAATAAGCCAAAATACAGAAAAACAAACACCGCAAATCCCCACCTAAATACAGGACCTAAAACAATGGAACTCACAGGTGCAGACAGTGGAATGGAGGTTACAGAAGCTGGGGGTGCGGAAAATGGAGAGTTGAGGGTCAAAAGAACCACCCTCCGTGAGACAGGAGGATATTCTTTATTATTATTATTATTATTATTATTATTATTTAAGTTCTAGGGTACATGTGCACAATGTGCAGGTTTGCTACATATGTATACATGTGCCATGTTGGTGTGCTGTACCCATTAACTCGTCATTTACATTAGATATATCTCCTAATGCTTTCCCTCCCCCCTCCCCCCACCCCATAACAGGCCCTAGTGTGTGATGTTCCCCTTCCTGTGTCCAAGTCTTCTCATTGTTCAATTCCCACCTATGAGTGAGAACATGTGGTGTTTGGTTTTTTGTTCTTGTGATAGTTTGCTCAGAATGATGGTTTCTAGCTTCATCCATGTCCCTACAAAGGACATGAACTTGTCCTTTTTATGGCTGCGTAGTTTTCCATGGTGTATATGTGCCACATTTTCTTAATCCAGTCTATCATTGATGGACATTTGGGTTGGTTCCAAGTCTTTGCTATTGTGAATAGTGCTGTAATAAACATACATGTGCATGTGCCTTTATAGCAGCATGATTTATAGTCCTTCCGGTATATACCCAGTAATGGGATGGCTGGGTCAAATGGTATTTCTAGTTCTAGATCCTTGAGGAATCGCCACACTGTCTTCCACAATGGTTGAACTAGTTTACAGTCCCACCAACAGTGTAAAAGTGTTCCTATTTCTCCACATCCTCTCCAGCACCTGTTGTTTCCTGACTTTTTAATGATCGCCATTCTAACTGGTGTGCGATGGTGTCTCATTGTGGTTTTGATTTGCATTTCTCTGATGGCCAGTGATGATGAGCATTTTTTCATGTGTCTGTTGGCTGCATAAATGTCTTCTTTTGAGAAGTGTCTGTTCATGTCCTTCGCCCACTTGTTGATGGGGTTGTTTATTTTTTTCTTGTAAATTTATTTGAGTTCTTTGTAGATTCTGGATATTAGCCCTTTGTCAGATGAGTAGATTGCAAAAATTTTCTCCCATTCTGTAGGTTGCCTGTTCGCTCTGATAGTAGTTTCTTTTGCTGTTCAGAAGCTCTTTAGTTTAATTAGATCCCATTTGTCAATTTTTGCTTTTGTTGCCATTGCTTTTGGTGTTCTACACATGAAGTCCTTGCCCATGCGTATGTCCTGAATGATAATGCCTAGGTTTTCTTCTAGGATTTTTATGGTTTTAGGTCTAACATGTAAGTCTTTAATCCATCTTGAATTAATTTTAGTATAAGGTGTAAGGAAGGGATCCAGTTTCAGCTACGTATGGCTAGCCAGTTTTCCCAGCACCATTTATTAAATAGGGAGTCCTTTCTCCATTTCTTGTTTTTGTCAGGTTTGTCAAAGATAAGATGGTTGTAGATGTGTGGTATTATTTCTGAGGGCTCTGTTCTGTTCCATTGGTCTATATCTCTGTTTTGGTACCAGTACAAGGTAATTTATAGATTCAGTGCCATCCCCATCAAGCTACCAATGCCTTTCTTCACAGAATTGGAAAAAACTACTTTAAAGTTCTTATGGAAACAAAAAAGAGCCCACATCGCCAAGACAATCCTAAGCCAAAAGAACAAAGCTGGAGGCATCACACTACCTGACTTCAAACTATACTACAGGCTACAGTAACCGAGACAGGAGGATATTCTTCATGTTTTTAGATCAGTAGCACACTGAATACTGCAAGTAAATGAGTACTGCACATTTCAGTATCACTGAGTGAATTTCTAATGTTCTCATCACAAAAAATGTGAAATATTTCAGCTGATAGCTGTGTTAATTCACTTCATTTTTCTACATTGTACTTAAAATCACAACACACTTTTTAACCCCGTAAATACACATACTTTGTCAATATACGATAAAAATTTTTTAAGGGGCTGGGCGCGGTGGCTCATGCCTGTAATCCCAGCACTTTGGGAGGCCAAGGTGGGCAGATCAACTGAGGTCAGGAGTTCGAGACCAGCCTGGCCAACATGGCAAAACCCCATCTTTACTAAAAATTCAAAAATTAGCTGGTGTAGTGGCACATGCCTGTAATCCCAGCTACTCGAGAGGCTGAGGCAGGAGAATCACTTGAACCCGGGAGGCGGAGGTTGCAGTGAGCCAAGATCGTGCCATTGCCCTCCAGCCTGGGCCACAGAATTACACTCTCTCTCAAAAAAAAAAAAAAAAAAAAAAATTTAAAGCAAGTAAATGCCACAGGATATCCAACAAGAGGTTTATTGTGAGAAATGGAAGAGGAAAGGCATCCCTGCTGGAGGCTGCAGCCTGGTGTCCCTGCAGCAGGGACAGGTGTCAAGAGCAGCCCGGGGCCAGGGGAGTGAGAGGAGCCTGCAGGACCCAGGAAGGAGCAGCAACCTCGGATTCCCACAGGGGCACACAGCATGCTGGGGAACGGGCAGCACTCAGCGTGGTCAGCACTGACCTTCCTCCTCAACCTGCCCCTGGCCCCGCAAGTCCTGAGCCCCGCCCGGTGCCTCCGAGGTGCCACTGGCACCAGCGCGAGTGCTCATAGCTGCCAGAGGCAAGGTGTGGAAATCTGCATTAATGTAATCTGATAACGTTTTGTTGGTAAATTACGTAGACACTCTTATACTAAGTTTATCTTATACCCAAAGTCTGCTTTAAACAAAATTGGTGATTCTATAATTGTATTTTAAACAGAATTGAAAGTAATTGGATACAGTGCACTGAGTGTTTTTCTCTTTTTTGCACAAAAGAGCTTCCCAGCAGGAGCTGACTGACAAAATCTTTTACGTTTCCAAGTGATTCAAATGATAAAAATGATAATGAATGTTTGCTTGTCTCCATGAGGCTTTTATTCTCCTCTTGGTGTACATGAACAACTTCTCTTCACCTGAACAATAGTTAAGAATGCAAATGTTATGGGAAGATCGACTTGCTAATTGTATTTAATTTTAATGTGATAGGTATGGGTTCAGGTTCTTACCCCGGAAGTTATCGGGCACACCAAGTCCTTGGGAGGCTCTGGGCACCTGCGTTGACTGTGCCGTCCCGTGAGATGGAACGTGTCAGCAGTTCTTTTTTGACTGCCTGGTACGGGACTGGAAGAAGGTTGGGTCTTTAATTGGCTGTTATCAGCCCTCCTTCTAAACCACAGAGCAGAGCACTCCTGCAAAGACTGCAGGAATTCTGCTTCAAAATGTTCCACCTCTTGGAACAATGCCAGAATTATTCTGTTAAAAACCATCTTATCTTCCTGCTGTAAAACTGAGAAAAAATCAGTCTTCTCGTTAATCACTTAATATGCACATCCTAATTATATATATAAGCGTTTTCACTTATACCCTGCTATGTTCTCTAACATAGTGCAAGATAATAGAAGGCCTTTTGCTCTCAAAAATAAAAATAAAAACAAGCAGAAATCCTGTCCCACCTGTCTCATGCCCTGGTGTACAGACCCTCGGCCTTGTGTCCCCGATCGGGAAGGTCAGATTCCCAGGGCTGATGGCCCCGTCTGTGGGTCAGACCCTGCCCACGTGCAGAGCACCACTTAGAATTATTATCAACTAATTGAAATGCAAATTCCAAGTCCTACTGAATCCAATTTACTGCATTTCTAAATTAGCTTATGTATTAGTGATTGAGATACTGGACTTGCTTATATATTAACATTTGAAATACTTGAATAACTAATTCAATTCTGATTGTGATGAAAGGTAGACCAAATAATTTCATTTGGAGGCCTTTGCTTTTTTTTCTGCTTAGTTCAATTAGAAAGTCAAAGCTCTAATAATTTTGAATGTCTCTGGGTCATTCTCTAATGAAGGTAGCACTTTAAATTTATAAAGAAAAAAGAGCTTATTTCAAAGATACTTCATATCATATGTAAAGATAAATTCTGATGGATTAAATATGTAAGCATTAAAATCGTATATATACACACACATATATGTGTGTATATATATAGACACATATGTATATGAGTATTCTGTACTCTGGGGGTGGAGAAGACGTATCTGGGCATGATTCCATGGGGCGTAATTATAAAGATACCACTTTAAATTCATAAAATTAAAAACTTATTTATGATACAAGCCAACAAGCAAACTAAAAATAATATCGCCAAAGTAAAATCATAATAAAAACCTGAGAGTTTTTCAATATAAGTAACAAATGTTTATATTTTTAATATATAAAGATTGCCTTACAAATCAATAAAGAAAAAAATGAATGACGCAGTGCAAAAATGAATAAAGGCCAAGCAAAGACTATTCATCTACCTTATCAATAACTAAAACGTTTGGAGAGCATGCCATTTAAAACTGAAAATCTAAAAGTTTATTCTAGAGAAATTCCTGAGAAGCATGCAAAGACGTAAAAAATACAGCCACGTTCACTATTGTGTTACATATCGTTGCGTGACACGGTACATTGCCTAAGTGCCCATCGTGGGCGTTGGTTTGGGTGATGTGGGGGCACTAAGGAAGCCCCCACCATGCGCTGCTACCACCCTCAGCAAAAGGCTGCTCTGGAGGAGGTAAAGTGTGTGCTGCAGCACAGGCAGCCGCAGGGCAGCACGACTCAGCCAGCTCTGCACCTGACCTGATGGCCTCAACACCTCCACCGAAAGCCTGATGGAATAAGAGCCCCGCCCATTTCCCAGCACTGATACCATTCACATCCATTCCCACTGTTCTGTACACGATGACCAAGATTTCATCAAAATTTAGGAGACACCGTAAAATTAAAGCTCATTCTCAAGACACAGGGCAATCAATACAAGATTCAGAAGTGACATGGATGTTCCTTCAAACTCTCAGAGAAAACGTGAAAGTAACTATAGTTATGCGATCAAGCAGCGGCACAGTGGGCCTGGCTAAATGGGAAGCAGTGGAGAGAGGAGAACTCTAAGAAAGAGGCAGAGGGAAAGACCACAGATGGGGTTCATGGTTTCAGAAATAAAGGATTTTGCTGGTGAGTCATCAGCAGGCTCGACATAACGAAGAAATCAGTGACCTTGAAGATAGGTTCATGGAAATTACCCAGCGGAGGCTCGAAGAGAAAGCGTGGGAATCGAAAGGCAGAAAAGAGCATCCGAGAGCTGCAGAGAGCTATCAAATGTTCTCACACACATAGAACCTGAATCCCAGCCAGAAAGACGAAAGCAGAGCAGAACAGAAGAAACGTGGGAAGCACTAATGCCAGGGAGTTTCTAACATTAGAAAGATAGATCACATCACAGACTGAAGAACCTGAGAAAATCTCAAAGACAGATCAACACCAGAAACAAAACCCCATACACATCTACACACCACAGTCGAACTACCAGAAGTGAAGGATACAGACAAACCCCCACACATCTACATACCACAGTCAAACTACCAGAAGTGAAGGATACAGACAAAACCCCACACATCTACACACCACAGTAAACTACCAGAAGTGAAGGATACAGACAAAACCCCACACATCTACACACCATAGTCGAACTACCAGAAGTGAAGGATACAGACAAAACCCCACACATCTATACACCACAGTAAACTACCAGAAGTGAAGTATACAGACAAAACCCTGCACACATCTACACACACCACAAACTACCAGAAGTGAAGGATACAGACAAAACCCCACACATATACACACACACCACAGTCAAACTACCAGAAGTGAAGGATACAGACAAAACCCCACACACATCTACACACCACAGTCAAACTACCAGAAGTGAAGGATACAGACAAAACACCACACATCTACACACCACAGTCAAACTACCAGAAGAGAAGGATACAGACAAAACCCCACACACATCTACACAACACAGTCAAACTACCAGAAGTGAAGGATACAGACAAAACCCCGCACATATATGCACCACAGTCAAACTACCAGAAGAGAAGGATACAGACAAAACCCCACACACATCGACACAACACAGTCAAACTACCAGAAGAGAAGGATACAGACAAAACTCCACACATATACACACACCACAGTCAAACTACCAGAAGTGAAGGATACAGAAAAAACCCCACACACATATACACACCACAGTCAAACTACCAGAAGTGAAGGATACAGACAAAACTCCACACATATATACACCACAGTCAAACTACCAGAAGTGAAGGATACAGACAAAACTCCACACACATCTACACACCACAGTCAAACTACCAGAAAGATACAGACAAAACCCCACACATATACACACACCACAGTCAAACTACCAGAAGTGAAGGATACAGACAAAACACCACACACATCTACACACCACAGTCAACCAGAAAGATACAGACAAAACTCCACACATATACACACCGCAGTCAAACTACCAGAAGTGAAGGATACAGATAAAACCCCACACACATACACACACCACAGTCAAACTACCACAAGTGAACGATACAGACAAACCCCCACACACGTCTACACACCACAGTCAAACTACCAGAAGTGAAGGATACAGACAAACCCCCACACATATATACACACCATAGTCAAACTACCAGAAGTGAAGGATACAGACAAAACACCACACATCTACACACCACAGTCAAACTACCAGAAGTGAAGGATACAGACAATCCCCACACACATGTACACACCACAGTCAAACTACCAGAAGTGAAGGATACAGAAAAAACCCCACACACGTCTACACACCACAGTCAAACTACCAGAAGTGAAGGATACAGACAAAACCCCGCACACATACACACCACAGTCAAACTACCAGAAGTGAAGGATACAGATAAAACCCCACACATGTACACACCACAGTCAAACTACCAGAAGTGAAGGATACAGACAAACCCCCACACACATGTACACACCACAGTCAAACTACCAGAAGTGAAGGATACAGACAAGCCCCACACACATGTACACACCACAGTCAAACTACCAGAAGTGAAGGATACAGATAAAACCTTAAAAAAAAAAAAAAAGAAAGAAAGAAAATTATAGACCATTATGTACAGAAGAATAAAGAATTACAGCACACTTTTCATCGTAAATGATTCTGGCCAGAACACCGTAAAGTGACATACTTAAAACAGGAAAAGACGTTAGCCCAGAATTCTAGAATGAGAGAAAATATCTTTCATAAATCAAAATGAAAAAAGTCATCCTTAGGAAAAAAAAAAAAAAGCTAGGGAAATTCATTGCTAGCAGACCAGTACTGCAAGAAATAGGAAATGAAGTTCGTTCTTTTCTTTCCCCCCGCCAAGATGGAGTCTCGCTCCGTCACCCAGGCTGGAGTGTGGTGGCACAGTCTCAGCTCACTGCAACCTCTTTCTCCTGGGTTCAAACAATTCTCCTGCCTCAGCCTCCCGAGCAGCTGGGATTACAAGTGTGCACCACCACACCCGACTAATTTTTGTATTTTATATTTTTAGTAGAGACAAGAGTTTCACCATGTTGGCCAGACTGGTCTCAAACTCCTGACCTGAAATGGCCCACCCTCCTCGGCTTCCTAAGAAAGGAAGTTCTTTAAGCATGGCTCTGAAAGAAGAGGGCAGCAGGAACTTAGAACTGCAGTGAGAGGGAGGGCTGCATGTCTCGGTTTTGGTGGTGGCTGCATGACCGTGCATTTGCGGAAATTCTTACAGCCATGCAGAAAGTGAGACGCACTGACCCATTCAGCATCTGAACCAGAGCTGCAAAAGTGAATCTTATGAAACAATGGATCGTGGAGGATAAAACAGAATCCTGTGAAGCCATTTCTCCAAGGTGAGAAATAAACTGTATTCTTGTACGGGAAGAGAAGGGGCATACCTCAGCCTCCTGACACTTCCGTTTTGGGATATGTTTGTGAGTAGGCTATTTAAGTCATGAGATGGCTCCAAGCCTCTTCTCCCTCCCATCTGCCATGGGTTGGGTGAGGTGATCAAGTGAGTAACCAAGAGAACACCAGCTATTGATGGACGCATCTGAGAAGAGCTCAGAAGACGGGCTCAGATATTCCTCTGGCCCATGAGCCTGCCCTGGGATCACCTTTTGCTCCACACAGCGTAACACCACCATGCTGGGCAAGCTGGGTACCTGGCCTGGGGATCTCCTAGCATCCACTGGCCTGTGGCGGGTGGCTGTGCCTCCGTAGGCAGGGAGCGTCGGGGCTGCTTTTGAGACCTTGCAGAGTCAGGCTGACATCTGATTAAGAAGCCTTTCAAAGAAATCACAGTTTTTGCAGAATCCATCTAGAAAGATGAAAGACCCTTCAGAGCCACTTCCTGTGTTTCTAAGCCCAGCAGTCCTGACGTTTTTGCCTTTCCTGATGCTGAGACTCCATTTGGTATCTGGGCTCTCACAGCTTCCTTCAGATCACTCAGCTCCTAGCACCTCTCGGCCACCAGCTCCAAGTCCTGCCTCTCACATCAAAGGCTGATCTCACGTCTCAGCTTTCTGTTTGAGACCCTCCACGCGCTGGTTGCAGGGGTTTGCCTGATCCCAGTGCAGATCCTTCGTGATCTGCCCCCGGAAAGCCTTGTTCCCCTGACAATTTTCTTCCTCCTCGCTCCTCTGACTTGAAGTCGGCTGTTCACCGTCTCCTCCTTGCTGCCGGTCATCCTTCCATGCCCAGCTCTGATTGCCTCCTCTGGGAAGGCTCCCTGGAGTTACGTCCCCTGCAGCATATTTCCTCACTGCTCGTGCTTGTCTCTACCACATGCCTGTTTGCTTTCCCGAGAGTCCCTATAGCCTTTGAAAGCAAGAGCTGTCTCATTTATCATTGCCATTGCGCCTTCACTGTGAGGCATTATATGTGCTCCTCACACACTGGATGAATGGATAAAACCATCGTCTTATGACTCATTTGTCAGGGATTATTGATAATCAACTTAATAAATGAACTGCTATTAGCGACGCCGATAAAGTAATCCTGTTTAGAGCCTAAACATAAAGATAATCAATTTAAAAGACGTGTGCAAAGCTGATTCACATTCACCTGATTTCTTAAGCTCCTTTAGGTTCTATTAGTCAAAACGGGAGCAGACGCCAGACTCCTCGTGCATGCCACACACCTGCAACCTGCAGTTCTTCAGTTAATAGGAAGCCATATGCTCCTGGGGAGGAGGCATCCTCTCTCACAGTCTCCTCCACTACCGTGGGCTGCTGGCTCTTCATTTTTAGTTTCAGCTGGAGGGAAGCGGAGGGGAGATTCTGGTCCAGCCTGTGTTGCAACCGTTGCCAGCACGTGCAGAGAGAGCATTTGCACTCTGATCGGTCCAGCCCTAGGGGTTCCCAGGTCCCTGACGATGTCTCTCCTCAGAAGCTCAGGCATCTGGGCATGAGGTGAGGACCTGGGGATTCGAATGGCACTTGGCACTTGCTCCTGGGGGTCTCTGCCCATCAGGGAAGCAGCTCACCCCACACCCGGCGGACCCAACAGGCAGCCATGAAGAAGGGCACCAGAACATTATCCATCCACCTGTTTCGTGCTGTTTCCAGTATCTTACCTTACATCTCTTCATGGATTTCATTGTTTCTCTAGTAAATTCTTCACTTTTTACCTCATTTCTTTCTTCTTGTGCATACCAACTCTAGTCTTATTCTAACTTTTTTCTATTAGAAAAAATGTCCTTAACGTTAAATCAAAAACTTAAGTACAATGAAAGACAAATTAAAAACTTCCATTTTTAAATTTTGTGCTTTACTTATTCTTTTCTGTTATTTCTATGTTTCTCATATTTTACTTCAACATCTAGTTTTTGGCCTGCTACAACTGATATTGTTTTCATGAAGACCTTAGTTAAGAGGGAGGCTCCTAAGACTGGCGCCTGGTTTGTTCATTAATACTCCTGGCTGTGAATGAGGGCTCACACCTGTGATCCCAGCACTTTGGGAGGCGGAGGCGGGCAGATCACTTGAGATCAGGAGTTTGAGACCAGCCTGGCCAAGATGGCAAAACCCTGTCTGTACTAAAAATACAAAAAATTAGCCAGGCATTTTGGCCCGTGCCTGTAATCCCAGGTACCCAGGTGGCCGAGCCAGGAGAATTGCGTGAATCTGGGAGGCGGAGGTTGCAGTGAGCTGAGATTGCACCACTGCACTCCAGCCTGGGCAAAAGACCGAAAAAGAAAAAAAAATACTCCTTAGGGCTGTCAGTTCAGGGGGCTGTAGTGAGTGCTGTCTTTTACCATCCAGCACTTTTATGGCGAACTGCAACTGAAAAACACATAATCCACAGACCACGTAAGCTTTTCTTTTTTTAACCCAACTGTGCCATTGCAGGTGCAAACAAGAAATGCAGCTTAGCGAGCTCACCACAGGGAGACATCCCTAGAGATGCGTCTCTGGAAAACCTGGCGGCCCCGTGCCCCCACCACCCAGCCGTGGGCAGTGCCTGGGCAGTACTGTAGCCAGCCTCTCCATACACTCGCAGTCCATTCATTAAATCAGTTATTAAACTGATGCTTAAACTGTAAAATTATGACTCATTGTAAAGAGCTAACACACGTAATTGTGTGAAGTGGAGTGTCACTCTGTCTCTGGCATGTCCATCGCCAGGGGTTTCCACTGCCCATGACTTTATCCTGTCCGGACACTTTCGTGTGTGTATAAAAATATACACATATGGGCGTAGTTTACAATAAACATGAGGTCCCACTGCACGCATTACTGTACAATTTCCTTTTTTCTCCCAAATATTTTGTTAGTTTTCCGTTGCTGTCATAAAAACTGCCACAAACTTAGTGTCTTAAAACAGGGCGTTTATCCTCAGCCAAGTCCTGCAGGTCATGAGCCAACACGGGTTTCTCTGGGCTAAGGCCGAGGTGTCGGCAGCCTGCCCTCCTTCCGGGTCTCTCTGGGCTAAGGCTGAGGTGTCGGCCGTTGGCCCTTCTTTCCGGGGATCTGCGTGGGGAGTGGTTTTCTTTCACATCAAGATGTTACAGTTGCGGGACCGAAGCCCCGTGTCCTTGTTGTCAGCTGAAGTCAGCCCCCTGTTTCCAGAGGCCACCCACAGGGATGTGTTAGCTCTGGCCCCTGCCTGCATCTTCAGAGCCAGCTGGACGGGGTGTGGGGTCTCTCTCACTCTGCAGACCCCTCCTGTCTCACGTCCACATCGATCTCCGACTTGCTCTGCCTTCCTCTTCTGCTTTCAATGCTCCTGCGCTGAGAGGGGGCCTGCCTGGGTCATCAGGAGATTCTCACTACCCCGGGGTCTGCTGGTTAGCAACCTCGATTCCACCTGCAACCTTCATGCCCGCTTGATGTGTAGCGTAACGTGTTCACAGATGTGGCACCAGCGTGGAAGGCCCTAGGGGTCAGAGTCCCGCCTGCAGAGGTACCACGTGCGTCCTTCTGTGGCGGACTCTAGGCCCAGATGTCACTGGACGGACACACTGCTGCGTGACTTTAACATTACCGTTGGGGAACTGCCTCTATGTTTTTATTACTGCACAGAGTGTTGTAAAGAAAATATTTGCGAATGCTCAACCACCAGTCTACTTATTGCCAAGGTATCTCTTCTTCTGGGTAGCATCATAAGGGGATTTTCTGGGCATGTGGCTCCCTCTGAAGCTTTTATGCTTTCACCTTCATCAGTGCAGCTAAGGAGATTCTGACTAGAATGGAGGTCTTCCAAATTGCTTTTTTCTAATGGGCTGATTATACCCATAATCTATGCATAGTTTAACCCCTGCCTCTGGAAAGTCCTAGCGGGAGGGGCAAGGATCCCACAGACACTGGCTTATTGCCTGTTTCCCTAAAAACATTACAGGATGCTTTCTTAAAAACATCCTACTTCCAAAGGGCAGTTTGAGAATCTCCTAATTTTAGGCAGCAAAGCCTTATCCCAAATACTGGTCTCTTTGCAGAAATCCATTGCCCGTTCATCTATAGGAACTATTTAATTTCAGGAAATAACTTTCTTAGGAGATTTTTATAGATTTGCTTCTCAGGAAAAATAACTTTGCCTATAGTGGTCTGCCAGCTTCAGGGGGATGGTCTTGAAAAAGGAAAATGGTGATCTGGGGTGAGGCCAGAGAGGAACTGGCTCTTGGGTGGATTTATACATTTTCAGTTGTTTTCTAATTCATTAACTTCTGCTTTTATTGCTATTTCTTCTTTTGTTTTCTTAGACCTATTTGTTGTTTCATTCTTTATCTGAAAGTATATTTACTAATAAAAGTATATAAGGCTATGAATGTTTCTAAGAATATATCTTAGCTACATCACACATATATTGATAGATGATGCTTTTATAGTCACTGTTATCTAAATACTCAGCAATTTTGACTTTGATTTCCACTTTGACTCAAGGGGTGAATGAATGAAATGAAGGAGAGATAGGGTTACTATTAAAAATATAGCTACTATTAATTATTTTTCTTTCTTTAAATTACTTTTTCAAATTTTTATAATGTGTAAAATTATTTAATAGTGGCCATTTTCTCTTTTCAGGCCCTGCTTTTGGTAGGGAGTTCGGTTGAGAGACATAAATAAAATACCATGATTTTTTTCCATTTCTAATTATATGAAGTCTTAACTTTCCAAAACAGTTAAGTCATTCATGATAACACTCAGAGCCACAAAATGCATTTACTAGCTCTTCACTATACCAATGAGCTACTTTTCTGAGTTTTCCTGTAACTGTGACACGTGCATTCCTGCCCCATAACCAAGGGCCTTACCTGAGTTCATCACGTGACTCCTAATAGAGTTCTGGTAGCACAATAGAAAAATAATTTTTCACATTCGCACGATGAAGAGTGTTCAGAACAACCATTCCTTAAATATGAGTCACTCTCTTTACTGTCATAGCCTTCAGAATGTCTAACAGCAGCAGCACGGATAGTTCAGCTAAATACTTCTGTATTTTTAGCTGAAAAAATTCATGCAAGGCTTTCTGTTCATGTCTCTTAATCTAATGGCTATTGAAGGTGCGACCTTCGAGATTCCAGAGAATGTACTGAATGAAGAGAACAGAGCAAAAAAGAGTCCAATCTGTAAGATCTGAGGACACAGTTAAGTGGAATCACACCATTAGTAGAACCCGGTGCTAACCTTGAAGCAGCAGCGAGTTTTACTAAACAGCTCATCTTATATGTAATTCTCCCCAATAGTAAAGACAATGTGTTCTATGAGTTCATTGTCTTCTTTGGCGTATGATGCCTAATTTATGAATTTTTTCATTTATTCATTCGGTAAGTAAATATGTATTAAGGACTGAATAGATAAATAAAATAATTGTCAAGTAAATAATATGTGTACAGACTGTTAAAACATTAACAGTGTTTAACAGGGTGCTGTGGCTCAGGCCTGTAATCCCACAACTTTGGGAGGCTGAGGCAGGTGGATCACTTGAGGTCAGCAGTTCAAGACCAGTCTGGCCAACATGGTGAAAGCTGTCTTTACTAAAAAAAAAAAAAAAAAAAAAAAAGGAAAAAAAATTAGCTGAGCATGGTAGTACATGCCTGTAATCCCAGCTACTCAGAAGGCTGGAGCAGGAGAATCCCTTGACCCCGGGAGGTGGAGGTTGCATTGAGCCGAGATCACGCCACTGCACTCCAACCTGGGCGACAGAGTGTGACTTCATCTCAAGTTTGGAGGGAAATCTGCCTTACTCAAAATCTGCCAATGTGAGCATTAATCTCTTGTAAAACACACCTTCACATTCAGGTATTTGAGCAAATGCCATGGTACCATATCCTAGTTGACACACACAAACTATCACACACAGCAATGAAAACTAATAATGTATGAATGCACAGTAATCCCAATGGTGGTTATCTCTGGGTTTGTGGTTGAATTGTATTTTCTTTTAAATATTTTCCAAATTTTCTGCAAAAAGCATGTAGCACTAAAATAAGAAAAGATAACTGAAAAACATTAGTTTCGTTGTCTTCTAGGCCCCCTAGCAACCTATAAGTACAGTTTTTCCAATAGTAACACTGCATTTAAAAACAAATTATCCTTGTATTGCAGTTACCATAGTAATAAATTTGTCATCAACAGCTTTATTTTACTTTTCAGCTATGAGTGGAACAATAATTCTGTGTGTTTCAAAGCCTCAGAAATGAAACTTATTCCTTGCATGTTGCCACATTTTGTGTCTCCAAGGTAATTTTTTTTGAGGTAGGGTCTTGCTGTGTTGCCCAGGCTGGAGTGCAGTGGGAGGATCACAGCTCCCTGCAGCCTCAACCTCCCCAGGCTCTAATCCTCTCACCGCAGCCTCCCCAGTATCTGGGACTACAGGCTTGCGCCACCATGCCCAGCTAATTTTTGTTTTTGTTTTTGTTATTGTTTGTAGAGATGGGGTTTCATCACGTAGCCCAGGCTGGTCTCAAACTCCTGGGCTCAAGCAATCCACCCGCCCAAGGCTGTTTTTAAAGAAGATGTACAGTAAGGGAATACGTAGAGACAGAACCACATTACAGGGAGTGGTTGGGGTTTGCTGTTAGCACCGGGGAATCCCTTGCCTTGATGGAGGGTGAGGAATGCGCATTTGAGTATTGCTAGAAGCTTTCTGAGGTCACTTCTGACCCCGCAACACCATTTACATTTGGGGGATGGACTGTACTAGTTTCTGGGGCTGCCATAACAAAGTACCACACACAGCGTGGCTTAAAACAATAGAAATTTACCCTCTCCAGTTCTGGGAGCCAGAAGTCTGAAATCAAGGTGTGGGCAAGGCCTCGCTCCCTGCACGTCTCTAGGGGAGGATCCCTCCTTCCGCCTCAGTGTCCGTGGCTGTGGGTGCATCACTCCACCCTCGGCCTCTGCCTCCCAGGACCTTCCCCATCTTCGTCCCTTCTCCTCTTCTCATAAGAGCACTGTCATCCTCGGAGCCCACTCCGGTGACCTCATCTCAACTCATTTCGTCTGCAGTGACCCTATTTCCAAGCGAGGTCATGTTCTGAGGCACTGGGGGTGAGGATCTCCATGGACCTCTTCTACAGGGAGACACAGTTCAGGCCGTACCAGAAGCAATCGCGTCGCCAGGATAATGAAGTATGCATAAAATGGCACCCCTCTATCTTGGTAATTATCAGACACTGTTTCTGAAACTTATTTCCATCTCCGTGTTGGCTTTTCTCTTCCGGAATGTATGGTCAAATATAGGATGTCATTTCTCCAGCTGGGTGACCATGGTGATTTTGCTGCTGACTACTGGAAGGGAAGCACGGATTACTCAGCTGAAACCTGATTTCCTTTCCTCAGTTATCTGTCTTCAAATCAGTTTAGCGATTGTTGGTGATTCTTCATGAAGAGCAGTAACTTTAGCTGGCTAAAATAAAGAGAAATGTGTACTCCACACTCTCAAATTCCACTTTAATTTCATGATTAACTGAGTTTGTAGTTCTAAGAAATTGGTTGCTCAAAATCTTGTTCTGTCCTATTCACTTGAAAATGGGAATCCCACCTCTGTGCTCCTGGGTCCTGAGGGACATTCCTTCCTCCCCATCCCGTTCGGAGGCTCCCTCTGGTCCAGAGCAGACAGCCCCTTGCATCCCTGAGCCCCACCCCTGGCAGAGGCCTTCACTGTCAATGTCATTACCAGGGACTGGTGGATCTCTATCCCTTAACCATTCTTTAAGCCACCTTAAAGAAGCCATCTTCAATGGTGTTGGAGGACCAAGCAAAACATATGTGCTTCTAGTCTTGGGATAATTAAGGAAGCTCAAAACATGAGGATGTAGATATGAAAACATCTTACACATTCTTGCCCTTCCGTGCTCGGGACCCAACCCCATGCCGGCAGCTGCAGAACTGGGTGCACTCAATCTCAGGTGCAGCCCATGAAGACACCAGCCCTTAGCCCTGTCCAGACAGACCTGATGTCTTTTAACCTTCAGTCTGTTTTCCTATTCAAAGTTCTGTTCTTCCCTTCCCTCTGCAAAGCCCAAACATTAATTTCTAGGGAATTACAGGGAAGGGAGGTTAGAGCATGGGGGTCACTCACACCCCCTCCCCCTCCCTCTTCCTAACGCTGGCTCCATGTGGGCCAGGTGGGAAGGAGGATGGAGGAGAAAGAAGGCTCTTGACTGAGCAAAAAGAAAGGGCCCTCCTGGTCTCTGGTCACTGCTTCTCTAAGACTGGACGTTGGACTGGGCATTTTTCAATTCTTTTGAGTTTCCTGATGGGGTCTTCCCCTCCTTTCTTTTCTAACATGGAGAGATGGCTCAGCCTCCCCTTTCCTGCCTAACCCCCTCCTCCCACTCCACCTCCACTGTTCACCCCTGCAGCCTATTTGTGGGGTACGTTTCTTTGGGACTCACTGTGGGTAAAATGACCCACACCCGATACTTGTCACACATCTACTTGACCTGCAGGAAATATGCGTGTGATTGCTCTACCCAAAGGCATGTGTGCAGCCAGTTTACACCCCACACACCCGCATATCTCCTGGCCCCACATCACACCCAACTGCATCCTGGATCTCCAGCGGGAGGCCCTCACCCATCCCCAGCAGAGGGAAACCCTGCTGCCCTTCACGTTTGTGGATTCTGAAGCCCTCGCTTGGCCTCTGCGTCAATAATTCTGACATGAACTACAAACTCCCACGGACTCCCAGGGAGGTTCCTCCCACCCGGGGCGGTGGATGGAGGAGGAGCGGAGGGAGGAGGTGGCATGCAGACAGGCCTTGGAAATCCGAGCACATTTTCCAGGATCTAGCTTCATGCCTCCTGCCACACGATTCTGCTGGGAGCTGGGGCAGTGAGTATCCAGTCTCATTTATCCCTTATCCACCATGGCCCTTGTTGGGCCCAGACACACAAACAGCTGCGATGGGTGCAGAGCAAGGTGCCCCAGCACACGCCCGCCCAGGCTTACGTAACGGGGCCATCTCCTGGCCGCAGCTCTCCATGGTTCCCCACTGCCAGTTTAGTCCAGTTCACATTTACCAAGATCCTTCACAAAATACGCCCCCATCGGCTGTTTCTTATTAGTCTAAGGTTGATTATGTTCGATTATGTTCAGTAAAAATCTTTAATTATGAAAACTCTGAAAATCTTCACATACTATTTTTTATCCCTTTCTAACATCTTTATATTGACGATTGGCCTGACGTGTGCCTCTGGCCCCCTTGACTTTACCCCTGTGTTTCTGCTTGGAAAGGGCTCCCTGAAGTGCAAATATGGTCCTGTTGCACATTTGCCCCCTGAAGCTCTGGAAAGCGGTCCCCAAATCCCATCCGGATGTAACTGGAAGGAAATTCCAACATCCTCCTAGTCCAGCCGAGGGGGTTCCCACCACGGATTTCCTTTTCAGGGCTCCCATTGCATTACTGGACAACTTCTAACTATTGAAAATTTTCCATTGGGAGAATTCTCCGTGTGTCATTTTTCTGTAGTTCCATTTAATGCAGTGATAGTTATTTTTTATCTTCTGTGTTTTCTCTACTTCCTGATTAAATTATGACCTCCTCAAATGGAAGGGCAATATAAACTCATTTCTTTTTATTATCCCACAGTAATTGTCAGGCTCAGACTTCTCTGTGAGCATCACCGACTGACCAGGGTACCGCTGGCTGGGATGTTACATGGAGCAGTTACACTAGCATTTTAGTTTCAAATGGATGCAGATTCAGCAAACACTTTGATTATCTAAAATCACAGCAGGATGATAGATTTTACTGTCTACTGATCCTTACATTTATATTATGAAGTACTCAAATTATTTATTAATTCAGCATTTGTGATTATACATTGCAATAGTAAAAATCTTTTGGGGAGTGATTTCAACAAGATAATGGAGTAGGAAGGTCTGGGCCCTCCTTCCCCTCAACAAACACAGCCGTTCAACAATGATTTGTGGACAAATTCCCTTTACAAAAATTTAGACACTAGGCCTGGCGTGGTGGCTCACTCCTGTAATCCCAGCACTTTAGGAGACCAAGGCGGGTGGATCATGAGGTCAGGAGATTGAGACCATCCTGGGTAACACGGTGCAACCCCGTCTCTACTAAAAATACAAAACAATTAGCTGGGCGTGGTGGCGGGCGCCTGTAGTCCCAGCTACTCAGGAGGCTGAGGCAGGAGAATCACGTGAACCCAGGAGGCGGAGCTTGCAGTGAGCCGAGATCGCGCCACTGCACTCCAGCCTGGGCGACAAGGCAAGACTCCGTCTCAAAAATAATAATAATAATAAAATAAAAATAAATAAATAAATAAATGACACTAATTGAAAATCTCCTGCACCTTGGGAAAATACAAAACCAGACTTACCAAAGATGCTCGGGAGATTCTCTCAAGAATTCCTACCCTGGCACAGCACCCTACAATCAGGAAGAGACCCCCTGGCTTCTACCTTCTCCCAGGGGAGGGAAGGATCAGTTAGCACATCCAGCACCCCAACTTTTCCAAGAGAGCTCCCAGAGTCTGGCCTCTGACCTGCAAGCATTGGGCCTGCTGGAGTCTGGCCCACTCTGGTTGCCTGGGGGAGAATGAAGACAGTGGCATGGCTGGTAGATGCCGTAGATCCTCTCCCTCCTCAGCACAGAATAAGCAAACAAGAACTCCATCTCTCAGCTTCCCACTGAAGAGGAAAGAGGTGATCCATGCATCCCACACCTCAGCTTCTTCAGGGTTGCACAGAGAACTGGCATCTACCTTCCAAGCCTTCCAGTCTTGGAGCTCTGTTGGGTCCAGCAGTCCAGCCACATAGGGGAGGACAGAGATGACAGCTTAGACTAGTAGATGCGATGGTGTTCTTCCCTGATTCAGGCAGAGCAAACAGGCGAAAACCACAGCTACCTTCTTCTCTCTGGGAAGGGAAAGAATTGGCTGAGACCCTCAGAATCTCTGAATGATTGGTGGGGGTCTTCTCATGTATAAGACAAGGTCATGAAGACTGAGAAAGGCACCAGTGCGGAAAGTCAAGGAAAATGAAAACTCAGGCAAAGATATTTCAAAGAAATAAAACAAATCTCCAGAAACTGACCCTAGTGAAATGAAGTTATATGATTTATTCGACAGAGAATTCAAAACAAGGGATATGAAGATGCCCCCTAAGGTCAAGAGAACAATGAAGGAACAAAATGAGAATTTAAGTAAAGTGACAGGACATATTTTTTAAATATGTGCCAAACAGAAATTATGGAGCTGAAGAACATAATTGACCTGAAAATTTTACTGGAAAGATTCAACAACAGACCAGATCAAACAGAAGAAAGCATCGGTGAACTCAAAGACAACATCGTTACAAATAATTCAATCAGGACAGCAAAAAATAGCAATAAAAAGAGTGAAGAAAGCTTACAGAACTTACGGGAAATCACCAAACAGATGGGGTTTCACCATGTTGGCCAGGCTGATCCTGAACTCCTGACCTCAAGTGATCTGCCCACCTCGGCCTCCCAAAGTGCTGGGATTACAGTTGTGAGCCACCGCGCCCGGCCAGGTCACACTCTCTTATAATGACTAATAGAACTAGAGTTTAACTGCCAAAAATATAGTTTTTTTAAAAAAAAGTTAAACATTTTAAAAGTCGAACACTCATTCCTGCCCCTGATCTTTCTCTGTGCTCTACCTCCTGCCAGCCATGCCCCCTGGGCACAGCCAATTCTGTCCCACCTCTGACTTCTTCCTGCCACTCACTGGGGTCTCCAGCTGTCAGCAGGACCATCGTGGGGTCACTCCACTAACTGGCCTCCCGCTTCCCATCTTGAATCCATACACACTGTCCTCCACACAACAGCTCCTGGGGTTTCTTTTTTTTTCTTTTTTTCTTTTTTGAGACAAGATCTTGCTCTGTCACCCAGGCTGGAGTGCAGGGCGTCATCTCAGCCCACTGCAGCCTCAACCTCCCGGGTGCAAGCGATTCTCCCACCTCAACCTCCCGAGTGGCTGGTATTACAGGCACCTGCCATCACACCTGGCTAATTTTTGTATTTTTAGGAGAGACAGGGTTTTGCCATGTTTCCCAGGTTTTACGGGCTTTTTTTAAATATATATAAACTTTTTATTGACAAATAACATAAATAACATACAAAAGAGAAGAAACAATAGGTTCCCACCTCAAAAATCCTCCCAAATACTGAAGTCAAGAAATAGGTCGGCCGGGCGCGGTGGCTCACGCCTGTAATCCCAGCACTTTGGGAGGCCGAGGCGGGTGGATCATGAGGTCAGGAGATCGAGACCATCCTGGCTAACAAGGTGAAACCCCGTCTCTACTAAAAATACAAAAAAAAAATTAGCCGGGCACGGTGGCGGGCGCCTGTAGTCCCAGCTACTCGGGAGGCTGAGGCAGGAGAATGGCGTGAACCCGGGAAGCGGAGCTTGCAGTGAGCCGAGATTGCGCCACTGCAGTCCGCAGTCCCGCCTGGGCGACAGAGCGAGACTCCGTCTCAAAAAAAAAAAAAAAAAAGAAATAGGTCATTCCGGAAGCCCCCAGCGAGCTCCCCACCCAGTTACTCCCTTCTTCCCAAATTCACCACTACCCTGCCTATTATTATTTTTTAACTATAAATATTTATTTAGTAGTCTGAACTAAGTGCTAAATGAAATTGAAATGTATTTTATTCTTTTTTTAATAGTAATTTTTTTTTAATTTTATTATTATTATACTTTAAGTTTTAGGGTACATGTGCACAACGGGCAGGTTTGTTACATATGTATACATGTGCCATGTTGGTGTGCTGTACCCATTAACTCGTCATTTAGCATTAGGTGTAACCCCTAATGCTATCCCTCCCCTAGCTCCCCACCCCCCAACAGGCCCCTGTGTGTGATATTCCCTTCCCTGTGTCCATGGGTTCTCATCGTTCATCTCCCACTTATGAGTGGCAACATGCAGTATTTGGTTTTCTGTTCCTGTGTTAGTTTGCTGAGAATGATGGTTTCCAGCTTCATCCATGTCCCTGCAAAGAACATGAACTCATCCTTTTTTATGGCTGCATAGTATTCCATGGTGTATATGTGCCACATTTTCTTTATGCAGTTTATCATTGATGGTCATTTGGGTTGGTTCCAAGTCTTTGCTATTGTGAATAGTGCTGCAATAAACATACATGTGCATGTGTCTTTATAGTAGAATGATTTGTAATCCTTTGGGTATATACCCAGTAATGGGATTGCTGGGTCAAATTGTATTTCCAGTTCTAGATCCTTGAGGAATCACCACACGGTCTTCCAGAATGGTTGAACTAACTTATACTCCCACCAACAGTGTAAAAGCGTTCCTATTTTTCCTTATCATCTCCAACATCTGTTGTTTCCTGGCTTTTTAATGATCGTCATTCTAACTGGCATCAGATGGTATCTCATTATGGTTTTGATTTGCAGTTCTCTAATGACCAGTGATGATGAGCTTTTTTTCATATGTTTGTTGGCCTCATAAATGTCTTCTTCTGAGAAATGCCTGTTCATATCGTTCACCCACTTTATGATTGGGTTGTTAGGTTTTTTTTTCTTGTAAATTTGTTAAAGTTCCTTGTAGATTCTGGATATTAGCCCTTTGTCAGATAGATAGATTACAAACATTTTCTCCCATTCTGTAGGTTGCCTGATAGTTTCATTTGCTGTGCAGAAGTTATTTACTTTCATTAGATCCCATTTGTCAATTCTGGCTTTTGTTGCCATTGCTCTTGGTGTTTTAGTCATGAAGTCTTTACCAGTGCCTGTGTCCTGAATGGTATTGCCTAGGTTTTCTTCTAGGCTTTTTATGGTTTTAGGTCTTATGTTTAAGTCTTTTATCCATCTTGAGTTAATTTTAGTATAAGGTGTAAGGAAGGAGTCCAGTTTCAGTTTTCTGCATATAGCTAGCCAGTTTTCCCAACAGCATTTATTAAATATGGAATCCTTTCCCCATTGTTTGTTTTTGTCAGGTTTGTCAAAGATCAGATGGTCGTAGATGTGTGGTGTTATTTCTGATGCCTCTGTTCTGTTCCATTGGCCTATGTATCTGTTTTGATACTAGTACCATCCTGTTTGGTTACTGTGGCCTTGTAGTATAGTTTGAAGTCAGCTGGTGTTCTTTGTCAGCTTTGTTCTTTTTGCTTAGGATTGTCTTGGCTATATGGACTCTTTTTTGATTCCATATGAAATTTAAAGTAGTTTTTTTTTTCCTAATTCTGTGAAGAAAGTCAATGGGAGCTTGATGGGGATAGCATGGAATCTGTAAATTACTTTGGGCAGTATGGCCATTTTCACAATATTGGTTCTTCCTATCCATGATCATGGAATGTTTTTCCATTTATTTGTGTCTTCTCTTATTTCCTTGAGTGGTGGTTTGTAGTTCTCCTTGAAGAGGTCCTTCACATCCCTTGTAAGTTGGATTCCTAGGTATTTTATTCTCTTTGTAGCAATTGTGAATGAGAGTTCACTCATGATTTGGCTCTCTGTTTGTCTGTTATTGGTGTACAGGAATGCTTGTGATTTTTGCACATTGATTTTGTATCCCGAGACTTTGCTAAAGTTGCTTATCGGCTTAAGGAGATTTAGGGCTGAGACAATGGGGTTTTCTACATATACAATCATGTCATCTGCAAACAGAGAGAATTTGACTTTCTCTTTTCCTATTTGAATACCTTTTATTTCTTTCTCTTGTCTGATTGTCCTGACCAGAACATCCATCACTATGTTGAATAGGAATGGTGAGACAGGGCATCCCTGTCTTGTGCCAGTTTTCAAAGGGAATGCTTCCAGTTTTTGCCCATTCAGTATGATATTGGCTGTGGGTTTGTCATAAATAGCTCTTATTGAGATACTTCACATCAATACCTAGTTTATTGAGAGCTTTTAGCATGAAGCAGTGTCGAATTTTATTGCAGGCCTTCTCTACATCTGTTGAGATAATCATGTGGTTTTTGTCATTGGTTCTGTTTATGTGATAGATTATGTTTACTGATTTGCATATGTTGAACCAGCCTTGCATCCCAGGGATGAAGCCGACTTGATCGTGGTGGATAAACTTTTTGATGTGCTGCTGTATTCAGTTTGCCAGTATTTTATTGAGGATTTCTGCATCCATGTTCATCAGGGATATAGGCCTGAAGTTTTCTGTTTTTGTTGTGTCTCTGCCAGGTTGTGGTATCAGGATGATGCTGGCCTCATAAAATGAGTTAGAGAGGAGTCCGTCTTTTTCTATTGTTTGGAATAATTTCAGAAGGAATGGTACCAGCTCCTCTTTGTACCTCTGGTAGAATTTGGCTGTGAATCCATCTGATCCTGGGCTTTTTTTTGTTGGTAGGCTATTAATTACTGCCTCAATTTCAGAACTTGTTATTGGTGTATTCAGGGATTTGACTTATTCCTCATTTAGTCTTGGGAGGGTGTATGTTTCCAGGAATGTATCAGTTTCTTCTAGATTTTCTAGTTTATTTGTGTAGAGGTGTTTATAGTGTTCTCTGATTGTAGTTTGTATTTCTGTGGGATCAGTGGTGATCTCCCCTTTATCATTTTTTATTGTGTCTATTTGATTGTTCTCTGTTTTCTTCTTTAATAGTCTGGGTAGTGGTCTATCTATTTTGTTAATCTTTTCAAAAAACCAGCTTCTAGATTCATTGATTTTTTTTGAAGGGTTTTTCATGTCTCTATCTCCTTCAGTTCTTCTCTAATCTGAGTTATTTCTTGTCTTATCTTAGCTTTTGAATTTGTTTGCTCTTGCTTCTCTGGTTCTTTTAATTGTGATTTTAGGGTGTTGATTTTAGATCTTTCCCACTTTCTCCTGTGGGCATTTGGTGCTATAAATTTTGCTCTAAACACTGCTTTAGCTGTGTCCCAGAGATTCTGGTATGTTGTGTCTTTGTTATTGTTGGTTCCAAAGAACTTATTTATTTTTCCCTTAATTTCGTTATTTACCCAGTAGTCATTCAGGAGCAAGTTGTTCAGTTTCCATGTAGTTGTGCAGTTTTGAGTGAGATTCTTAATCCTGAGTTCTAATTTGATTGCACTGTGGTCGGAGAGACTGTTATGATTTCCATCCTTTTGCATTTGCTGAGGAGTGTTTTACTCCCAATTATGTGGTCAGTTTTGGAATAAGTGTGATATGGTGCTGAGAAGAATGTATATTCTGTTGATTTAGGGTGGAGAGTTATGTAGATGTCAATTGGGTCTGCTTGGTCCAGAGCTGAATTGAAGTCCTGAATATCATTGTTAATTTTCTGTCTCATTGATCTAATATTGACAGTGAGGTGTGAAAGTCTCCCATTATTATTGTATGGGAGTCTAAGTCTCTTTGTAGGTCTCTAAGAACTTGATTTATGAATCTGGGTCCTCCTGTATTGGGTGCTCCTGTATTGAGTGCATATATATTTAGGATAGTTAGCTCTTCTTGTTGCGTTGATCCCTTTACGATTATGTGATGCTCTTCTTTGTCTTTTTAGATCGTTGTTGACTTAAAATTTGTCTTATCAGAGACTAGGATTGCAACTCCTGCTTTTTTTGCTTTCCGTTTGCTTGGTAAATATTCCTCCATCCCTTTATTTTGAGCCTATGTGTGTCTTTGTACATGAGATGGGTCTCCTGAATACAGCATACTAATGGGCCTTGACTGTATCCAATTTGCCAGTTTGTGTCTTTTAACTGGGACATTTAGCCTGTTTACATTTAACATTAATATTGTTATATATGAATTTGATCCTGTCATTATGATGCTAGCCGGTTATTTTGCCCATTAATTGATGCAATTTCTTCATAGTGTCGATGGTCTTTACAATTTGGTATGTTTTTGCAGTGGCTGGTACCGGTTTTTGCTTTCCATGTTTAGTGGTTCCTTCAGGAGCTCTTGTAAGGCAGGCCTGGTGGTGATAATATCTCCCAGCATTTGCTTGTGTGTAAAGGATTTTATTTCTCCTTCACTTATGAAGCTTAGTTTGGCTGGATATGAAAATCTGGGTTGAAAATTCTTTTTTTTAAGAATGTTGAATATTGGCACCCACCCTCTTCTAGCTTTTAGCGTGTCTGCAGAGATATCCACTGTTAGTCTAATGGGCTTCCCTTTGTGGGTAACCTGACCTTTCTCTCTGGCTGCCCTTATCATTTTTTCCTTCATTTCAACCTTGGTGAATCCGACGATTATGTGTCTTGGGGTTGCTCTTCTCAAGGAGTAACTTTGTGGTGTTCTCTGTATTTCCTGAATTTGATTGTTGGCCTTTCTTGCTAGGTTGGAGAAGTTCTCCTGGATTATATCCTGAAGAGTGTTTTCCAGCTTGGTTCCATTCTCCCCGTCACTTTCAGGTACATTAATCTAATGTAGGATTGGTCTTTTCACATTGTCCCATATTTCTTGGAGGCTTTGTTTGTTCCTTTTTGTTCTTTTTTCTCCAATCTTGTCTTCACACTTTATTTTAATAAGGTGATGCTTCAATTTCTGATATCCTTTCTTCATTTGATTGATTCAGCTATTGATACTTGTGTATGCTTCACGAAGTTCTCATGCTGCGTTTTTCAGCTCCATCAGGTAATTTATGTTCTTCTCTAAACTGGTTATTCTAGTTAGCAATTCCTGTAACCTTTTTTCAAGGTTCTTAGCTTCCTTGTGTTGGGTTAGAACATACTCCTTTAGCTTGGAGGAGTTTATTACCCACTTTCTGAAACCTACTTCTATAATTTGCCAAACTCATTCTCTGTCCGGTTCTGTTCCCTTGCTGGTGAGGAGTTGTGATCGTTTGGAGGAGAAGAGGCTTTCTGGTTTTTGGAATTTTCAACCTTGTTGTGCTGGTTTTTCCTCATCTTCATGGATTTATCTATCTTTGTTCTTTGATGCTGGTGACTTTCGGATAGGGTTTTGGTGTAGACGTCCTTTTTATTGATGTTGATGCTATTACTTTCTGTTTGATAGTTTTCTTTCTAACCATCAGGCCCCTCTTCTCAGGTCTGCTGGAGTTTGCTAGAGGTCCACTCCAGACCCTGTTTGCCTGGGTATCACCAGTGGAGGTTGCCGAACAGCAAAGATTGCTGCCTGTTCCTTCCTCTGGAAGCTTCGTCCCAGAGGGACTCCTGCCAGATGCCAGCCGGAGCTCTCCTGTGTGATGTGTCTGTTGATCCCTGCTGGGAGATGTCTCCCCATCAGGAGACAAGAGGGTCAGGGGCCCACTTGAGGAGGCACTCTGTGCCTTAGCAGAGCTCGAGCGCTGTGCTGGGAGAGCTGCTGCTCTCTTCAGAGCCGAGAGGCAGAAACGTTTACGTCTGCTGAAGCTGCACCCACAGCCGCCCCTTCCCCCGGGTGCTCTGTCCCAGAGAGATGGGAGTTTTATCTATAAGCCCTGACTGGGGCTGCTGCCTTTCTTTCAGAGATGCCCTGCCCAGAGAGCAGTTTTACAGGCTTTTTACAGACAGATCAGACCGAGTCCCTGAAAACTCCGTGACAGATGTTTGTCACATTGAAAGTAAAATGGAGCCTCTCCGCCTCGGCCCACAAACGTCTCCATTATGAGACCAAGCCTGGTCTGCTCGTTCACCACTCTGGTCTTTAATTTCCTCAAATGCTCAGAGCTCTCTCGTAGCTTAGGGTCTTTGGAGTTGCTGTTTCCTCTCCCTAAATGGTTCCTCTCAATCCTTGCATAATTAGTCATTGAGATATCAGCTTAAATAGCACCTGTTCAGTGAGACATTTTTTTCACCAGGCAATCTGAGGTAGCTATGTAGTCACTTTTGATCCTAAAACCTTAATTTAACAGGGTGTGTGTGTGTGTGTGTGTGTGTGTGTGTGTGTGATCAGCCCGTGCTACCTTCTTGCTTGTGGGGGCCTCTATCCCTCACGAGCTGTCAGTCCTGCTGCCTGCTGCATCCCAGACTTGGGCCATGCAAGCTGCATTGAAGCACTCAGCCCACACTTGTCAAATATGTGAATGAGAGAGTGAGTGAATGTATATGTTCTTAATGCCCAGCATCATTCACAACACATATTCGATATTAATGTTTGTTGAATGGCCCAATATGACAAGAGGAGTAAAAGTGTTTCTAGTAAACAGTGTAAGATAATGTTGTTATTTCTAATTAATGACATTCTAGTAGAAAGTGTAAGACAGTGTTGCTGTTTCTAATTAATGGTGTGCTCTGATGAATCGATGTCACTGAAATGGGGTCTTTCTTTAAAAATGCAGACATGCTTTACAGCCTGGCTGCTTCAAAGTTGGGCATTATTAAGAATCTCCAGCTTTAACAGTGAAAGGCCTATTCCACACAGGGAATATACTGATTCATGCAGCCATGTTGCCCAGAGCTAGCCAGGGCTGGAGGCCCGAATCCACGGAGGCCGGGCCAGGCCACCCCAGCATCAGGCCTCAGGCCTGCCCACCTGCACTGGCTTCATTCAGACCGTCCCAGGCAATGATGAGATGGCACCAGCTACTCCAGGCTGACCCTCTACCAGCTCAGAGACCACCAAGGCAGCAAGGAAGCCCCTCCTTCCCAGGAGTGACAGCAGTTTATTCATTCATTCATTTATTCATCCCACAAGTGTCTCTTGAGCTCCTCCATGTGTCAGGCACTGCTCCAGATGCTCCCCAATGTCGTGGGCATGGCAGGCAGTGACAGCTCTCATGCTTCCCATGCTGTCACAGAGGAGGACAGATAATAAGCAGTAAACATGACAGGTGATCAGTAATAAAAAGTGAAGTGTGTAGCACCCTAAAGGTGTCGAGTGCCGCGAGGGAAAATTCAACAGAATGAGGGGGTCTGTAAGGGTGGAAGGCTGGCTCTCAGTTCTGCAGAGGCTGGATAGAGTGGAGGCTGGGTCTCAGTTCTGCAGAGGCTGGTTAGAGCGGAGGCTGGGTCTGAGTTCTGCAGAGCTTGGTTAGGGTGGAAGCTGGGTCTCAGTTCTGCAGAGGCTGGTTAGAGTGGAGGCTGGGTCTCAGTTCTCCACAGGCTGGTTAGAGTGGAGGCTGGGTCTCAGTTCTACAGAGGCTGGTTAGAGTGGAGGCTGGGTCTCAGTTCTGCAGAGCTGGTTAGAGTGGAGGCTGGGTCTCAGTTCTACAGAGGCTGGTTAGAGTGGAGGCTGGGTCTCAGTTCTGTAGAGGCTGGTTAGAGTGGAGGATGGGTCTCAGTTCTACAGAGGCTGGTTAGAGTGGAGGCTGGGTCTCAGTTCTGTAGAGGCTGGTTAGAGTGGAGGATGGGTCTCAGTTCTACAGAGGCTGGTTAGAGTGGAGGCTGGGTCTCAGTTCCATAGAGGCTGGTTAGAATGGAGGCTGGGTCTCAGTTCTGTAGAGGCTGGTTAGAGTGGAGGCTGGGTCTCAGTTCTACAGAGGCTGGTTAGAGTGGAGGCTGGGTCTCAGTTCTGTAGAGGCTGGTTAGAGTGGAGGATGGGTCTCAGCTCCATAGAGGCTGGTTAGAGTGGAGTCTGGGTCTCAGTTCTGCAGAGCTTGGTTAGGGTGGAAGGTGGGTCTCAGTTCTGCAGAGGCTGGTTAGAGTGGAGGTGGGGTCTCAGTTCTGCAGAGGCTGGTTAGAGTGGAGGCTGGGTCTCAGTTCTGTAGAGGCTGGTTAGAGTGGAGGCTGGGTCTTCATTCTTTTGGGTTGTGCCAGCAAGGCCATGACATCTCCTCCACACTGTGATGGGCTCAGCATCCAGCTCATAGTAGTTGGAACAGTCAGTATTTCTGTCTCAGGGATTATTTATCTAAGGGACTGGGGCTGAGGAGGGATCTGCAGGCTTCTAAACCTGACCACATCATCCTCCCCATGCGTCCTGCTGGCAGGAGACCACCGTTCAATATTTGACCACTTAATATTTGGTGAGATTCCATGCAAATTACTAAACTCAAGTTGCCTCCGTATGAGGAGTTTTCTGAGTCCTGCAGCTCCAACCCCCACCTCCCCACATACCCCAGCCACCGCGTCGGCACCTCTCCTCAAGTCAAGCCAGCTGCGGCCACACATTTCCATTCTGATGCCCAAGACACAGCTGGGACAGAACACATTCTTAAAGACACTTAAGTGAACAGGCACAAAGATGAATGACCCTTCTTCATTTTGTGGACACTGCAGACACTGTTCACATATGGCCGTTATCGACATGGATTCAGAAATCATTTTCCTGGAAACATTGCTAGGTAACTGCGGGAGAAGGGACCTTGCTATAAATGCACTGGAGTTTGCTGAAAATGTAAATACGAATTTTATCTCCTAACACCAGGGAGAGATGTTTCACTAGGGTGTTCATTATGATTTGCAAATGAAATGGACAAAATTCAGATTCTCTAAACAGTACCTCAGTGGGGCACCCTATCCCTCCATCCAAATAGATCCATGTTTCTCAAAGTGTGGTCTGGCCCATAGACCACCAGGAATGGAATCACCTAGAATGTTTATTTAAAATTTGGATTTGGGGCTGACCTCACCCTTCTAAATTCCATCTCCGGGGATGCGATCCAGGAATCAACATTACATGCAAGCACTCAGGAGATCGTGATACAGGAATCTATATTACATGCAAGCACACAGGAGACCGTGATCCTGGAATCTATATTACATACTAGCATGCGGAAGACCGTGATCCAGGAATCTACATTACATGCAAGCACGCAGGAGACTGTGATCCAGATTGGGATTTGCAAAACCATCCAATGAATGTCTTCTTGTTGCTCCGACACCAGCCTTTAAATGTAAAGTGACAACAGTCAAAAATATTTATAAAGAAAAAAGCAATGTACTTGTTAAAAAAAAAACTCAAACATAAATGGCTTAGATGTAAATAATAATGAAGATACCACAGGCAGAATCATAGCTTCTCTGTGATAGGCCAGCCGTTAGAATCGCTGAGCTTAGCATCTACCAGGAGCTGCTGCAGAAAAGGTCTGATGTCTTGTGTCGTGTGTGGAGTACTTGTGGTGTAACAGGATAAAGATAGTGCAGTCGCTTTGTTGTTAGAAGCAACAGCACCAGAAGCCAGGCGGGGCACACCACCCTGCAGCCAACCTCGGTGCCATCGGCTCACCTGACCTCATCGGCCCCTGAGGATGCAGGCCAGGCACCATCATTGCTTCCACTGCCGAAAGAGGAAACAGTGGGTGAGCAACATCCGTGACTTACCCAGGTTCATACGGTGAGGATGCACAGAACCGAATGCAAGCCCCAGATCCGGACCTCCTGACCTCCACTCCTGTGTTCTGGACACAGCTCCCTACTACTCAGGGGAGTGGACCAATTTGAGCCGAAGATGGTTACCTACTTGATTCGCACTTCCGTCGCCACACAAGTGATACAGCAGGGCTCTCAGAGTGCGTGCCTCTGAGATGCTTGAGAAGCAAAGTGGTCTCCATATTCCCCTGACGTCTTCTGTTCGTGACTTGAAGGAAGCAGATGATCACAAGAGTCTCTGGTGAATGCGTGAATCCAGGGCTCTAGTGAGTGCGGCCTGTCCTTTGTGCATGAGCTTTAGAAACGTGCTACATTCTTGTGGGCCTAAGTGCCTCTTTAGGATGAAATCTTTTCAATTAGCAATCAAAGACTTTTATACCCTGCCCCTTTCCATGGTTGTCCCCTCCAGCAAATCTGTGATCCCGCTGATGTTACCTTCCCTGTTATAAGGAAGAAAACAGAGAATGCAGCGTTTGCTAACTGTCCGAGCCCACAGCGTCCATGATGGGGTGAGAACCGAAGCCAGCAGCTCCCCACTCTGGAAGTAAACTGTTGACTCATTTCCGTGTTTGTCTGAATTATTAGTTTATCATATAGTTGTAATAATCCATGGCAAATGTTTAAAATATGCCACAAAAGCAACACATGCCAAATTTGGAATCAGAAGGTCTTCAGGCTCAAATCTCAGCTCGAGCTCGTGCTGTAGAACGTGTCACCTCTGAGTGAAGACTTTCTCTTCTTGTTAAAGCAAGGTTAATTATAATACCTTCCGCAGAGAATCATAACCAGCACCAAATCAGAGGCGAAGAATGAAAGTATTTGTGGAAAATGAATTATCGTTAACTCTGCTGCCCCAGAGCTCCCTCACTGTCCTTCCTTGAGGCCCAAGAGAAAAGACGAACTGAAGGTACCAGTGGGTTTTTTTTGAAAATTTGCTTCAAGTCTACATTCTGAACGTACGGTTCATTTCAACTTTCAGATGACATAAAGCTAAATAGAGTGCTCTTCGTATCTTATTTTCCTCCTTTATTGAGTTATGATTTAAGAACCATACAATTCATCCACTTGAAGTACAATTCAGTGGTTCTTAGTTTATTTATGGACTTGCGCGAACATCAGTGCAATCCATTTTAGAACATAAACTTTACACCAAAAAGAAACCCTGTACCGTCACTCCCCACTTCCCCTAACTCCTCCAACCCCTGGCAACCACGAACCTGCATTCTCCCTGTCGTGGCCATGGAACCCCACAATACTGTATCTTTGTGTCTGGCTTCTAGCATAACGTTTTCAACATTGATCCACATTGCAGCATGTGTCAGAACTGCAATTCTTTTTATGATGGAAGCATATTCCATTGTATGGATAGACCACAGTTTATTTACCCATCCATCATGGATGTATACTTAGGTTGTTTCCTTTTGGAGGCTATTATGAATAATTCTGCTATGACCATTATTCTGTTTGTTTTCTGAGATGAGGTCTCACTCTGTTGCCCAGGCTGGAGTGCAGTGGCACAATCTCGGCTCACTACAACCTCCGCCCCCTGAGCTCAAGGAATCCTCCCTCCTCAGTGACCCCAAGTAGCTGGGTCCACAGATGTACACCACCACACCCAGCTAAGTTTTTGTATTTTTGGTAGAGACGAGATTTCATCATGTTGCCCAGGCTAGTCTCAAACTCCTAAGCTCGAGAGATCCACCTACCGCAGCCTCCCAAAGTGCTGGGATTACAGGCGTGAGCCACAGCACCCGGCCTCCTGTATGAGTTTTATGTGGACACACATTTTCATTTCTCCTGGGCATATACCAAGGAGTGGAGATGCTGGGTCCTTGATAACTCAATGTTTGACCTTTTGAGGAACTCCCAGACTGTTTTTCAAAGTGGCTGTACTACATATAATATTAAATAACATAAATTAGTTGCATATGTAACATTATATTATTGTATTGTTTTCATATACATATGTTTATATAAAAATTATCCATCATTCTTTAAAATCTGACTTATATTCTTTAATCTCTAAAGATTTACAGAGACACAGTTTTATAGCAAGAGCAGATTTTTCATCTATCTTAAAATGTGTATGTTCATCAGTATGGATATACTGACACCCATATCCTGGAGGACAAATGATTGGAGGATTTCCATAATGCTCATCACATCTGTTCTGACGTTTAAGTCACTGTCCTTTCTCAAAGGAAATCTAATTTATACTCCTTAGCACAATATTGCTATCTTTTCTTAGAAATACATTTCACAGTTGAAATATAAAGCAATTTGAGGAAAATAAGATTTTTAGAAAGACATCGGGCCTGTGTAAATATATCCTTTAGAAAATTGACTTCAGAGCGTGAGCGACGCAGAAGACGGGTGATTTCTGCATTTCCATCTGAGGTACCGGGTTCATCTCACTAGGGAGTGCCAGACAGTGGGCGCAGGCCAGTGGGTGCGCGCACCGGGCGCGAGCCGAAGCAGGGCGAGGCATTGCCTCACCTGGGAAGCGCAAGGGGTCAGGGAGTTCCCTTTCTGAGTCAAAGAAAGGGGTGACGGACGCACCTGGAAAATCGGGTCACTCCCACCCGAATATTGCGCTTTTCAGACCGGCTTAAAAAACGGCGCACCACGAGACTATATCCCACACCTGGCTCGGAGGGTCCTACGCCCACGGAATCTCGCTGATTGCTAGCACAGCAGTCTGAGATCAAACTGCAAGGCGGCAGCGAGGCTGGGGGAGGGGCGCCCGCCATTGCCCAGGCTTGCTTAGGTAAACAAAGCAGCCGGGAAGCTCGAACTGGGTGGAGCCCACCACAGCTCAAGGAGGCCTGCCTGCCTCTGTAGGCTCCACCTCTGGGGGCAGGGCACAGACAAACAAAAAGACAGCAGTAACCTCTGCAGACTTAAATGTCCCTGTCTGACAGCTTTGAAGAGAGCAGTGGTTCTCCCAGCACGCAGCTGGAGATCTGAGAACGGGCGGACTGCCTCCTCAAGTGGGTCCCTGACCCCTGACCCCCGAGCAGCCTAACTGGGAGGCACCCCCCAGCAGGGGCACACTGACACCTCACACGGCAGGGTATTCCAACAGACCTGCAGCTGAGGGTGCTGTCTGTTAGAAGGAAAACTAACAAACAGAAAGGACATCCACACCGAAAACCCATCTGTACATCACCATCATCAAAGACCAAAAGTAGATAAAACCACAAAGATGGGGAAAAAACAGAACAGAAAAACTGGAAACTCTAAAACGCAGAGCGCCTCTCCTCCTCCAAAGGAACGCAGTTCCTCACCAGCAACGGAACAAAGCTGGATGGAGAATGACTTTGACGAGCTGAGAGAAGAAGGCTTCAGACGATCAAATTACTCTGAGCTACGGGAGGACATTCAAACCAAAGGCAAAGAAGTGGAAAACTTTGAAAAAAATTTAGAAGAATGTATAACTAGAATAACCAATACAGAGAAGTGCTTAAAGGAGCTGATGGAGCTGAAAACCAAGGCTCGAGAACTACGTGAAGAATGCAGAAGCCTCAGGAGCCGATGCGATCAACTGGAAGAAAGGGTATCAGCAGTGGAAGATGAAATGAATGAAATGAAGCGAGAAGGGAAGGTTAGAGAAAAAAGAATAAAAAGAAATGAGCAAAGCCTCCAAGAAATATGGGACTATGTGAAAAGACCAAATCTACGTCTGATTGGTGTACCTGAAAGTGATGGGGCGAATGGAACCAAGTTGGAAAACACTCTACAGGATATTATCCAGGAGAACTTCCCCAATCTAGCAAGGCAGGCCAACATTCAGATTCAGGAAATACAGAGAACGCCACAAAGATACTCCTCGAGAAGAGCAACTCCAAGACACATAATTGTCAGATTCACCAAAATGGAAATGAAGGAAAAAATGTTAAGGGCAGCCAGAGAGAAAGGTCGGGTTACCCTCAAAGGGAAGCCCATCAGACTAACAGCGGATCTCTCGGCAGAAACCCTACAAGCCAGAAGAGAGTGGGGGCCAATATTCAACATTCTTGAAGAAAAGAATTTTCAACCCAGAATTTCATATCCAGCCAAACTAAGCTTCATAAGTGAAGGAGAAATAAAATACTTTACAGACAAGCAAATGCTGAGAGATTTTGTCACCACCAGGCCTGCCCTAAAAGAGCTCCTGAAGGAAGCGCTAAACATGGAAAGGAACGACCGGTACCAGCTGCTGCAAAATCATGCCAAAATGTAAAGACCATCGAGACTAGGAAGAAACTGCATCAACTAACGAGCAAAATCACCAGCTAACAACATAATGACAGGATCAAATTCACACATAATATTAACTTTAAATGTAAATGGACTAAATGCTCCAATTAAAAGACACAGACTGGCAAGTTGGATAAAGAGTCAAGACCCATCAGTGTGCTGTATTCAGGAAACCCATCTCACGTGCAGAGACACACATAGGCTCAAAATAAAAGGATGGAGGAAGATCTACCAAGCAAATGGAAAACAAAAAAAGGCAGGGGTTGCAATCCTAGTCTCTGATAAAACAGACTTTAAACCAACAAAGATCAAAAGAGACAAAGAAGGCCATTACATAATGGTAAAGGGATCAATTCAACAAGAGGAGCTAACTATCCTAAATATATATGCACCCAATACGGGAGCACCCAGATTCATAAAGCAAGTCCTGAGTGACCTACAAAGAGACTTAGACTCCCACACATTAATAATGGGAGACTTTAACACCCCACTGTCAACATTAGACAGATCAACGAGACAGAAAGTTAACAAGGATACCCAGGAATTGAACTCAGCTCTGTACCAAGCGGACCTAATAGACATCTACAGAACTCTCCACCCCAAATCAACAGAATATACATTTTTTTCAGCACCACACCACACCTATTCCAAAATTGACCACATAGTTGGAAGTAAAGCTCTCCTCAGCAAATGTGAAAGAACAGAAATTATAACAAACTATCTCTCAGACCACAGTGCAATGAAACTAGAACTCAGGATTAAGAATCTCACTCAAAACTGCTCAACTACATGGAAACTAAACAACCTGCTCCTGAATGACTACTGGGTACATAACGAAATGAAGGCAGAAATAAAGATGTTCTTTGAAACCAACGAGAACAAAGACACAACAAACCAGAATCTCTGGGACGCATTCAAAGCAGTGTGTAGAGGGAAATTTATAGCACTGAATGCCCACAAGAGAAAGCAGGAAAGATCCAAAATTGACACCCTAACATCACAATTAAAAGAACTAGAAAAGCAAGAGCAAACACATTCAAAAGCTAGCAGAAGGCAAGAAATAACTAAAATCAGAGCAGAACTGAAGGAAATAGAGACACAAAAAACCCTTCAAAAAATCAATGAATCCAGGAGCTGGTTTTTTGAAAGGATCAACAAAATTGATAGACCGCTAGCAAGACTAATAAAGAAAAAAAGAGAGAAGAATCAAATAGACACAATAAAAAATGATAAAGGGGATATCACCACCGATCCCACAGAAATACAAACTACCATCAGAGAATACTACAAACACCTCTACGCAAATAAACTAGAAAATCTAGAAGAAATTAATAAATTGCTCGACACATACACCTCCCAAGACTAAACCAGGAAGAAGTTGAATCTCTGAATAGACCAATAACAGGAGCTGAAATTGGGGCAATAATCAATAGTTTACCAACCAAAAAGAGTCCAGGACCAGATGGATTCACAGCCGAATTCTACCAGAGGTACAAGGAGGAACTGGTACCATTCCTTCTGAAACTATTCCAATCAATAGAAAAAGAGGAAATCCTCCCTAACTCATTTTATGAGGCCAGCATCATTCTGATACCAAAGCCGGGCAGAGACACAACCAAAAAAGAGAATTTTAGACCAATATCCTTGATGAACATCGATGCAAAAATCCTCAATAAAATACTGGCAAACCGAATCCAGCAGCACATCAAAAAGCTTATCCACCATGATCAAGTGGGCTTCTTCCCTGGGATGCAAGGCTGGTTCAATATACGCAAATCAATAAATGTAATCCAGCATATAAACAGAGCCAAAGACAAAAACCACATGATTATCTCAATAGATGCAGAAAAAGCCTTTGACAAAATTCAACAACCCTTCATGCTAAAAACTCTCAATAAATTAGGTATTGATGGGACGTATTTCAAAATAATAAGAGCTATCTATGACAAACCCACAGCCAATATCATACTGAATGGGCAAAAACTGGAAGCATTCCCTTTGAAAACTGGCACAAGACAGGGATGCCCTCTCTCACCGCTCCTATTCAACATAGTGTTGGAAGTTCTGGCCAGGGCAATCAGGCAGGAGAAGGAAATAAAGGGTATTCAATTAGGAAAAGAGGAAGTCAAATTGTCCCTGTTTGCAGACGACATGATTGTTTATCTAGAAAACCCCATCGTCTCAGCCCAAAATCTCCTTAAGCTGATAAGCAACTTCAGCAAAGTCTCAGGATACAAAATCAATGTACAAAAATCACAAGCATTCTTATACACCAGCAACAGACAAACAGAGAGCCAAATCATGAGTGAACTCCCATTCACAATTGCTTCAAAGAGAATAAAATACCTAGGAATCCAACTTACAAGGGATGTGAAGGACCTCTTCAAGGAGAACTACAAACCACTGCTCAAGGAAATAAAAGAGGATACAAACAAATGGAAGAACATTCCATGCTCATGGGTAGGAAGAATCAATATCGTGAAAATGGCCATACTGCCCAAGGTAATTTACAGATTCAATGCCATCCCCATCAAGCTACCAATGACTTTCTTCACAGAATTGGAAAAAACTACTTTAAAGTTCATATGGAACCAAAAAAGAGCCCACATCACCAAGTCAATCCTAAGCCAAAAGAACAAAGCTGGAGGCATCACACTACCTGACTTCAAACTATACTACAAGGCTACAGTAACCAAAACAGCATGGTACTGCTACCAAAACAGAGATATAGATCAATGGAACAGAACAGAGCCCTCAGAAATAACACCGCATACCTACAACTATCTGATCTTTGACAAACCTGAGAAAAACAAGCAATGGGGAAAGGATTCCCTATTTAATAAATGGTGCTGGGAAAACTGGCTAGCCATATGGAGAAAGCTGAAACTGGATCCCTTCCTTACACCTTATACAAAAATCAATTCAAGATGGATTAAAGATTTAAACGTTAGACCTAAAACCATAAAAACCCTAGAAGAAAACCTAGGCATTACCATTCAGGACATAGGCATGGGCAAGGACTTCATGTCCAGAACACCAAAAGCAATGGCAACCAAAGCCAAAATTGACAAATGGGATCTAATTAAACTAAAGAGCTTCTGCACAGCAAAAGAAACTACCATCAGAGTGAACAGGCAACCTACAACATGGGAGAAAATTTTCGCAACCTACTCATCTGACAAAGGGCTAATATCCAGAATCTACAATGAACTCAAACAAATTTACAAGAAAAAAACAAACAACCCCATCAAAAAGTGGGAGAAGGACATGAACAGACACTTCTCAAAAGAAGACATTTATGCAGCCAAAAAACACATGAAAAAATGCTCATCATCACTGGCCATCAGAGAAATGCAAATCAAAACCACTATGAGATATCATCTCACACCAGTTAGAATGGCAATCATTAAAAAGTCAGGAAACAACAGGTGCTGGAGAGGATGTGGAGAAATAGGAACACTTTTACACTATTGGTGGGACTGTAAACTAGTTCAACCATTGTGGAAGTCAGTGTGGCGATTCCTCAGGGATCTAGAACTAGAAATACCATTTGACCCAGCCATCCCATTACTGGGTATATACCCAAAGGACTATAAATCATGCTGCTATAAAGACACATGCACACGTATGTTTATTGCGGCATTATTCACAATAGCAAAGACTTGGAACCAAGCCAAATGTCCAACAATGATAGACTGGATTAAGAAAATGTGGCACATATACACCATGGAATACTATGCAGCCATAAAAAATGATGAGTTCATGTCCTTTGTAGGGACATGGATGAAATTGGAAATCATCATTCTCAGTAAACTATCGCAAGAACAAAAAACCAAACACCGCATATTCTCACTCATAGGTGGGAACTGAACAATGAGAACACGTGGACACAGGAAGGGGAACATCACACTCTGGGGACTGTGGTGGGGTGGGGGGAGCGGGGAGGGATAGAATTGGGAGATATACCTAAGGCTAGATGACGAGTTAGTGGGTGCAGCGCACCAGCATGGCACATGTATACATATGTAACTAACCTGCACAATGTGCACATGTACCCTAAAACTTAAAGTATAATAAAAAAAAAAAAAGAAAAGAAAAGAAAATTGACTTCAACTGAAATTTCTGCACTGCGCACCCAGCTCCATGAGGACAAGGGCGATGCCTTCATAAATGATGCCCAGAAAGTATTTGATAGATGAGTAACTCATTTTCTAAATTAACATATTTTGGGAGAGTAGTTTAACAGCAGCAGTAAAGCCCTTTTTCGAGAACCTGTTCTGTACTGCTTCGGACAGATGTAGGTCTCCATTCTGAATTCATGTCCACCCTGCATGTTCAGTTCACTCACACTGGCCTCCTCTGTATTCTTTTTGGAAAAATCATAGAGAAAGATTAGCAAATTGAATTTTTTAAAAATAAGCCTCAAAAATGTTGAATGCCAAAGGACTAAATTGCTACCTTCCATTCTAGCTCTATCAACTATTCCCGGTACAAATATGAACAGTAAGGCCAGGCTTTGCAATGCGTGACCTGACAGGTCTCAGACTCGGCGGGGTTTTCAGCGAAAATGGGCCTCAGGAGGCCTTTGGAAGAGCTAGGTGGGGGAGGCTGGTTCACTGCAAGTGTATGCCCTGGCTTCAGCGGTGACTGAGCCCTCGTAGCCCAGGGGACATGGTGGATCATCACATACTTCTCATGGGATCCTTCACAAACCCCACCAGCACCTTCAGCAGATGGAGAAATCAACTCTTCACAGGCAGAAAAAAAACGGATGGCACAGACCTGGGGTCTCCTGAGCATTTGCAGTCAGGCAAGAGAACAGCCGTGGGGCCTCTGCAGCCAGAGGGTGAATCTCACCTCAGAACTGACTCAGTGAACACGGAATTACCAGCCACATTGGCAGAGACCTCACAGTCAGTGCTGCTGGTACCACAGGCAGGACAAGGGGTGCCGAGGTTGGAATATGACCACAGACACCCGGCGGACTGGAGGTGGCCTCTGCCGCAGCTGCCATTGACGGCTTGGACCCCGCTTTGTGTTGCCAGCATCACCTCCAGGTGTGCAGAAAACATGACTTACCGGACGACCTTGTGCCCACACGAGCTCTGGGGACTCTGGGAAAGGAGACCTCCCAGGCGGAGCCCCCTGTGGCACAGCCTCTGCCTCTGCAGTGCTGGGCTCCCCAAACCAACAACTACAGCAGCAGAACTGATATGCAGGTTGGCCAAGCCAAGGACAGTTGCTCACCCTGGCGACACGATTTTTTAAAATGTAATAATGGGGAGTTCTGGCTCTGGGATAATAACTTATATTGAAGAAACACTCATACAGATGACAGCCATGAACTGTGGAGCCCACACACACATGCATTGCACGTGCACACACGTGCACACGCACACACACACACGCATGCCCTCCTGTTTGAAAGCAGAGTTGGGCAGGAAGTAGAGACTATTCACATTTTAAAGGAAAGGCGCCGCGCTCACTCGCGGCTGCCCATGGTCCTGTGAGTTCCCTCTGAGCACCCTCGCTACCTGCCGCAGGAGGGCGGTAGGAACTGAAGCAGACAGCTGCAGTCTCCTTGGATGTGTCTGTTACAGGATGGAATTTGGGGTTGCCAGAAGAGGTGGGGGTCAGAACAGAAGGGATGGAGCCATGGAGGGAGACCCCAAAGTCTATTAACATTTGCGGACCCCTGAAAAAGTTTAGTTTCCAGCTGCTGACCACCGATGGTGAAGATCAGTCTGGAGGCTGAACCCCACCAAGTGCACAGGCCAGGTAAACCATCTGCAGCCTCCCCAGGCCCACCCCAGCAACGCACGAGCCAAACACCCAAAGCTAAGGAGGATCGGCCACAACCAAAATTAGCACACATTGGAGGAGGGAGCAGGTGCCGGGGTCTCTGCCAGTCGTGTCCTTTATGCCGAAAAGAGGCTGAAGTTGTAGCAACATGAAACCCACCTGCAAGGAAAAAACTGATGTGCTCAAAACGAAGCCTGAGAAGACCCCGATGGTAGAACTCACCAGAAAGATCTTTAAACAGCCATTGTAAGGTCTTATGAATGATATAAAAATGTTAGAACTCACCGGAAAGATCTTTAAAGCAGCCATTGTAAGGTCTTATGAATGATACAAAAATGTTAGAATTCACCGGAAAGATCTTTAAACAGCCATTGTAGTCTTATGAATGATATAAAAATGTTAGAACTCACCGGAAAGATCTTTAAACAGCCATTGTAAGGTCTTATGAATGATATAAAAATGTTAGAACTCACCGGAAAGATCTTTAAAGCAGCCATTGTAAGGTCTTATGAATGACATAAAAATATTAGAATTCACCAGAAAGATCTTTAAAGCAGCCATTGTAAGGTCTTATGAATGATATAAAAATGTTAGAACTCACCAGAAAGATCTTTAAACAGCCATTGTAAGGTCTTATGAATGATATAAAAATGTTAGAACTCACCACAAAGATCTTTAAAGCAGCCGTTGTAAGGTCTTATGAATGATATAAAAATGTCTGTTACAAGGTTAAAGATGTTAAAGGAGAAGAAGGTCTTAATGCCTGACTAGATGGAGAAATGAAATCCATGAGAAAGAGACAAATTGAATTTTCAAGAACAGAAAACCACAATATCTGAAATGAAAAATTTATGGGATGTGTTTAAGAGCGAATTGAGAGAGCAGGAAAAAAGCTTAGTAATTTGAAAATGAAACAGTATATATTCTCAAATATGAAAAAGTAGAGGTAAGATATTAAAAAAAAGAATAGAGCCTCAGTAATATGTGTAGTAAGAAGAAGTGAAGGGACACACATATAATTAGAGAACCAGGGAGAAAACTGAGAGAATTTGGCAGAAGGTTTTGAAGAAAAAATGGCCAAATATTTTACAAATTTGGTTTGAAAGAATCCACAGACCCAAAATGCTCAGTGAACTCTAAGAAGATAAATAGAAAAAAATCATACCTAGCCACAAAATAGTTAAACTGTGGAAAACCAGAGAGAGACAAGTCTGTAAAGCAACCAAGGAAGGGGTCAAACAGAAACCAGAGGAATAATTAGAAAATTATGACTGCCTTATTGTCAGAAGCAATGGGAGCCAGAAGACAATGGAATCATACCTTTAAAGTGATCAAAAACATCTATTGATTCAGAATACTATACCCAGCAAAAATATCTTTTAAAAAATGAGAGCAAAATAAAGACTTTTCAAACAGAAGCTAAGGAATCTATTTTTAACTTAAATACATGTATCCACATGTGGCTACTTTTTTATCTTTCATTTAGTTTCAGGGGTACATGCACAGATTTGTGATTTAGGTAAACTCACGTCATGTGGGTTTGGTGTACAGATTATTTCGTCATCCAGGTAATAAGCATTGCACCTAATAGGTATTTTTTTCTGATCCTCTCCCTCCTTCTAACCTCCAGGAGGCCCCAGTATGTGTAGTTTTCCTCTCTGTGTCCATGTGTTCTCATCACTTAGCTCCCACTTATAAGGGAGAACATGCAGTATTTGGTTTTCTGTCCCTGTGTTAGTTTGCTAAGGATAATGGCCTCCAGCTCCATCCATGTTGCTGCAAAGGACATGATCTCATTCTTTTTTATGGCTGCATAGTATTCCACGGTGTACATGCACCACATTTTCTTTATCTGTCTACCATTGATGGGCATTTAGGTTGATTCCATGTTTTTGCTATAGTGAATAGTGCTGCAATGAATGTGCATGTGTTTTAATGGTAGAATGAGTTCTCTTCCTTTGTGTGTATACACAATAATGGGATTGCTGGGTCAGATGGTAGTTCTGTTTTTAGTTCTTTGAGGATTTGCCACTCTGCTTTCCCCAATGGTTGAACTAATTTATGCTCCCACCAGCAGTGTATGAGCATTCCCTTTTCTTCACAGCCTCACAGCATCTGTTGTTTGTCCACTTTTTAGTAATAGCCATTCTGATGGGTGTGAGATACTATCTTATTGGGGTTTTGATTTGCATTTCTTTAATGATCCATGATGTTGAGCATTTTTTCATGTGCTTGTTGGACACATGTATGTCTTCGTTTGAAAAGTGTCTGTTCATGTTCTTTGCCCACATTGTTTTTTGCTTGCAAATTTGTTTAAGTTCCTTATAGATGCTGGGTATTAGACCTTTGTTGGATGCATAGTTTGGAAATATTTTCTCCCATTTTGTACGTTTTCTGTTTACTCTGTCGATAGTTTCTTTTGCTGTGCAGAAGCTCTTAAGTTTAATTAGATCCCATTATCTACCATAATGGACAGCGCACCTCTAGAGCAACCACTCAAATATTAACGCTATGCATTACAGCCAATACGAGCTAAAGCTCAATGTTAAAAATATTTGATTAACCCAAAAGAAAGCAAAAAGAAATCAGAGGAACAAGTATATGAATAGGACATATGGAAAACAACAGTAAAATGGTAGGCTTCAACCCAGTCATAATAATACGTGTACTAAAGTAAGTGGAATAAGTAAGTAAAAGGCTACAGTTCTAACCCTGGGGAAAAAATGTCAACATTAAGGGTGCAACATTTAACTCCCTCCGTAAGATGAGATAAAACACGAGGATGCCGACTCTCAGCTCCTCTACTTAACATTCTAATGGAGGTCCTCGCCAGACACAGAAGGCAAACAAGAAGAGAAAAAGCACGAAATTTAAAAGGAAGGAGCTCCTTCCATGTTTAGGTTCCAGGTTTATTCTTATATCACATGATTGTTTACATAGAAAACCTAAGGAAACTACAAATCAAATCCTGGAACAGATCATGCCATTCATCAAGGCTAGGACATGAATGAAATAGGTAGAAATCAATTGCATTTCTGTAGACCCATAATGAATAATTGGAAAATGCAATTAGTTTTAAACATCTCAACAGCATTGTAGAATTGTGGTGCTCTAAGATAGACCATCTAAATAAATCGAGAGCTAGACTGTGATGCATTGGAAGTCTCAGTAATGTGAAGATGTGAAATCTCCCCAGACTGAGGTATGGATTCAGTGCAACCTCAGTAGAATCAATGTCATTCAAAGCAACCTCAGTTTTTAGAGAAACTGACAAGAAGATTCTAAAATGTGTGAAAATGTGAAGAACCTAGAAGTGCCAAGACAGTCTTGATAAAAAAGAACACAGTTGGAGGACTCACGCTATCTGATTTCAAGACTTGCGTTAAATCTAATCGGGACAGTGTGATATTCATATAAGAATAGAAAAGGGTCTCTCAGCCTCAGCACTCTTGATATTTGGGGCCAGACAATTGTCTCTCATTGGGGGGATCTCCGTGCACCTTCAGCATTCTTGATATTTGGGGCCAGACGATTCTCTCTTGTTGGGGGCCCTCTGTGCACTGTAGGATCTTTTCATGGCATCTCTGGCACCTGTCCAGTAGACACGAGTAGCACCCTCCTCTAAATTGTGGCAAACTCAAAATATCTCCATACATCACCAGATGTCCCTTGAGGGCCTAATCGCCCCAGATTAAGAACTACTCAAATAGACAAAATAGATCCGTGTGACAGAATAGAGACTCCAGCCGTCAAAATCTTTAAATTCTGTTCATTAAAAGACACAACTAAGAAAATGGAAAGGCAAGCCATAGAATAAGGGAAATGTCTGTCTGACAAAGGGCTTGAATGCAGAATATGTCAAGAACTCCTACAAAACAAGAACGTAAAGACAACCCCAGAAAAATGGGCATAAAAGCCAAAAGGTTACTTTGCAAAAGAAGATACACAAATGTCCAATAAGAATTAGTCATCCAGGAGGTGAAAGTGAAAACTTTATTGGGATACACTTCAATTTCACTAGAATGGCCTAAGTTAAAAAGAATGACAATACAACATGCCCAAGAGGATACGGGTGGAGGCCACAGTCAACATCTGTCAAAACTCACTGAGTCCTACAAGTGAGACCTGTGCCTTTCACTGTCTATCAATTTTCTCTCAATTAATACAATTTAATGGGTATATATTTTTCTGTTTCATTTCTATGTAAGAAAGAAAAATAAATTTTTTGGTAAGTTTACCTTGTTCTTTTAAGAAAAATTTAAACAGTTGAAATATTTTCTTCAGACCAGTTGTTTCTGAGACATCTACCAAATGCTAAAATCTCGAGTCACAATACAGGTCTTGCAAGGACAAGTTAAACATAGTATGTGTTAACATTAAGTAAGTGCTCACCATGTATTATACTTGTATTGCATGTAACATTCTTACCTTATATTCACAGAACTCCATAAGTTATGTCCTGTGACTACTGTCCTCATTGTACGTTGCATAGATTAAGAGATTTGTCCAAATGACACCGTTGGCGAGAGGTTGAGCCAGGATCTCAATGTGGGCTTTCAGGCATCAACACATGTGCTCCACTGTGCATACAAACTGCCTTCTGCGCACCATGTTACTTCCGACCTGTAAAGCACATTTCACAGCCAAGCACACTGTTGGCCTCAGCATAGCGTTTCCTGTAGACAGGAAAAATGATCCCAGGCCCGCCTCTTTGAGTGTCTTTCCCATGGTGTCTTATTTTCACCTTCTAAAAATAAATGTTCACGTTGCTTCATCCCCCCATCCAAGAAAACTCACAGCCTTTCTCAAATCGCCTGTCCTCTCTGCTGTTCCTGACAAGTTGTTCAAAAGTTCCACTCATACTTCCATTTTCTTACCTTAACGTCTGCGATCTCATTTCTGCACCCATATCCACTGAAACTGTCCTTTTTAAAAATGACCCCAGCTTGCTGCATCTGACGGTCTTTCCCCATCTCATTCCACTTGATTTCTCAGCATCTGCTCCGGGGCCGGGCTCCTCCTGTCCCTCGGGTGCCCAGGAGCGTCCCCCGCCCCACGCCCCTCTCACTTTCCTCCTGGATTCCCTTCGTGGCCCCGCCTCACCTGAGAGGCCTCCTCCACCTTTCTGCTGCGTGACACTCACAGCCCGACGTCTTCCACACTTTTACATCTGAAGCACTCAGAGGTTCACAGCCCTGCCCGTCACACTTGCTCTGTTCTTTCACAGACTTCTTGGAAGTGCCCTAGAATCAGCAGGTCCAAATCAAACTCAGGTCCAACCTCCAAAACCTGTTTTTCTTCCTATCATAGATCTTGCCTTTGTTGGGAGAAGTCTAGGCGCCTTGGAATCATCTCACCTCTAACACATTCCTCATTCCTGTGGGCTCTGTCCCTAAAATCCAAGCCCTTTGGTGTCTTATGAGAAACCAGCTCAAGTCTGCAGGAGCCTCTCGGGGTCTGTGTCCAGGACACCACTTCCTGCATTCAGGCACCTCGTCCTCCAGGCCCCACGCACAGGGACCGTCCTGAGCTCCCAGCTCACAAGTCCCTGATTAAGAACTTGCAGTACTTTTCTTTTGCCTGTGGCATAAACATCAAGCTGTCTGGGGTGTCCCTCACAGTTTCCCACTCTGCTTCCCCAAACTTCTCTCCCAGAATGCCTTTCCCCCTTTACCCTCTGCTCTCCAGACAAACAATGCTCACTCCCCGCCTCCCAGCTGGCACACACTCTACATTTCCTTTTAGCATTTTGCATTAAGAAATCTATGTTCCAGTCTTTGTCCCCAACACACTGTCAACTACACGAGTGCTACGCTTGCCATCTTGCAGAAGGCCTTTCTTGCACTTCCAAGCACCCAGACTTACGTGGGAGGTGCCTTATTAAGATGCCTTCTCCTCGTGTTCTGTTTGGGAAGCCTTTGGTGGCACATCCTTCAAACCTGCCCAGTCCTGGTTATAGCAAAGGACGGGTAGAGCCAAGTGGACGAGAGCCGGAGGTGGTTGGTCCGGCTGGGTCAGGGTCAGCTGCACTGGGACCAGGGCAGAGGAGAGCCAGAGGAGGTTGTCCACACTGGGTTGGGGTCAGCTACACGAGGACCAGGGCAAAGGAGGTTGTCATGGCTGGGTCACTGTTAGCTGCACTGGGACCAGGGCAGAGGAGAGCCAGAAGAGGTTGTCCACACCGGGTTGGGGTCAGCCCCGTTGGGACCCAAGCCAGCGTCATGCATCTGAGCATGCTGGCTCTCACTCTCAGCTGGCCGTGGGTCAGCCATTGCAGCCCCACCTGCCACGGGCTCCAGGAAGAGCAGTCATCAGTATGGAGAAGGCCGGACTCTGCTCAGAAGCCACTGAGCAGGTGCTCCATAGACTCACCAGCTGGAGCGGGGTCACATCTCGGAGGCACCGTCAGCACCAGGAGGGCAGCCAAGCAAGGGTATGGCATTTCCGAGCCTCTGCGGTCAAGGGTATCGCATTTCCGAGCCTCTGCGGTCAAGGGTATGGCGTTTCCGAGCCTCTGCGGTCAAGGGTATGGCGTTTCCGAGCCTCTGCAGTCAAGAGCCCAGAGATGGGTTGTCGGGGCAGCTGTGGGGGCATCCCAGATGTGGGTGCCAACAGTGAGATGCAAATGTGGATTTCCCTCAAAAATGTGCTGTTAGGGAACAAGCATGCCTTCATCTCCTGCAAGGGCACAGAAAGCTCAAGAACACTTTTTACCCTGAATGTGGAAATGATCTGGAAAGAAGCCATTTTCTGAAATCCAGTCATTAATTGTGATATTATTTGAAATGTATACTGAAAGGTGTTCTAAGAATTTCCATTTTGCAGGTGGAATAATACACACATGTGCACGCACAGCACACGCACGCGTGTGCACACGAATGTCTGTTTCACTAGCACTGTTTAGCGTGCTCCATTTTCCATTGAATGCAGTGGAAGAAACACTTCTTATATTTGGGAGCTTCTCCTGTCAGATCCCATTTATAGAAATGAGAAGATGATCTCTGTATTTCAAATGAACACATTTAGTATGGAAAAAAATTTTCTTAAATATCTCCTTAGCACAACCTGCATAGAATCCTTACTGCTTTCCAAGGTAACAAGGGAGATGGTTTACGTTGTGTATTTTCAAGCATGTTTAGATGGATCTAAACAGCTGGGGTCAGAGGCCCTTTCAGGGGTACCCTTTGTTATGTATATTCGTTCTCATAATGACCTAAGTCACAGAGGAGGTTCTGAGCCCAGGATTCAGCAAGCAGCTCTGGAACCATTCGCAAAGGGCGAGAACAAGGTTGAACACCAGGAATCCTGCAGTTCTGTCTTGGGGTTATGGATTCACTTGCACAGCTTTCCGTCTCGCCTGTTTGTGGATGACAATCTAAGGGGAGCAACATCTGAAAGGCAAAACTAGAACAAAAACATTTCTGTGTTATTCTAGAAAACTTTTCACTATTTAAAAAAAAATTCTGAGCTACTAAGTCCATATAGCAAAATATGTTTCCATTTCTGACACCTGGGATGCCGCAGGAATTACCACTTAGAGAGATAACCAAAGGGGCTGAAAGTCAACTTCAAAATGCCCCGGGATGTAGGAGGGGGATTTTCAGGGGGAAGAGTCAGGTGGATTTTGTGGAGTGAGCCGTGCTGGGGACTTCACCCTGTGTCACCTGGCGGGGCCACCGGAGGGTGCATCCCCCCATCTTGATTGGCTCCCCCTAGTCCTAGTTCTTGAGTTTTGATCTGTGACTGTGAGGAACCTGGCCTTCTGGGACTCTATATGATAAAATGCTAAGCCATTATAATATTTTTTAAAAAGCCTCTTAAGCCAAATGAGGCTGAGGTTTTATTTGTTATTTTTTAACTATTTAAAAAGTCTGTGGTATCAGAGGATGGGATCTTTGGCTCTGTGGTCCTATGACTCAGCATCTTGAGTGCTTAAAATCCCAGTGACCTTGGGATTTTAAAGCATGAATTCCAGAGCCAGGCCACCTGGACTCAGAAGGGAGTGCTGCCCCCATCCCGCCCAAGCCTGAGTGCATGACCTGGCACCAGTGTGTGATGACCTGGCACCAGTGTGTGAAGACCTGTGCGTGATGACCTGGAACCAGTGCGTGATGACCTGACACCAGTGTGTGATGACCTGGCACCAGTGCTTGATGACCTGACACCAGTGCATCATGACCTGACACCAGCGCGCAATGACCTGACACCAGTGCACGATGACCTGGCACCAGTGCGTGATGACCTGACACCAGTGCGTCATGACCTGACACCAGTGCGTGATGACCTGGCACCAGTGCGCGATGACCTGACACCAGTGTGCGATGACCTGGCACCAGTGTGCGATGACGTGGCCCCAGTGTGCCATGACCTGGCACCAGTGCGCGATGACCTGACACCAGTGTGCGATGACCTGGCACCAGTGCACAATGACCTTGCAGCAATGTGCGTCTGATGCTGCATTCATAGGAGGAAGGTTGGGAAGAGGCCTGGTTTATAGGACTAATGTAAACATTAAATGTGTTAGGACAATGCAAAACACTTATTAGCATTTCTGGCGTAATCTTGCATAGAAAATGTTAGCTATTGTGAGTCTATGTTTTAAAAAAAATTATTAGCTTTCTTCAGCGGCAACATTTATGTGTCACACTCCATTTTGAAATAAAGAGAATCATTGAGAGAATATGTATTTGAAACATAGACTCACAAAATACATGGATCCACCTGTGAGGGCTGTCCAGCAGCCACTGCCAGAGTGATGAGCCATGGCTCAGAGGTGATCCCTTCGTTCACGTAGCAGGCACTGGTTAGAAACTGTGGACACCAGATCCAGAGGACGAGAATCCTTCTTTTATGTTTTCTCAGTCTAGAAGGCAGCTTCAATTTGAGAATGTTAAAATGCAAAACGGTGGTGTTAATCAGAAGGAACGGCTGTTGTATTGGAAGAAAATTGGTAATTGGTAGAAAGTGCCGATTGGTAGAAATGGAGGGTATGAAACCAGCAATCTCAAGGAAGCATGGAAGGAGAGCAGAAGTGCGGGAAGTTTACATTTCTGCAAAGACAAAGGTGAGTCAAGTTAAGAGCCTCAGTCAGGGCTCTTGGCATCCACCTGAGGCCACACTGCTCGGGCTCCATAGCTCGGGGCTTCGTCCGCTGCACATGACTCTGTATTAAACACGCACAGGCACGTGGACACATTCAAAGGAAGCCAGCAGTGGTCTCTTACAGAATGAGTCCACGCATCCATCAACCTGAGCCTGAAACTTGTGACCGTGTCTCAGGATGCTGTTGACATTTTGCCGCTCTGTTGAACCCATGCTTTCAGGGTGGTGACAGCCAAGGTCAGGGATCCGTGTTAGCTCGCCTTCTGTTCACTGGCAGTCGACCTGGGGGATCCACAGAGGAGGGGAGGGGACAGGGCCCCTGCTGGTGCTGGTGCCGGTCCCCACATCTGCAGCAGAGCTGCCCGTCCCACTGCCCAGGTGCACCGGGAGTCGGCGGGCATCGATGTGAAGACTGTGTGCTTCATACCCAGTAAAATTAGAATCAGCTCAAAACTAATTTCCTCCCTTTGCTTTCTCTCTCTCTCTCTCTCTCTCTGTCTCTCTCTCTTTCTCTCTCTCTCTCTCTTTCCTTTTTTTGGTCTAAGTCAGGGAGGGGAAGGTAGGTAGGAGCTGCTATATGTTATACATTTTCTTTTAAAGCAAAAATATTTAGCAGAAAGAATGACTTTAAATCTATAATGAATAAGCTTCACTTAATAAGAATTCATTGAGTCCAGTTTTTTTTCTCTGATATTCCATTTTTAAAGACTGAAGTAAATCAGAGAAAAACCACACCAAGGGTTTACTTTGAAAAGAAAGTGTGTGCTTTAATGCCCAACTCTGGAGTCAGAATCGTCCACCTAACATCTATAGACATTTTTATGTACCTGCTTGTGCACTGATATTTAATGTTCCTATTATCATCCAAAACAGGCAAGAAGAATAATTAATCATTTCTGTCCACATTTCTACAGCTTTTGATAAAATAAAATGAATTTTACTGCACTGTGGAAAGATTGTCAATAAAACTGGAAAGTGGTCCAGTTAGCCAGAAGTTTAAGCTAAGCCAGACCTTTCATCGGCCAAACACTCACAGGGTTCTTCCATGCTTTTAACATTTCACAAAACGGCGAGAAGGAAGACCAGAGAACATTGATTTATTTTAAGGGAGTTTGGAAGAAAACGACCGTTGTGATTATAAAATGGTTTTCATTTAGCCTACTCCTCCTATTATATTTGCTGATATTGCATAACCTGGACAACTTTGCATAAGTTAAAACTGAAAGTGAGCCTTGTATTTTTTCTGTTATTTTTTAAATATGTAAAGTTGCCAGAGAGCCAATAATTTTTATGAGACTCTCAGTTTTTTGGCTTAAATTCAGGAGCTGAGTTTGCTATTATGCTGTGTGAGTTACTAGTGCTTACAGCACTTTTTTAAAAATATGGAATGACCCTAATTTCACTACCTGGCCATAAAATCTCAGGTTTCAAAGGCAATTTTGTAAATAGCCTCCCCTATTACTTTTGATGAAATTCACATTCATAAATATGAATCTCAGAATATTTGCATATGGCAAAGTTACTCATCAAGACACAGACATTCAGTTGGAAATGTGATGCTAGCCTCTGGGTGTGGGTTGGACGGTCGTTCCCATCTCTGGCCTGTGGTGGGTGCTCAGCCTCTGGGTGTGGGTTGGACGGTCGTTCCCATCTCTGGCCTGTGGTGGGTGCTCGGCCTCTGGGTGTGGGTTGGACGGCTGTTCCCATCTCTGCCCTGTGGCGGGTGCTCAGCCTCTGGGTGTGGGTTGGACGGCTGTTCCCATCTCTGCCCTGTGGCGGGTGCTCAGCCTCTGGATGTGGGTTGGACGGCTGTTCCCACCTCTGCCCTGTGGTGGGTGCTCAGCCTCTGGGTGTGGGTTGGACGGTCGTTCCCATCTCTGGCCTGTGGTGGGTGCTCAGCCTCTGGGTGTGGGTTGGACGGTCGTTCCCATCTCTGGCCTGTGGTGGGTGCTCAGCCTCTGGGTGTGGGTTGGACGGCTGTTCCCATCTCTACCCTGTGGCGGGTGCTCAGCCTCTGGGTGTGGGTTGGACGGCTGTTCCCATCTCTGCCCTGTGGCGGGTGCTCAGCCTCTGGATGTGGGTTGGACGGCTGTTCCCACCTCTGCCCTGTGGTGGGTGCTCAGCCTCTGGGTGTGGGTTGGACGGCTGTTCCCATCTCTACCCTGCAGCGGGTGCTCACCCTCTGGGTGTGGGTTGGACGGCTGTTCCCATCTGTACCCTGTGGTGGGTGCTCAGCCTCTGGGTGTGGGTTGGACGGTCGTTCCCATCTCTGGCCTGTGGCGGGTGCTCAGCCTCTGGGTGTGGGTTGGACGGTCGTTCCCATCTCTGCCCTGTGGCGGGTGCTCAGCCTCTGGGTGTGGGTTGGACGGCTGTTCCCATCTCTACCCTGCAGCAGGTGCTCAGCCTCTGGGTGTGGGTTGGACGGTCGTTCCCATCTCTACCCTGCAGCAGGTGCTCAGCCTCTGGGTGTGGGTTGGACGGCTGTTCCCATCTCTACCCTGCAGCAGGTGCTCAGCCTCTGGGTGTGGGTTGGACGGTCGTTCCCACCTCTGCCCTGTGGTGGGTGCTCAGCCTCTGGGTGTGGGTTGGATGGTCATTCCCACCTCTGCCCTGCAGCGGGTGCTCACAGAATGCCTTTTCTCCTTTCTTCTTTCCTGTAGCCAGACCTACCTGCAAGCTGCAAGCGATGTGCCTGTGGGACACAGCCTGGACCCCGCTGCGAACTACAACTCCCCGAAATTCCGCTCCCGGAACCAGAGCTACATGAGGGCCGTCAGCACCCTGAGCCAGGCCAGCTGCGTGAGCCAGGTCAGGGTCCCTTCGCCCTTTCTCCCTGGGGTCCAGTCTCCCCAGCCAGGCTGGCACGGAGGCCCCGGCCGCATAGGTGGCGATGGCGCTGCCCTCCTGGTCAGCAGCACTTGGGCAAGGCTACACCAAAGGGGGTTCCCCTCGAATTAGCTCTGGCTGATTAGACTCGTGGACTTACTGTTATATTTTTGACGTGTATAACTCCATATCATTTTTGCGTTGATTTTTTTCTGAGGAAGCAATGACCAAAAGGGTGGTCATCCTGGCCTCTCTTGTTGATAAAGCACAGGCTGTCTTCCTTCTTCCCAGGCTATTTTTCCAGTAAAAGGGGGCCAGGGAAAGGCTCTGGCAGCATGGCTCTCAGCTCTGTCCTCTGAATTGTGCCTCAGAAAGTCCTGTGAGAGGATAGCCTGGTGTCGCTCACAGAGTCCTGCCGGTCGGCCCCACTCCCAGGGCAGGACTGATTTCGGGACAGGCACAGTGGCCAGGAGAAGGGTCCCTGGGCACCACGGGAGGGGTGGTATTAAAATCAGGTGCCTGAGACACGGGGGCTGTGAAAGGGAGGCCCCCCTGCTCCCCACCTGTGGTGGACGGGCCTGAGAACGCACAGTGAAAAAATCGGCAAGTGTCCTTCAGTCTAATCATCCTATATTACATGGCAAAGAAGAATCGAAAGTTTATCATTTTAATTAAGCACGTTGCTTACTCACTTAAATGCCTTTGAAAACAGTGCTTGAGCTGACCTTGAGTTTGTATACCTAACAAACATTTTCTCTTAGTGTGGAGTAGGGATTAAGAGCCTGAGCCGACCTCACATTCTCTCTGACTTACTGTGGAGTAGGGATTAAGATCTTGAGCCGACCTCACATTCTCTCTGACTTACTGTGGAGCAGGGATTAAGAGCCTGAGCCGACCTCACATTCTCTCTGACTTACTGTGGAGCAGGGATTAAGAGCCTGAGCCGACCTCACATTCTGTCTGACTTACTGTGGATCAGGAATTAAGAGCTTGAGCCGACCTCACATTCTTTCTGACTTACTGTGGAGCAGGGATTAAGAGCCTGAGCTGACCTCACATTCTCTCTGACTTACTGTGGAGCAGGAATTAAGAGCTTGAGCCGAGCTCACATTCTCTCTGACTTACTGTGGAGCAGGGATTAAGAGCTTGAGCTGACCTCACATTCTCGCTGACTTACTGTGGAGCAGGAATTAAGAGCTTGAGCCGACCTCACATTCTGTCTGACTTACTGTGGAGCAGGAATTAAGAGCCTGAGCTGACCTCACATTCTCTCTGACTTACTGTGGAGCAGGAATTAAGAGCCTGAGCTGACCTCACATTCTGTCTGACTTACTGTGGAGCAGGGATTAAGAGCTTGAGCCGACCTCACATTCTCTCTGACTTACTGTGGAGCAGGAATTAAGAGCTTGAGCCGACCTCACATTCTGTCTGACTTACTGTGGAGCAGGAATTAAGAGCCTGAGCTGACCTCACATTCTCTCTGACTTACTGTGGAGCAGGAATTAAGAGCCTGAGCTGACCTCACATTCTCTCTGACTTACTGTGGAGCAGGGATTAAGAGCCTGAGCGCAGGGATTAAGAGCCTGAGCCGACCTCACATTCTCTCTGACTTACTGTGGAGTAGGGATTATTCTGGGCTTCTGGGCCAAGGCCTGGGCTTTCTGTGCCCTCCCATTATGCAGTTATCGGCGTGACAATGGAAGTACACAGTCAATTTTAGATGCTATTAGGCAAAGAGTCCAGCATATACTGAGCACTCAAAAATGATAGCCCTTATTATTACCATGATAACAATAAGTAATACTATATAATTCTGGGCACTAAAGCCCTCCTGGCTGCAGATCATGCTGTGAGCTCTTGGTAGCTTGCCTGGGGCTCAGTAAGCACAAGTCTTTCTTTTGCCGCAGACTTTAAATTCCTCATGAGGTAGAGTCTATTCATTTTGCAGGTTTTTTCCTCATCGGAAGGTTGTACCCAGGACTTTTTCCACTGAACTATTGAGGCTTTTCCTATTGCACAACTCAAGAAGGATACCACCTCTTTTATCTACTCGGTTACTTCTTTCCTTCCAGAAATGGAATTAAGTTCTCATCTGCATCAGGAATTGCATTGACTCTTTTTCCCAATGACAAGGAAAGACCGTCCCTAGCCCTGCGCTCAAGTCCTGGGCAAATGGGAATGGTGGGTCCTCCAGCCCCCTGCTCCCAGCCAGCCCCCTGCAAACAATAACATCAACTGATCCTCCCCAACTAGATAATTGTAATTATTTTAATAACTGAGGAAACATTCTATTTCAGCATAAAGTCCAAGATGATATGGGGAGACACTAATTAACTAAACAGAGTAACTGAAAGTCAGTGATACATTTTAACAACTTGCTCCATACACAGAGATGAGGATACAGCAGACTTTCTTCTTTTAAAGCTATCACCTTCCCTTTCAGTGGATATAACCTAGTTTACCAAAATACAGCTTTAAAAATCCGATGTAACCCAACAAAAGGTTTAAACAGAAGTGCAAAGTTATCTCATCCGAGGTGTGAACGTTCATCTCTAATACTTTTCCACAAACAACTTTCAATTAAATGGATCTCACACCTCTTTAAATGCTCTTATGAAACATTCAGAGGCTCTTTGCGACTCGTCGTCCTGTTTGGGGGTAAATGTAAGCTAAATATACTAGTTCTCTCATCATCTTGCTTTTGATGAACCCAAGATGGTATCTACCAAAATAAGTCAGTGAAAATAACATTTTCTCACATCTTTGTCTATCTGAAAGGATTCATCATTGGAAACAATGGTTAAGCAGACAAGTTGGGTGCTTGGGGGTTTATTTAACGACCTTGAAATTTAGAATTCTAAGTCATTCCTATGCAGAGTTCTATGGCATTACTTTAAATTGAACTCAGTTTTGAATTCTCAGGAAAAAAAAAAGTGTTATTCAAAATAATCCTGGAATGCTGGTAGTAAGTGAGACTGTATCACACCCAGAAACAAACGTAGTAGGTGAGAAGACTGTGTCACACCCAGAAACAAACTTCCACTAATTGATTGTCCAGCCCTAGGCCACGAGACCTGACAATTCTGGAAGGAAGGGGACAGTGCCCATGGTTGAGGGTGGGACATCTGGAATTACTAACACTTAGGGGCTCTGGAGAGACGTGAATTTGGTGACAAACCAAAGTTTGTTGAAAGTTTGCCCTTGGCCAGTCGCGGTGGCTCACGCCTGTAATCCCAGCACTTTGGGAGGCCGAGGTGGGTGGATCACGAGGTCAGGAGATCGAGACCATCCTGGCTAACATGGTGAAACCTCGTCTCTACTAAAAATACAAAAAATTAGCTGGGCATGGTAGCGGGCACCTGTGGTCCCAGCTACTCGGGAGGCCGAGGCAGGAGAATGGCGTGAATCCGGGAGGTGGAGCTTGCAGTGAGCCGAGATCACGCCACTGCACTCCAGCCTGGGCGACAGAGCGAGACTCCATCTCGAAAAAAAAAAAAAAGTTTGCCCTTCATGTTTAACATTCAATTTTTTCTCAAGCACAGGAAGGGAATTAAAAATCTAACTGAAGTCTTGTGAGAGGTGCTTATGTCCATGCCGTTTCCTCCTTGGAACCTCAGTAGCTGCACTCTGCTTGGGTTTCCTGCAGCTCATGTCCCGAGGGTCTCGGCGGGAGGTCCGGGTGTCCCGAGGGTCTGGGCGGGAGGTCCGGGTGTCCCGAGGGTCTTGGCGGGAGGTCCCAGTGTCCCGAGGGTCTCGGCGGGAGGTCCGGGTGTCCCGAGGGTCTCGGCGGGAGGTCCGGGTGTCCCGAGGGTCTGGGCGGGAGGTCCGGGTGCCCCAAGGGTCTGGGTGGGAGGTCCGGGTGAACAGATCATTTTAATTCCCTGCTGGACCATCTTGAGATGCTGCTCAACCACTTTTTATTTGTTTTGGGGAGGAGGAGTCACCTTCATGTCTAGAACCTCACTGAAAGGCTTGTAGCTGGAAGCATAGCCGAGGGTCCTTGCTGAGATGCCAGCTTCTGTTTGTGAAATGCACATACCAGGTTAATGGTGTCTCTTCTTTAGGAGCGAGGGCAGCTGGGCCCTGGGTCGGGCTTACAGAAGGGTGTCCACTGAGGTGTACTAGGGCCTCACACAGGTTCTGACCTTCTCACGCTGTCTACGATACATCTTTGACAGGAATGACACAATCTAAGACTTTTCCATAAAATTCTACATAAGTGAAAACTTAGATTGGAAGAAATTTATGGTCCAGAAAAACATCCTGTTTCCAAGCCAGTGTGCATGCTTCTGAGCCCTTTGCTGGGTTCCTGAGGCCATCCTGCCGGCTGTGTCCTGGTTGTGCCTGCCTGGGTTTGTCTGTCTCTGTCCAGTGTCAGGAATCCTCAGACCTTTCTGAAAAAGGCCACCCCGCCGGCATTGTGCCAACTCTTTCTGCAGCCTGGCATGGGTCTGTCTTCCCTGCAGGGTGGCTTCAGGCTTTGCTGCCCTTTGCTCACCCCCTGCCTCTCCAGGGTCCATGCTGAGTTAGGCTCACGAGGAAAGAGGCCGTCCTTCCAGCACGTAGGTCACCTCAGGTGAAACCAGAGAAGTCCACAGGTCTGAACTTGGAGACGGGCAACCAGTGTCGTGTTGTGTCAACAACACAACTGCTAGAGGGAGAACCTGATTCTTTGACCTTGCCTTTTACTCTGCTGACAACTAAAGGAAAAGAACTAATCTGGTGTTTAAAACAGTGTATTTTTACAATGTATCTGCCAACATAATCCAGGGGGTTCAGAAAGTTGTTGGTGCTTTGAGCTGTCACACATCCCCAGGAGAAACAAGAAGAGAAATAATCTGAATGGGAGGGGGTGAGGGGAGAAAGAGAGACAGGGGAGGAAGGATGGAAGGGAGGGAGGATGGGAGGGAGGGGAAAATGAAGTGAGTATACTAATATCCTAAGCTAAGGAAGAATAAAAAAAGCCTGGAATTTAGGTAAAGTAGCACATTTCATGTGGACGAAAACACCAGTACAGCCATTTCTTTCTCATCTGGACTCAGATATATGCTGCCGTAATGGGGATAAGGAGATGAGTTTAGAAGCCAAATTTGTGATGAGTTGCCATGGCAATGGGTAGAAGCAGACTCCATATTCTGAAAAAGAACTGAGTAGTGTATGCACTGAATGTGCTTTCCCTTATACGGCCTCAGTGCCTGGAGCCATCGTGCCATTAGTAGCTTGGAAAGGAGGGGCCGTCATGTGGGAAAGGGAAGGAAGAAATGGATTCTGAACCCTTCCTTTGTACCAGGTACTTTGCTAATCTTTTAAAAGTTCTATCTCTCTTACACTTTGTAATAACTGTCAGCCTTACCTTGAAGGTTTGCCTTGCGGTCCCCCAGAATTTCATCAACACTTGGAATTGGCTGTTTGCCTAAGTGTTTCGTAAGGGAAAACCCAATGCTGTATTTCCCAAGCTCAGCCGATGCCCATGCTGACTTCAGGTTAACTGTGCTGAACTATGAGGCAGTGAAAGGCAGCCTGGGAATGAGCGCGCTCTCCTGGCTTTTCTGTAACGTGATGGTGACCCTGGAGGGCCGGGGCATCACGTGTGCTGTTGATGATTGCAGGTGAGCGAGGCGGAGATCAATGGGCAATTCGAGTCCGTGTGCGAGTCCGTCTTCAGTGAAGTTGAATCTCAGGCCATGGATGCCCTCGACCTCCCGGGATGTTTCCGAACAAGGAGTCACAGCTACCTTCGAGCCATTCAAGCCGGCTACTCCCAAGATGACGAATGTATTCCCATGATGACACCCTCTGACATCACCTCCACCATCAGGTCAACAGCAGGTAAGGGGACGCCGTTTTCAGCCTTCCAGCGGGGACTCTAGAGGCATACCTGTCTTCATCCTAGAAGGAGCGAGCAGCACACAGCAGCACAGTACAATGTACTCTCCTGACATTTAGTAACGTTTCCTAATTGCTTGTGTTACACTGTCACATTCGCAAGGGTGTTTTGTCTCTTGTAGATAACCTTTCTTTTTCTTAGAATGAAATCTACTCATTAGCAAGGTTCCTTAAAATAATCAAGTGTAACTTGTGTAAAGTTTTAGAGAGGAGAAAAAATGGAAGTGCTAGCATTTGGAAGGTGATTAAGTTTTAAATACCAAAGTTTAATGGATTGCAGTGAGATTTCTGCTGATGCGCAGTGACTCTCAGGCTGCCCTGTAGTGACGTCCAGCCGGTCTCTTGCTCAGTAAGCAGATCTGTAAACATGACTCACCGCCGCTAAGCAGGTCCATCATTAATGCAGATGCACTAACTATCTTAGAGCTCCGAAGACTCAGTCTCGCAATTTCCTTTAGTTCTCATGGAAAACCATACCCACCCCTTTGAAAATTTACCGCCCAACCTAAATATCACTGCCTAATATTTTACTGCCTAATATGTTATTATTTCTATAACACGATGAATATACATGGCCTAGAGAAACCCATAAAACACAGCAAGCAATAAAAGCTCGAGGCGCCGCACATAGAGGTTAAGGAAAGGAGCTATAAAAAAACATAGTGTTGGGGACTGAGGTGTTCTGAATACCAGAGGGCTTGGAATGCTGCAGCTGTATCTTAGAAATTTAAAGGACAGCTCCGAGGGGAAATAGAACAAAGCTATGTTCATGATGAATAGCATTAGGAACAGCAGACACATAACAGGAGAGAAGCAAAGAGAAATTCAGGCAGGAGTGTGTCATCATACCTGTGAATAGGTCTTGGTTTGTTTCAATGCTAAAGTGAACAAGAAATCCAGGAGATTGCACTTTGCAGAATTAGAAATTGCAGTCGGCACTATCATTGCACTTTGTGTAGAAAGTATTTCATAGTAGAGTCTGTGGATGGAAGGGAAGGAACTGTGTTCAAACCGTGTTCCATCATGTCCTCACTGCAAGAACTTAGGCTTGTTAACGTTTCTGACTCTTGGTTTCTGCGGTATTCAAGAGAAGCTGTAGCCATAGATAATTTATTTGCATAAATTTAAAGATTATTTTTCAAAGAAAGCTGTGGATCCTCGGTGTGCTTTTTATGTGGTAGATATTTCTTCAATGCTGGCACCACTGAGCCGGGGGCTTCGGGAGAAAGGCAACAGATCCTGGCTCTCTGGCTCCCAGCAGGGCTTTCTGTACGAGGGAGGGTGGTGCCCAGGACCCACCCAAGGGAAATCCACAGGCTGACAACACATCCCCCAGGTGCAGCCACCGGGCAGCTGTGGGCACCCTGCGTAGCCTCCTGTTTTCCTCTGGTTTGGCCGGTTCTGCTCACTCCTGCCCCTTGGTGAAGTCCTGGGCCAGTTCTCATGCTCTGTCCTGATGTGAACATTGAACAAATTAGAATCAGGGAAGTAATGAGATTTACAATGATTGCATTGAAAAACAGCGGTCCAAGAGATCATTACTCATACTTTCAGCAGTATTTGTTTACTGTCTCTTAGGAGCAAGTAAACAATTAAGAACTTTCATAGTCTTCAGAAATGCTTTGAAACAATCATTACCTCCTAGAAAAGGACTTTATTGTTTTTAGGACTGTCATTATAGAGAGAATAAAAATAAAACAGATTTCACAGAGATAAGAACCAGTTCTGAGCTCAGACTAAAATTTTAATTTATATATATACAATGTTTACCATGTATATTTTGTATTCCAAAAATACACCTACCAAATAAATTACAAAAAAAAGATTCCATTCAGAGTTTCTACCGGATCTTGGCCCAGTTTTGAGTCAGAATTTCCTCTAGGTGATGCAGGGGACTGTCCAAGTTATGTGACATCTGAGAATCAAATGAGAAAAGAAATGAAAAGCACTAGGGGAAATACTTAGCACTGTAGGATTACAAGTTACCCTTGTGAAGAAATAAAAGTACAGATTAATCATTAACCTCTGCTGTTTCCCATTTTACTCTAAGTATTGTATATTAGTTATTTAAATCTTTATTTACTAAATAAAATTTAGATGACATGCAATATAGTCTATTTAGCAAGATTATGAAAAAATACCAAAGAAATGAAAACTCCCAGTCTGGGAAAACAAAATTATGGAGGAAAACTATCAACATGTACGGGATGTAGGTGCCTCGATAATTGTGATAGCTGAACTTCAAATTTCATCCAAAGTTTCCTGTCCGTGAGTCAGGCGGATTTCAAAAATTTTCTACTTAAATACTTCTGACTTTTGTATTTAAATACTTGGAAATTGATATCCTAGCACTACGTTCAATAGCTGTCCTTTACTGATCCATGTATACATGTGTGTATGTGTGCGTGTGTGGTGTATGGGGAGAGAGGTTATTTTGACAGATTGATTTTCTTTTATGATTTTCTGTCTAAAACTAGCTCATGAAAATAATTCCAAAGAGTTATTTTTGAAAACATTCCAAAGTGAGTACCTTGAAGAACGAGATTTATTTAAACACATTACTTTATGCAGGCTCAAAAGGTAAAAGTTGATGTTATTATTAGATTATTTCACCTTGTATAACTACAAATGTATAATATTCATATAATAATAAATATTGAATATATGCATGAAAGATGTATTGAGAACTTAAAAATACATCTTAGACCATCTGTTTTAAACATGGACAGGTTGAGGTTCCCAGAGGACGTCTGTTGGTTTGGGGACACCCCAGTTCACCTGCTTTTTCACTCAACCTTTAAAGGCAGCTGGTGATCGAGCTGAGACAGACCCTTTTAATCTAATCACCAGGGAACTCCAGTAAGAACAGAATACCCTGTGAGGCGGTGTGAGCCACCCATATAAACGTTCCTTCGTCCCACCGTTTCTCTCATTATGAAAAACACTGCATATTGATTAGTGTCCTCCCCTTAAATGAAGTGGTTTTGAAAACATCTAACTCATTTCACACATGGTTTCTTTCTCATCTGGGAAATTATTTATCGGATTGCTTTACTTGTCCAAATATGCATCTCACCCGATTTTTCTAGGGAGGGAATATTATTGATATTGTGAAGGAAAATGGTGTAAAATTAGATTATAATGATTTTTCTCTGGGCCGGAAATTTTCTCAACATATGATACAACTGATTCTAGAAGTCATTAAAACAAAGGGAAAACCTATAGAAAGCATGGCAGAGGAAACAGCCACAGACTTATTTTATTATTTATATTTCTATAGCAACTTGTCTCTCAAGGGTACATAGTAATTCCATTTCCAAGATACATACTTGCCAACATAGAGGAGAAAAATTATCTCTATATTTCAGTACCTTGAATATAAGAGGTAGAATAACTATTTTTCAATACTATGATTTTTGTTGCTTTTTTAAAATTTTACTTCTTTGCTGACCTTCCTCAGTTTGAATAAATATGACTATGCATTTGATTCTCCCATTTTTAGTCTTTTACAATAAAAGACAGTGTTTTACTTAATTTTATCTTGTCACAAAGAGTGGATTTTCAGGCGTGTGAGCCTGGGGAAATTTTCATCGTGGACTAAACTTGTTGCCTCAACCTTCTTCTGATACCAGGACCTGGTACCGTCGAGTTACTGTGTAACTGATATGCAAGTTTGCCTGACAAGATGGTGAGAACATATTTTAAAACTTGAATTTGAAAAAGTAGAGAATTTAAAGGAAAAGAAACTGAAAATGGATGTCAGCTGGGCTGTTCATAAAACGTTTTGGCCAATAGAGTAAAGGTGATTTGAAATCACAAAATACCGCAGGGCATATTCAGGTGTGTTGGGACACACAGGCACCACTTGGTAAACCCGGCCGATGGCTGCCGAGTGCGCAGCACCCCAGGTTGGAGGGAGGAGGTGCACCCCAGAGGAGGAATACCCGTCTGGCCGCCGGCTGGCTCCGCGGGCAGGGTGTCTCTGCAGACGTGCTTGCTCGGGGACCAGGTGTGCAGTGTGCAGCCTTTCCAGGTCCACATACCTCTGACCCGGCCCTTCACCCTCCTATCCTCCTTTCCCAGAGGGCTGGCAAGGAGGCCCTGCAGCCAGCTTCCCTGCGGAGTTAAAATAAAACACGCTATATGGGGAAAGGCTTTGGGAAGGACATTTAGCTCTTTACTGGAAAAATGAGCAGCTGGAGGTTCTGTGAGCCACAAAATCTGAAAACCAGAAGATTCCTCCAAACACGTCTTCTCCTTGGATCTGTCACTCTGACACAAGGGCTTTACAAATAGGCTCAGAAACTGTTGCGCGGGGCTCTCAGATGCATAGCCTCAGGTCATAGCTTTCCATAAGTCAACAGCTATGCACTGCGAGGACCAGCCTGCACACCCCACAAAGGCAACAAAAAGCTGCGTTTCAGTAAACAAATGACCAGAGGAAATGAATGAAAAAAGTCACACATGATCACTTTCCGTTTTAGAAATGTAAAAAATGAACTAGAATAAAGAACAATCATCTTATATGCCAATTGAAGATTCTAAAGAAAAGATCAAATTACATTTATGTCGTAAGCATTTATTAAGTGTTTGCTGTGTGCCGGCCGCTGCGCTAAGTGCTCTGAATCCAGAAGCACTGAAGTCCTGAGCATTGGCCCCAAAGGCCTAAAGTCTGGAAACAGTTGCAGTTGAAGAGCTCGTCAGCCATGGCACACCTGCTGGGTGCTGTGAGATGTGTGTGGATGGCTCTGGAAACCCAGGGGAAAGCCAGCACTGCAGCAGCGTCCGGGAGGCCTTCCGCCTGCAGGAAGAGTTGAGAGGCTTCAGGGCTGGGCAGCAGAAACCCAGGGAGAGGGAGGTGCCAGCCTGAAGTAATGACAAACGTCCCGAAAACCGCTGGGCACCTCAGCTCTGGGATTCGCAGGGCACCCGGCCTGGAGGGAGAGGCTGGAAGGCAGGACGGATGGGGGACATGAGCTGAGAGGGACATCCATCCTGCACCTGTAGTACTTGCACCTGCAGAATTCAGAGGTCACTGGAGGACTCTAAGCAGGAGAGGGATCTGTGGCTGAGTTGTGTTCCCCGGACTTGGTGCTGAACCCTAATCCCAGGACCTGAGAATGTGACTGCGTTTCAGACAGACCCTTCGAAGAGGTGACCAGGTAGAATGAGGTCACAGGGGGCCCAAATCCAATCTGTCCGGTGTCCTTATAAGAAGAGGAGATGAGGACACAGACATGCAGGAAGGGACCAGCTTGTGAGGACCCGGGGAGAAGACGGCATGTGCATACCCAGGAGAGGCCTCAGTTTTCCCAGCGCCTTGGTCTGGGACTCACAGCCTCCATGACATGAATCAATGTTGCTCTGTTACGGCAGCACGGGAGGACTAACACGGGGGCCAGAGTCATGTTATAATGAAGACCCGCGGCCCGGCCGTACTGCAGAAGAGCACGGAGAAGACAGCTCCTCAAATAGCACAGGTGAGAAGGGATGAGGCCGGGCTGTGCCAGGCACAGGTGCAGGAATGGCTTTCAGAGGGAGCTCCAGGGGCTCCCGGCTGAGCTCTGGGGAGCCGTGAAGAGGCTTTTAAGAGGCCTCCTGCCCCAGCCGTGGATGAGGCCCAGAAAGCCAGCATGCAGGCAGGGAGTCTCCAGGACTTCATCCAGGAAGCTGGGTCTCCCGGGGAGTCCAGGAGGAGAGGCCGTAATGATGGCTCCATTTAGGGACAGACGCAGAGAAGGCGGCGGATGCATGCAGATCCCAGCGATGGGGCTGTGCCGTTGTCTCCTCCTGCTGAAGCAACAGGATGGAGGTGATGCTGTTGCAGCCCAGAGAGCTGGGTCATGGAGTGCAGGTAAAAGAAGGGATGGCCAGTACAACCGGGGAGCCGGGATGGATTGGGATGAAGTGCCCAACAGCCCTCTCCAGCTGCTGCCTCTCAGCAGCCGAAGCCAACAGGGCCCAGCCCACAGGTGCCGAGTAGTTCAGATGTGTTGAGCTGAGGGTCCCATGACTTGCTAACCCAACTTCAAGAAGAGGTGTGGAGGTCGAGGCTGGAGGTGCGGTCCAGAGCCATGGAGCCACCCCCGAACAGGAGGGTATAGAAAGAGAAGAGGCCTGAGACCAGAGCCCACAGCGTCAGCATCGTGGGGAGAAGGGGCCTCCAGAAGGAGCAGTGGAAAGGTGGGAGCCAGGAGGGATGGGGAGGGGCCACGGAGGGGAGTTCAACACTGCCCCAGTTCACCACAGTGGGAACAGAGGCTGTCCCTGGGTCTTGGCAGTGTGGGCAGAGTCCTGGAAGGCTGCTGCGAGGCCTGAATTGTGCAGCCCCTCTATGCGGAGCAGCAGGAGTCCTGTGCCACCCCCGACCCAGGGTAAGCCCAGGTTCCTGGTGTCCATAAGCCCTGCACAAATTCAGCACAGCGGAGACCCCTGTGGGTCCTCCCAGAGACGGGCCTGGACTGAGGAACCCCTACAAAGCAGGTGTGTTTGTCTCATATTTGCAGCTGTAAAAATGGTCACAAGCCCTATGGTCTCCAGCAGCACAGATGTGCTGTCTCACAGTCACAGAGGTTAGAAGTCTGAAGTAGGTTCTGTGGGGCTAGCATCAAACATCAGGTCGTTCTGGAGGCTTCCGGGGAGCCCGCTCCTTGCCTCCTCAAGCTTCTGGAGTTCTCTGCCGTCCTTGGCTGCGGGCCACATGGCTCCAGCCTGGGCCTCCATTGTCCAAGCCTCCTCGTCTGACTCTGACCCCCTCCCTTCCTCATGTAAGGACCCTGGGGATAACACTGGGCCCACTGGGATGATCCAGGATCATCTCCCCATCTCAAAATCCTGAATTTACTCACATCTGCAAAGTCCCTTTTGCCACATAAAGTACCATGGTCACAGGTTCTGGGGACTAGGATGCGGACATTTTTGGAGGGGCGTTATTCTGTTTACCATAGTAGGTTTCGGTAAATACTGGTAGAGTGCATGAATGAATGAGGTCTTCTCTGAAACCGAGCCCAGTATAAATGGTGACATCCTTCAGGCACTGACCCAAGGGGAACCCATTTCTCTTCTAGGAGTATTACACAAATCCTTGTCGTAAATCCAGGTTGATCCTGATGAAGAGGAGCCAAATCTGGCTCGGGCTGATGGACGCTGTGTGCAGGCTCAGAGTTCACCCTGGGAAGCCCAGGTGTGCTGCCCCGTGAGTCCTCAGTGTCAGACCTGCTGCTGAAGGGAAGCCCAGGCGTGCTGTCCCATGGGTCCTCAGTGTCAGACCTGCTGCTGACATCACGTCTCCAACCCCGCAGCACAGCGTAGTCCAAATTCCAGAAACCTGGCAACAACGATATCGTGCGGGAGTCGGTCCGAGATGTCCCAGGGAATCTGAACGTCTTCCCAGCCGCTCAGGATGTCTCTGATTGTCATGATCCCCATTAGAACGTCTCAGAAACTGCCAACCACCATGGCTTCCATGAAGCCCCAAGAATCCTTCAGCAAAGCTCCATGTTGCAAACTAAAGCCCAGGGTGTGCATCATGAAGACGCCATCCCTGTGTCCCGGGTTCAGAGGCTCGTACCCGGGACTCGGGCATGAGACCCCATTACGGGCCTGAGCACAGCACCAAGACCGTCAAACGCTAAAAACAGGCACAGGTGGAAGTCTCACGTGGCCCGCCCCCCCGCATCTAGACTTGTGTTTTACAGTAAATGACGAAATGCAGTCCAGATACCTAAAAGATGAAAACTAATCTTTGTGATTTTCATTGTCTTTGATTTATTTGAACTACAGCCAAAGCCTTATGTACTTTATCCGTTGTGCGCTAAGCCTATAGGATGAGTGGATGAAAGCCGGTTGGCCCTGGGGACCGGTAGGGAGAAGCCGTGGCAGAGCACAGTCTCTGCGGAGAGGAGGGAGACCCAAGCTCTCCTGGTTGTGGGGAAGGAGAAGCCCTGGGAGACACGGGTAAGGGTCGGGTGTCGGAGTTAGGACAGGAGCCCCTGGTCTGTGCTGTAGAGAAGGAGTGGAACCAGCTCCCAGTAAGGGTTTCCAAAGGTTAAATACTTGACACCTCTGTCTAGAACAGACATGACAGACGAATCACGTGCCTCCCGGTTTGCAGAAGGCGAGCGTGATGCAGATAAATCGTGCATCTGTATCAGGAACTGCATATGTAAGCCAGAATTGCTCGGGTGAGAACAAATGTGTTCATAAAGATTTTCCCCAAGTGTGTAGCCTGCTCTTCCCTTCAAAACCACTGTTTTCAAGTAATTTGTGTCCTTCTCTTATAAAATCCTCCTGTCTGCGTACTTAGACTGGAATTACAACATGAATGCTGGGATGATCTCCCAGGTAATGAGATTTCAAGATGAAGCTGTCATTGAACAAGTGAACTTGTCTAGACGAATTAATCATAATACGAATGAAACTAGAGCCACGGGTTCCTGACTCATAGTCCAGGGCTCTTGCAGTTGACAACGATCTGCGTCTGTCCTATGGCTCTGTCTCTTCCCTGAAGTAGGGGTACATTTGGAGGGACATGTGTATGGGGATGGAGTCAGAAGTCCAGTGAGGACTTCCACATTGTTGTCCTAAGAGTAACAGTTACTGTAAGAAAGGATTCCTATTTGGTCATTTAACATCTTATCACCCAGAAAAGTAATGGCTGAAATAAATAATTGATGCTTGCATAAGTCAGTAGGTGAATAAATTAGTCATTTCAGGTTTTCAGATATTGTGGAGATGGAAGTACTGTTGAATCTGCCTCCCATACCCCTCGAACCCGCCGGTCCTCACCTGTGTCACCCTCGACCCCGCCGGTCCCCACCTGTGTCACCCTCGACCCCGCCGGTCCTCACCTGTGTCACCCTCGACCCCGCCGGTCCCCACCTGTGTCACCCTCGACCCCGCCGGCCCTCACCTGTGTCACCCTCGACCCCGCCGGCCCTCACCTGTGTCACCCTCGACCCCGCCGGTCCTCACCTGTGTCACCCTCGACCCCGCCGGCCCTCACCTGTGTCACCCTCCAACCCGCCGGCCCTCACCTGTGTCACCCTCGAACCCGCCGGCCCTCACCTGTGTCACCCTCCAACCCGCCGGCCCTCACCTGTGTCACCCTCCAACCCGCCGGCCCCCACCTGTGTCACCCTCCAACCCGCCGGCCCTCACCTGTGTCACCCTCCAACCCGCCGGCCCTCACCTGTGTCACCCTCCACCCCGCCGGCCCTCACCTGTGTCACCCTCCAACCCGCCGGCCCTCACCTGTGTCACCCTCCAACCCGCCGGCCCCCACCTGTGTCACCCTCCAACCCGCCGGCCCTCACCTGTGTCACCCTCCAACCCGCCGGCCCTCACCTGTGTCACCCTCGACCCCGCCGGCCCTCACCTGTGTCACCCTCGACCCCGCCGGTCCTCACCTGTGTCACCCTCGACCCCGCCGGTCCCCACCTGTGTCACCCTCGACCCCGCCGGTCCTCACCTGTGTCACCCTCCAACCCGCCGGCCCTCACCTGTGTCACCCTCCAACCCGCCGGCCCTCACCTGTGTCACCCTGGAACCCGCCGGTCCTCACCTGTGTCACCCTCGAACCCGCCGGTCCTCACCTGTGTCACCCTGGAACCCGCCGGCCCTCACCTGTGTCACCCTCGACCCCGCCGGTCCTCACCTGTGTCACCCTCGACCCCGCCGGTCCTCACCTGTGTCACCCTCCAACCCGCCGGCCCTCACCTGTGTCACCCTCCAACCCGCCGGCCCTCACCTGTGTCACCCTGGAACCCGCCGGTCCTCACCTGTGTCACCCTGGAACCCGCCGGTCCTCACCTGTGTCACCCTGGAACCCGCCGGTCCTCACCTGTGTCACCCTCGACCCCGCCGGTCCTCACCTGTGTCACCCTCGACCCCGCCGGTCCTCACCTGTGTCACCCCTCGAACCCGCCGGCCCTCACCTGTGTCACCCTCCAACCCGCCGGTCCTCACCTGTGTCACCCTCGAACCCGCCGGCCCCCACCTGTGTCACCCTCCAACCCGCCGGCCCTCACCTGTGTCACCCTCGACCCCGCCGGCCCTCACCTGTGTCACCCTCGACCCCGCCGGCCCTCACCTGTGTCACCCTCGACCCCGCTGGTCCTCACCTGTGTCACCCTGGAACCCGCCGGTCCTCACCTGTGTCACCCTCGACCCCGCCGGTCCTCACCTGTGTCACCCCTCGAACCCGCCGGTCCTCACCTGTGTCACCCTCGAACCCGCCGGCCCTCACCTGTGTCACCCTCCAACCCGCCGGCCCCCACCTGTGTCACCCTCCAACCCGCCGGCCCTCACCTGTGTCACCCTCGACCCCGCCGGCCCTCACCTGTGTCACCCTCGACCCCGCCGGTCCTCACCTGTGTCACCCTCGACCCCGCCGGTCCTCACCTGTGTCACCCTGGAACCCGCCGGTCCTCACCTGTGTCACCCTCGAACCCGCCGGTCCTCACCTGTGTCACCCTCGACCCCGCCGGCCCTCACCTGTGTCACCCTCGACCCCGCCAGTCCTCACCTGTGTCACCCTCGACCCCGCCGGTCCTCACCTGTGTCACCCTGGAACCCGCCGGTCCTCACCTGTGTCACCCTCGAACCCGCCGGTCCTCACCTGTGTCACCCTCGACCCCGCCGGTCCTCACCTGTGTCACCCTCCAACCCGCCGGCCCTCACCTGTGTCACCCTCGACCCCGCCGGTCCTCACCTGTGTCACCCCTCGGGGCTGAAACCATTTTAAGTGCTCACCTGGGTGCCTCCTCAGCCTCCAGGGGCCTGGCAGGACTTCCCACCCACTCTCCATCCTGCCTGCAGGACATTCTTGCTAAAAAGGCAGCCTGACCCTAAGCCCGCCCGACCAAGAGCCTCGTCTCGGCTCTGTGCAAGAGCCAGAGGAGTGAAGACTGCCGTCCTCTGTGGGGTTGCAAACCCCAGTGACCCGGCCCCACCAGACGGCCCAGCTGCCCTCTCGCTGCCACCCGCTCCCAGCCAGTCTTCCTGAAATTCTCGCACCTCCATGCCTCTACGGCTGCTGCTCGTCGGCCCGCAGTTTCTTCCTTGAGTTTCTGCCTGAGTCCTAGCTGTGCTTTAAGCCCCAGCTCAGGAATCATTTCTTCAAGGAAGCGGCAGAGACGCGCTCCTGATCTGATCAGCGTCTGCACGAAGCACGGCTTCTGCTCCTTCCCACTCCCTGACCAGGAGCTCCAGCCACATAGCACATTTACTGAAACAAACAGAATCTCGATGTACATTTAAAATGTACTTATCTTTTAAAGACATAAAAACATTAGATGCCAAAATATCTAGGCCATGGCAGAGAATTATGTTTATTATTTGTATGCCATTACATTGTCTCAGGAATATATTTAAAATGTATTGACACCATGGCTTTTACTCTAACAGGATGTTCGTCTAAAAAGCATTACATTAAAAACAAATTATTTAGATTCATAAAATTAAAAATATTCTGAAAACATTGAGAAAAAAATACTTTTGCTCTCTTAGGGAAAAAAAACTAGAGTGATGCTTTTAAATGAAATTACTTGCTGGGCACAGTGGCTCACGCCTGTAGTGCCAGCACTTTGGAAGGGTCACTTAAGGCCAGGCATTCAAGGTTAGAGAGAGCTCTGATGGCACCACAGCACTCTAGCCTGGGTGACAGCAAGACCATGTCTCTAATGAATGAATCAAATGAATGAATCAAATGAATGAATCAGATGAATGAATGAATGAAACAGAATCATTCAACATCAGTACAGACCACCTTTGACTTAAAGATGGTTGGACTTACAATTTTTTAACCTTATAATAGCATGAAAATCATCCACACTCTGTAGAAACCATACTCTGAGTGCCCACACAACCATTCTGTTTTTCACCTTCAGTACAGTGTTCCATGAATTCGAGGAGATAGTCAACACATTATAAAACAGGCATTAAGTGAGACGATGTTGGCCAACTGCAGGCCAGTGTCAGTGTTATGAGCTTATTAGGAGTAGGCTGGGCTAAGTTACGATGTTTGGTGGGTTAAATGTATTAAACGTGTTTCCCACTTACGATGTTTTTAGTGTATGATGGGTTTGTGGGGACATAATCCCATTGCAAGTTGAGGAGCATCTGTATATTTATTTTTTCCCTGTAATGATGCAAAATATGGATTATATGGAGTCACATTTGAAATATTTAAAATGTGATCATGAAGTCCTATATATACATTTGTGTTGGTTGATTATCCAGACAATAATCTTACAGGTACTATGTATTACCTTAAAAGGTTGTAATTTATTTGCTACTTTTATAACTTGAAATTTTCTTCCTTTGCTTCATGGGTTTCAAGAGTCATTGACATGATTTAATAGGATATTTTTGGACTTAAACAAAATTGCTTCCTGATAGGTATTCCTAGATCCCAGAGAGTTAACCTTAAAAAGATCTTTTTCCTGTGAAGCATCACATGGAAATGAAAGGGGAGTGGACGTCTTGCTCCCAACACGTCATATTCCAGCCTTGTCTTTCCCGTTCAGTTTGCGAATGGTTAGGTGATGTTTGCCATTGGTGGTGGAGGCCGAATAATGCCGCACAGTTCTCTGTATGATAGTGTGACGGTGGAGTTCATGTGGCAACTTGACTGGGCCATGGAGTGCCCAGATATCTGGTTAAACATTATTGTGGGTGTGTCTGAGAGGGTGACTCTGGATGAGGTTAGCATTTGGAGGGGTGGACGGGGTGAAGCAGATGCTTTCCCCAGTGTGGGTGGGCCACGTCCTATCTAGTGGAAGAAACAAAACAGCTGACTCTTCCATAGAGAGAGGGAATTCCTCCTGCCTTTGAACTGCGACTTGCACCATGAGCCCGCCCAGATCTCCAGCTTGCCACTCTCCCTGCAGATCTCGGAACTCGTCAGCCTCATTGACGACAGGAGCCAATTCCTTATCCTCTTTCTCTGTATGTATTCACCTGTGTCTCTATTGTCTGTCTCTTCCTTACCATCTCTCTCTATATGTGTTCATCTATATCTCTATCGTCTGTCCATCCATCCCACCCATGTTCCATTAATTCTGTTTCTCTGAAAAGCCCCAACTAATATCATACCCTTAAAGGGTATTTTTTCAGGTTCTGTATTTAAAATGATCAGAGAATTTACTAAGAGAATTCTCACCATCAGCTCTTCACACTGGAAAACAATTTGAAAATTAAAAAGCTAGGTCAGAAACTTCAGTCCTTGTAGCTGTGTTGGGGGAATGTTCATTAAAATAAAGGCCGCTGTCTCAGTGTCAATGTGCTGTTTGAAAACAGGTGTCAGAGGCACAGTCTCTGCTGACAGGTCGAGGCTGGCACTGCTGGGACAGGTCACTAGTTAGGCTGGTGTGTCAGGAGTGAAGGGGGCCAGAGGGCAAACGGATCAAAATCCCCTTCTGGAAAGGAGAACCCAGGTGGGCTTGGAAAGCCAGCGTCGAAAACTTTTGTCCCTTCTTCTAATCAGCGTCTGTCACCACAGAGAAGTGATGGAAAGGCCAGAGAAGCGTCGGAAAGGCCAGGGCACAGGGCAGAGGCAGAGGTGAGCGGACAGTGGAGGAGGATCCAGGACTTCAGCAGACACAGGGCTCAGGCTTTGGCTCATCTGACAGCGGTGCCGGGGCATGGAGGCCACCACCATTGAAGGCCTGTGGACTGATGGTTCCAGGGACAGAGTCCTCTGTGAATTTCCAGCAGGACACTGCAGTGAGACTAGTGCAGACAGTCCCCCAGCTGGTTGCTGGATCTGGAACTGAAGTCTCCAAGCTAGAGTCCATGACCCCAAGGGAACCCTAGCGTAAGGTATTCATGAATTCAGGGCTGCTCACAGTTAGATGGGATAAAAAGTGTGCCTTTATCCTGGCTAACACGGTGAAACCCCATCTCTACTAAACAAAACACAAAAAATTAGCCAGGCGTCGTGGTGGGTGCCTGTAGTCCCAGCTACTCAGGAGGCTGAGGCAGGAGAATGGAGTGAACCCGGGAGGCAGAGCTTGCAGTGAGCCGAGATCGTGCCACTGCACTCCAGCCTGGGAGACAGAGAGAGACTCTGTCTCAAAAAAAAAAAAAAAAAAAAAAGTGCATCTTTATCTTCACTAACTTTCACTAACTTGAATTTACAATTTCCTTCCATTATGAATGCAGACAGCAGAACACATTCCTATGAGATTCATGCTAACAATATCAAGATAGCTTATCATCACTGAAGAGTTCTTGCAATGGTCTGGAAACACCACCCTCCCCACGCTTGAGGCTGCAGGAGCTGCCAGTCCCCTGCCGGGTCTCTGTCTCATTGCATGCCGGCTGCTATAAGGAAGCGTCATAGCCTGCCTGGCTTATGAACCCCAGAGATTTATCTCTCACAGTTATGGAGGCTGGAAGTCTGGGGTCAGGGTGTCCAGTGTGGGCAGCCTCCTTGTTCATAGGCAGCAGCTTTTCCCTGCGTCCTCACATGGTGGAAAAAGCGTGAGGAAGTTCCCTAGGATCCCTTTATAAAGGCACGAATCCCTCATCCTGCCCCCAGACAATCCACAAACCCACGGTCACAGACGTCGGTCATCTCTTCCACATTTCATGTCACTGCCATGCCCAAGGCCTGTGGCGATAAGCCAGATGAGTTTAAATTAACCCGTGCGTGTACCGTGCCACACCAGGCTCAATAAATATTGGTTCAACGTATGAGTGAGTGATTTGAAAATTTACAGTTGATAAGCTCTTTAATTCCTTTTCTATTGAGAGTTTGTCCTAACTTAGAGGACTCTGACGTTTAAGTTATAAACTCCACTGTGCTCGGCTGTTAGCCTTGGCATCGACTTGAGCCTTTTTCTGTAGAGTTCCTTTCTGAGGACAATACTTACTCAGGGGCACCCATGCATCCTTATCAGATGTTCTATGTGGACATGATTCAATTATCTATAACCGACATGTGCAAGAAATAACATTTTTTTTTAAATCAACTTCCATTCTAAGTTCCCACCCCTCCTGCGTGGTGTACTGTGAAATTCAGCCTCTGTCATTTCAGGTTAAACCCAAGGCAATACCAAAACCAGGACTCCCAGGAGGTTTGGAGGCATCTGGGAAGCCTCCTGGTCATAGGCCATTGGTCCCCTCATTGGTCCCCTCCGGCTGTTATGAGATCCCCAGGTCCCCTTCTGCATGCAGGATTCGCTCAAGTCTGCAGACCTTCCCTGGGGCATGATCAGGACAGGGGCCGTGTTCTGCAGCTGCTCAGAGACCCGCAGGTCCCCTTCTCTGGCTGTCATCATTCCCAGCTTCCGGCCTCTTTCCTCCTCTCCCTGAGCCCCTGGTCCCCTCAGTCATGTCTCTACTGAGTACAGGCTTTTGTGAAAGTCATGGTGATCTTTGCCAATGGAGAGGATATCGTGGGGTTGGCTTCCTCCCATAGAAATCTCTGAAAAGAAGAACCGCTGATCTCACTTGAAATGGGAAGAATTGTGGGGAAAACCTACAAATCCTATCACAAAGGTTTATTCTGCAACGTGAGTGGAGTGCAGGCGTTTCCCAGATCGGCAGCCACCACGAGGTCATCCTTGGATGGCGTCTGAACACATGTCTGGGGAGAGGTCCGGAGGGGCCCAAAAAATCATTGCCTGTGACGCTTCAAAATTTAACTTTATTCTCCAGAAAAGTAAAAATTATCCAGGTGTATACATTGAATTTGAATAACTGCCTTTACCTAAAGCTTAAGATGTCCAAAAGCCAATGCTATATATCAAAAATATTTTTAAACTGAAGCAAAAACCCAACCAGTAAATTCTTTTTGTTTCTTCAAAGCTACCAGAACACTCAATACCCAGTGTCTAAATTCTTTTTGCTTCTTCAAAGCTACCAGAATACTCAATACCCAGTGTGTAAATTCTTTTTGCTTCTTCAAAGCTACCAGAACACTCAACACCCAGTGTCTAGTCATTGCTATTTATATTGTCAGCAGTGGTGTTGGGGTAAACAGAATTTATTTAGGCCATTTTAATGTTCCCAAAATTAAAGCAAGAGATTAAATGAGAATGATTACTCTGAATTAATCTTTGAACGCTTTTTCAAACACCAAAAATGCAGAGTGCTAGAAATTTAACTGGCAAGTTTGGTCTATGGTTTTAGGTACTTGGATGGTGAGATCTGTATCACTACTGATATTTTCCAATGACATAGAAGGTGGCAACAAAATATAGTAAGGAAATAGTTATATAGGAAGGAAATATCTATGAAGGTAGGAAAAATACTCCTTTCTAAAATATTTAATTATATTGGATTTATTTCATCCTAACATAGGTATTAAGATAGAGGATCGTGCTGTGCTTTTTAAACGTAAGTCATGGGAAAGCTTTGAAAATCCCAGTGGATTCATCATGGGGAATATTTGTATCTCTATTTATTTATTTATTTGGTTTTGGAAGCCAGGAAGGAAAGAAATAAAGAATGGAATGATGGATCATATCAAATGTTACCATGAGTACAAGGAAGATAAAGAAAAAGAAAAAGATTCATTAGCTAAGGCAGCTGAAAGATCATGGTTGACATAGGCAACTGCAGATTCATGGAATTTCTGGAGGAAAAGCCCCACACCTTAAATATGCGGGCAGGTTACATTTCCAAGTCTTTCAGTGGCAGGATATGCTCCTACTCTCTTTCTGTAATAAAAACGAGTATTTCTTGTATCCATTTATTGGTTTACAGCAGGTCATTACTTTATAACCATTTCGATCAATTACACAATCAATTGAACAAACTCACAAATATGTATTTAGTACCTGATGTGTATAAGATAATGGAGAGGTACTTTATAAAAGGAAAGGAAACAGAATTGGAAATAGATTTAGAAGCTCCACATACATGAAGAGATAATCATGTTCAAAAACTTTTGTCCCTTCTTCTTATCAGTGTTGGATGATTATAAACTGTCCTATGATTCATAAAATAGTCAAAATTGCTGTCTCTTCTAAATATTGACAGCATAAGCTTAGATCTTGATGTAATTATAAGGCACAGGAGTGGTCTCTCACACGCTTATTCTGTGTGTGCGATAAAACGGAGGTTTTATCTGTGAGGGTATTCTAAAACACCCGTGTTATCTGGCAGATGGCGCTTAACAGAAATGAATTATTTGTCCTCTTCGGCTATTCCAGAAAAAGATACTGGGTGCTTTTCAAAAGATACTCAGAATCTGCATCTGCATTTCTTGACCAAGAAGACAGAAGCTTGGGTGACAATTGCTGGAGCAGAGATGGGAGGAGAGTAGACACAGAAGCTTGGGTGACAGTTGCTGGAGCAGAGGTGGGAGGAGAGTAGACACAGAAGCTTGGGTGACAGTTGCTGGAGCAGAGATGGGAGGAGAGTAGACACAGAAGCTTGGGTGACAGTTGCTGGAGCAGAGATGGGAGGACGGTACGGACATTCCTGCCATTGCTGCTGCTTCTCATGTCTGCCTCCAGCATCTACCACCAAGAAAACCCCTGCTCAGCGGAATTTTGGGATTACATGGGGAATAATATGGGGAGCTGTGCTAACAGATACGTGTATGCACTTTCTCAAACGTACCATCCAGGGTCCACATTCTGAAGATAAACAGGTTTACCAATTCTTTGCAAACACTCAGATACCATATTTCTTCCTCCCCACCTCTGCCTCACAGCAGAAGGGCCAGGACTGAAGCAAGAGCCACACACATATGTGGCTGGAAATGTTGACCCACCAGATTCTGTGTGTTCTGTGTGGCCCTTCTTCACAGGGTGCCCTGAGCCCAACCGAATGAAGCGCTGGCCCCGTCAGCAGCCATGGTCACGTCCACTTGGAAGTTCCAAATCCCGAGGTTCCTGCAGAGAGCAGCTCTCTGCTGTGGCACCAGCTGCTGGTGAGGGATCCAGCTCCCCTAGTTACCTCCCCCATCACCAAGAGACTGGAAGTTCCTGGCATACAACATAGGCTGAGATCCTCAACTGAGCTGCTTCTCTAAAGCAGGGGCAGCGGGCATAGCTCCAGCACATGGCGGCTGGGGCGTCCATCCCTTCTGGAATATGCCCTGCCATGACCACCCCACTCCTGCCGGGCTCCTGCCTGGCCCACAGCTCCAACGGCTTAAGCCCCTAGCTCCGTTCTCTGCGTTCACAGAACCACCACGGGCTGTGTAGCCCTCCCCATGTGAAATAACAGGGGAAGATGTCTGACTTACAAGGCAACTGCCAGGCAGCAAAAATCCTTCTGATTGTATTTTCCATCTGGGTATGTGCTCATCAGAAGTAAATTTGAAAAGTTAAAAAAAAACGAAGTGATGGAGGGACACAGTCTTGTGTGTGACCACCCGAGGCAAGCCCCGCCTGCACCTCTGGTCAGACATTCCTCAGCGCCAGCCAGCCTTTGCATGAGGCAGCATTCAGAGCCTCGTCGGAGCCGGGCTGGGCAGGCAGCCTGCCCCAGGCACCTACACAGCTCGTTTCTACAAGCCCCACTTGCCCAGTGAGGCTTTCTCTTTTTCCTTGAGAATTAAGTTGGTTTTTTTCTGGTCATACACTCTTTAACATGCAGGTGTAGAATTAAGAGATATTTGTGTTTCTTTCCTAAATGATTCCATAAACCTGGTGCTAAGGAACTATTACATTAGACCCTTGGTGTAGGCAGCAAAGGAGATTGGGTTTTACGCACACCGAGGTTCTTACGTGAAGATGCTAATGACATTCCTCCTGGAGTGTGTGTGAGCCCACCACGTTCCTCATCCTGTTATGTATATTTTAGTAATCCGTTCCATTCATTGTGAGTCTCTCCCCTGGCTAGAATATAAGTTCCACAGGGGCCGGGTTTTCCTCGCTGCTGAATTCCCGTGCCTAGAACAGTGCTTGGCACATAGTAGATAGAAATGTTTGTTGATTTATTTAGTGAAAAAAAGGAACAAATGAATGAATAAGAAGGATTCTCTCTCTGTGTGAACTACTACCTTAGCACTCCTGCCCACTTGCAACTAACCCTGGTCTTGTGAGTGATATTTCTGAGTTTCCAGGAGAGCAGAGACAAGGTAGAGAATAAAACCCTCTGTCAGGTCAACGACACCTAGGAAGTGGTAGGCGGTCCGTAGATTTTTGGGGACATGTACATGGATGAATCAGTCCTTTCTGTGCACTTATGTAAAACTTATTTTCATTCCTTATGGAATTTGCATCGTCTGTTTCTGTCATTCTTGAAGTCAGGGTCAGATCTTTATTTTAAAATAAAGAATAACCTGCGAGACAGACAGTAATGAGACCAGCTGGCGAACCAAAATGTTATGAGCAGTTTCTGAAAAGCAAAGTAAATTGCCTCCTTGGTCTATGTATCATCCCATCAGCGTTCGTATCTCAAGGCTGTGCCACAGATGACTCATTGTGCAATTATCTTGCCAGCCTCTCCGGTCCATATGCCCTTTGCCTTGGGCCCATGAGAGTCTCAATTTCCTGGTGACCCAGAGGACTGTCATGGGCCTTTCTCTATTTTGTTAGAAGCTCTTCATTTTCAGGGTACCACTGTAAATGGGGGATTTGAAACACATCTATTTCGACGATTAGGATGAAGAAGGAGTGCCCAGTTGCTGCCAGGCCTGGAGATACTGTGGCATCGCGTTGGTTCTTAGTGCTGGCCCTGTGGGTGGGGTAGGGAGCCGACAATCCTCACCACGCAGATGCTGCCAGGCCTGGAGACACGGGCAGCACGTTGGTTCTTGGTGCCTGGAGACACTGGCATTGCATTGGTTCTTGGTGCTGGCCCTGCGGGTGGGGTAGGGAGCCGACAATCCTCACCCCGCTCACTGGGAGGCTGCAGGTGCCTGGGGTCATAGGGCTTCCTGTGGCGGGGCCAGAACCGAGCCCGGGTATCCCGTGGCCATCCCACACCCTCACTGCTCTCAAGGCTGCCGGCTTCCTGGACCCACAGGTGTCGTTCATGCTCAGCTAGCTCAAACTGATGCTTACTGATCCACATAGGCTCTGGAGGTTCACAGAGCAACTTCAGTGCAAGGAGCCCTGATTTATTGGCAGGACCAACGGCAGCCCTCTGATGGGTCCGTCTCTCAGATCCGTGGGCAGAGGGCAAGTCAGGATGTTTGGGCTGTAAATTGCAGGGGTGGATTCCTGTATTTGCTTGGGCTGTGAACTGCAGGGGCGGACTCCTGTATTTCCTTTTCCATTAGGGTCACCTTAAGATTGAGATTATGACATCCATAGTGTGGGTTTGGGACCTTCCAACCTTCTGATCAAGCTTTATGGGAGACGTTGACATGATTTAGGATATATTCATTTGACTCTGAGGTGTAAGTCAGAGGTAACACGGTCTTAACTCTTGTCAGTTGCCTTTGCTTTATTGTTTTATTAATTTTTTAATTGAAGGTCACTTCCTTATCCTTAGAAAGAGAGACATTAGTAACTTCAGGTATGTTAGTTGACGGATCAATGTCTGCGCACTCACTATTTGCCATGTGCATGGTAAAAATAAACTCTCATCATCAAATAAAATACCACCTACAGAATTAGCCCTCCCTTGAAATCTTGGTAGTAAAGATTTCATTCTGATACAACTTCAGTATAGATGTCATTCACAATTAGGTGTCCCGTGTACACACATGCACACATGGAGAGACACACTGACTGTGAAGATGTGTAACAAATGCTACCTCCTGTACAGTTCACAGCATCTCAAAAAACAGGCCCACCAGCATCCTCCAGTTCTTGGTCTTTTCATTTTTCCACTGGAAAAATTATTCCTTTCAAACATGTTTTCATCTAAGAAGCTTTGCATTCTTAAAGAATTGGAACATGGCCGGGCATGGTGGCTCACGCCTGTAATCTCAGCACTTTGGGAGGCAGAGGCGGGTGGATCACCTGAGGTTGGGAGTTCGAGACCACCCTGGCCAACATGGTGAAACCCCATCTCTACTAAAGATACAAAATTAGCCAGGCATGGTGGCAAGCGCCTGTACTCCCAGCTACTCGGGAGACTGAGGCAGGAGAATTACTTGAACCCAGGAGGCGGAGGTTGCAGTGAGCTGCGATCATGCCATTGCACTCCAGCCTGGGTGACAAGAGTGAAACTCCGTCTCAAAAAAAAAAAAAAAAAAGAATTGGAACATAATTGTGTCCTACTTATCAATTGGATTGGGAAGGAGCCAAACTATGTTGCTGATATGTTTCTGTTTTTTGTGTGTGTTGATGTCAAATCATCCTAAAAGTCAGTGTGCGCCATCACTGATGATGCATTCCTTTTCTGGGTTATCCTTTAGTTTTGTTACCTGGCCCTTTGAACATTCAAAATTCTATACTTAGAAACATGTGACTCTTCCGTTCACTAAACGTTGATTCATTCTCAGTGTTCTTCAGAAAATACAAGTTCTCGCCGTGTGATGTGATGTTCAAACCTTTTCAATGGAAACAGGAAGTGTCTCGAACAGCAGAGCAGCTGACATCACTTCATTTTACTGTCTACATGTTAAATGCTGGTGAGACTATAATTTCTTGCTAATTAACACATTCAAAATAGACATCTTTGCTGCTAACCTATCAACGTTGCCCCAGAACTTGTGGGGCCCACATAATTTCTTGTAACTTCAGGAAAACCATTGTGTGTATGCTTGTGGGATGTGACTTCTGTGTCCTGTCTGATTTATTCTTCTGTTTTGTGACTAGCATTAATTAAAGTGTCAAAATGGCTTTGATCCTCTATGTTGAATCTTTTGCCTTGAAAGTTTAGTTTGTCCAATATTCATTCTCTCATTCAGACAGTCATGGGCTTGATGACTGTAATTCCTTTTATGCTATCATCCTTGAAGTTCTAATTAAGAGAGTGCAATGAATGCAAGTGTGGCTGTTACATTCAAATAGAATGGCAATGCTTGCCATTCAAGGGATATTTTATCTTGATTACGTATTTGTGCCTTATACGATGGAATGCTAATTTTCAAATTCCCGTTTGGTTTGCAAATGACTTTCAAGCATTGAATTCAGAAGTGGTGTCCAGAATTCCAGGTGTAGAAGGATAATTAAACATGTGTTTAAAGCGATGATGGATTCACATTTGCGATTCCTCAAAGCCATGGGAAGTGTAGATTGTGGAGCAGTTTCTTTCATCTCATTCACACGAGCTTCTTTCCAGTAAAATGCTTTGGTCCAAAATCTCCTCCACGAGGTTGGCTAACCCAACACCTTGAAGACCTGAAGGACCTTCATGATCAGAGTCCTCTGCTTCATGTGCTGTGTTAGAACACTCAGGGAACTATGTCCAGACATGGCCTCTTCATGCAGGACATGTCCTAGACAGCGCTGCCAGCACAGCCGTCATGATGAGGAAGATGTTCCACGCTTAGGCAGGCCAGCGTGGTAGCTGCTGGCCGCACCTGACCATGACCAGTGGACACACAGCGTGTGCCGCAGAGGAACCCAAGTGTAATGGTATTTTAGGTGTTCAGATATTTTAGAATATTGGAGGCCAGGTGTGGCATCTCACAGCTGTAATCCCAGCACTTTGGGAGGCCAAGGCGGGCAGATCACCTGAGGTTGGGAGTTCGAGACCAGCCTGTCCAACATGGTGAAACCCCATCTTTACTAAAAATATAAAATTAGCCAGGCGTGGTACCGCGTGCTACTTGGGAGGCTGAGGCTGGAGAATTGCTTGAACCTGGGAGGCGGAGATTGCAGTGAGCTGAGATCGTGCCACTGCATTCCAGCCTGGGTGACAGGGCAAGACTCTGTCTCAAAAAAAAAAAAAAGTTTGAGCCATTTGTTGTGGCCAGTAGCTAAGTTATTGGTCAGGGCAGTCTAGAAAGGAGCCTTTCTGACACAACTGTGGTAAACCTAAGAATGTAGGCATTTTCAATGGGTAGCAGTCTCCCACCCCTTCACTCTGCCAACACTGCAGCCACCACTGCGTATTTGTCAATTGTGCCATCTCCCCTTCTGACAGTCCTTTTGACTCCAGATATTTGGGCAATTTTTTCAGAAGGGGTTTGCAAATGAGGTGGGCTCAATTCCAGATACATCTGAGGAAAGTCAGTTTTTACACACCTCTTCCCTGCCCCATTTATTCAGCTCTAACAGGGAGGGACCCATCCACCTGAATACATTTCCTTTAAGCATCAACACTCTTCATTTCATGCAATTTTTATGGAATTCTTCCTAAAACTTACTGTATGTGTGGCTCTCTCCATCCTAAGTAGTGTGATTAACCTTTTCTTCGTGCCCCAAGTCATTCCATTGGCCTCAGAGTACTCAAGAGGCAAAGCATTTTACACAGTTCCTTCTGATCACAACCCCATTATTCTCAGAGTGACACCAACTTATGCGATCCCTGTGAAACAAACAAAATCCAAACCAATTCAGTAATTGAATTACAAAGCCCAGGTATGTTTTCATCTATTTCCCTGTAATTTGGAAGACACTTAAAAAAAATCATCAGGGATTTTATAGTGTTGTTTACATGGTAAAAGAAACCAATGCTAGGCTTTAAAAACCAAACAGATACTCATGCTTGGAATAGATATTTTTTTTTTAAAGAAAGTAGTCAGGTCAGGTCTGCAGAAACTTTCAGTTATTAAACAATCATTTCTTCTTCTAATTTCAAAATACATATTTGATCACTTATATAATCCCATGTGGTTGTTTAGTAATCTCTGTCTCTGTCTTGATTCATCTTCTTTTTAAGGACGTAGACTAGAATTACATTGCTAAATTAAATTTTGAATTTTCAAATACATTTAATGTTTGACATACATATAGAAAGTGATAGATAACACAGCCTATAGCTCATAAGGATTAGTTGTGATAAACGCATGCTAGGCGTGCACTCACAGAAACAGAATGAAGACGATTATTATCACCCACACCATCCAACTGAATGGCTGGATATTTTTCTCTAATGTGTAAAATGCTTTCATTCATTGATTTTAATCTGTGGCAGCAAATTAATGTGGTCAAATGATCATTTTGAATTCTTTCTTTACTATTGTTTCCCAGCCTCCAATTTTAACTTTAATGAGCCATGTAGAGATTTACAATTCTATCACACAGGGCTGTACAGGCACGACAAATGTTTGTCAAAAGAATGGATTAATGAATGAATGGATGCAGTGATATACTTCCATGTTTCAGAAATCATTTCTTAATGTTAATCTCTATATCAAAATCATTTTATGTACTGCAATTTTTATTTAACCAGGACAACTGATAATTTTTAAATTATAGAAATCAAATATTGCCAATATAAGGAAAATATAAGTGAAACAGCTTCGTTGTCTGGGGTATAAACCCTGGTCCTTTTGTCACAGCCGAGAAAGAATTTACGACATGGACACATGGTTTTAGGGGGCGAAAAGTTTAATAGAAAAAGAAGTGAGAGAGAAAAGACTTCCTTATGCTGAGGGAGCAGATCGCCCAAAAGAAAGTCTCCCGTTTGCAGCAGAATGCAATCGGTTCTGTACAGAGGCTTGAGGAGGTGGTGATTGGCTTACATAGGGCCCAGGGGATTGGTTAGACCAGATGTGACATTTACATAGTTCGCAAAAAGACTGGCCCTCCCACCCTCGTCTTTTATTATGCAAATGAGGGCTCCACCCTCCACCTGGCTGGTTGCCATGATACCTGTATACCTGGCTTTACCTGGAGGCTGCCATGACACCCTGCACATACTGACAAGCAAAAGCGAGCAGGAGATGCCATATTGAATGTACCTGGCTTCCAGGTACAGCTGCTCCATTTACATATGAAAGCTCCTAGTCTGCATATCTATGCCTGACTTCTTAGGCAGCTTTCCCTTAAAGAAGAAACGGTTTAGGGGCTACTTTTTTATATATATACTTTAAGTTCTGGGATACATGTGCAGAACGTGCAGTTTTGTTACGTAGGCTATGGATCCGTCTGGTCCTGGGCTTTTTTTGGTTGGTAGGCTATTAATTACTGCCTATTTCAGAACTTGTTATTGGTCTATTCAGGGATTCCACTTATTCCTGTGTTAGTCATGGGAGGGTGTATGTGTCCAGGAATTTATCCATTCCCTTCTAGATTTTCTAGTTTATCTGCATAGCGGTGTTTATAGTATTCTCTGATGGTAGTTTGTATTTCTGTGGGATCAGTGGTGATATCCCCCTTAACATATTTTATTGTGTCTATTTGATTCTTCTCTCTTCGCTTCTTTATTAGTCTGGCTACCGGTCCATGTATTTTGTTGATCTTTTCCTGGATTCATTGATGTTTGGAAGGTTTTTTTGTGTCTCTATCTCCTTCAGTTCTGCTGTGATCTTAGTTATTTCTTGTCTTCTGCTAGCTTTTGAGTTTGTTTGATCTTGCTACTCTAGTTCTTTTAATTGTGATGTTAGGGTGTCAATTTTTGATCTTTTCTGCTTTCTTCTGTGACAATTTTGTGCTGTAAATTTCCCTCTAAACACTGTGTTAGCTGTGTCCCAGAAACTCTGTGTCCCAGAGATTGTGGGACACAGCTAAAGCATTGGTTTCAAATAACTTATTTATTTCTGCCTTAATTTCGTTATTTACCCAGTAGTCATTCAGGAGCAGATTGTTCAGTTTCCATGTAGTTGTGCGGTTTTGAGTGAGTTTCTTAATCCTGAGTTCTAATTTGATTGCACTGTGGTCGGAGAGACTGTTTGTTATGATTTCCATCCTTTTGCATTTGCTGAGGTGTGTTTTACTTTTAATTATGTGTTTGATTTTAGAGTAAGTGTGATGTGGTGCTGAGAAGAATGTATATTCTGCTGATTTGGGGTAGAGAGTTCTGTAGATGTCTATTAGGTCCACTTGGTCCAGAGCTGAGTTCAAGTCCTGAATATCCTTGTTAATTTTCTGTCTCATTGATCTGTCTAATATTGACAGTGGGATGTTAAAGTCTCCCACTATTATTGTGTGGGAGTCTAAGTCTCTTTATAGGTCTCTAAGAACTTGCTTTATGAATCTGGGTGCTCCTGTATTGGGTGTGTATATATTTAGGATAGTTAGCTCTTCTTGTTGCATTGATTCCTTTACCTTTAGGCAATGCCCTTCTTTGTCTTTTTTTATCTTTGTTGGCTTAAAGTCTGTTTTATCAGAGAGTAGGAGTGCAACTCCTGCTATTTTTTGCTTTCCATTTGCTTGGTTAATATTCCTCCATCCCTTTACTTTGAGCCTATGTGTGTCTTTGCACATGAGATGGGTCTCCTGAATATAGCACACTGATGGGTCTTGACTCTTTATCCAGTTTGCCATTCTGTGTCTTTTAACTGGGGCATTTAGCCTGTTTACATTTAAAGTTAATATTGTTATGTGTGAATTAGATCCTATCATTATGATGATAGCTGGTTATTTTGCCCGTTAGTTGATGTAGTTTCTTCATAGTGTCAATGGTCTTTACAATTTGGCATGTTTTTGCAGTGGCTGGTACCAGTTTTTCCTTTCCATGTTTAGTGGTTCATTCAGGAGCTCTTATAAGGCAGGCCTGGTGGTGACAAAAAGCTCTCAGCATCTGCTTGTCTGTAAAGGATTTTATTTCTCCTTCACTTATTTAGTTTGTTTAGTTTGGTTGCCTGTGAAATTCTGGTTGAAAATTCTTTAAGAATGTTGAATATTGGCCCCCACTCTCTTCTGGCTTGTAGGATTTCTACTGAGAGATCTGCTGTTAGTCTCATGGGCTTCCCTTTGTGTGTAACCTGACCTTTCTCTCTGGCTGGAGGGCTGCTTTTCATTAAAGGAAAATTCTACTAAGATCTTTCACCTTTTCTAGCTGCCTAAAAATAATTTCTTAATAACTGCTGTATTATTTGTAACTTATTGTTCTGCTATAAACAATCCATTCAGAATGCATGAGGGATTATATTATATGCATATACGCCCACTGTAAGTGAGAATGACAAAAGCTATATTTAAAATATATTTTAAGTGCCTGTCCCTGGTCTTCACACACAGATCCCCCTTGACCTCTGTACTCACATGTAAAAATGCGTCTGGTATCTGCATACCTGGAAGTTTTTATGTGTATTGCTAAATGTTTCTTTAACTTCTACAGTGTTTCCAATTCTTTAAACGCTACAGGTCAGTTATTTCTATTAAAACTATGTGTTGGATTTCTCATGGGGTCATTAACAAAGGGACTTACATGGACAAGTGATTAATATTTTTAGGGGATTAAAAATATCCTACCAGGACACATATTCCCTCCTGCAGAGATGGCGTTTCAGATCCTGTGGTTGGTAAACCCTCAGATGATCAATCAAAACTTTCCCTTGGTCCTTTAGCTAAATGGCCCAATTGTTTTTGAGAGAACCTGAAGTTCTGATAACATAGTGGGCTTTTCCCCTTGAATGGTGTCACCGAAGAATACACGGCACCGTGATTCCGTAGCTAATACCGCAACTTTCAGCAACAAGGCTGCTGGAACCGGAATCTTGCACTTCCTGTCTACGAGACAGGGAGAAACTTCACCTGTTTCTGCTGGCAAGGGTTGGGGGAGGCTAGGGGACAAATCCATGTAAAGACAGCAGTGACTGGCAGTTCACAAGTGTTCAAGCTCTAGCTCTTTCCAAGAAAACGTTGTCTAAATAGAAATCCTTTTCAAAGCCTTTCAAGCTGGTTTTCTTCCTGTTCACGTTGGAGCCCCAGGAGAGCTCTCATTCTCAGCCTGCTGGGCCCAGCTTCTCCTCATCCCGCTGAGGTGCTGCGCCTCATGGTGGTGGGGGCTGCAGACCTGTGTGGTGCATGACCACCTGTTCTCCATGGCCTCTACTATGTTGACATGGCCAGTAGGAGCACTGAGAAGAGGCAGGGAGTAACATCACTGTTGACAAAAGGCCAGAAGCTGGGTCTAAGTTCTGCTGCTTACTGCACAGAAAGCCAATCACTGAGACAGCGAGTATTGCCAGGGAAGAAGGCTTTCATCAGATGCTGCAGGAAAGGACATGGCAGATCCATCTCAAATCCATCTCCCTGGCAAACTAAAATTAGAGGTTTATATAGCAGGGAAGAAATGTAACCATGTATGGGAAAACAGAAATGAGGGAGCTGTGAGGAAGAGGCGGCCACCAGGAAGCAGATGATGGGTTGGGCAGTCAGAGTGGATGTGAGGTCTTTGGTCTCATTGTCTAGATGCAGTGATCTGGTGAATTGGAGCTCCATGATGCTATCTGGGAGGCCTGATGGCTGCTGTCCTTAGAAAGGAACTCAGATAAGACAGATGTAACTTTCTCAGGTTTCAAGACTAGGAGGGTCAGTTTCTATGTTTATCTAAAGAAACCCATAAACATCCGCCCTATGGGACAATTCAGCCGGTGTCATCACCATCACTCAGCTGAAACAGAGAGCCAGATCTCCTGCAAAGCCCGCTGCTCACAGTATGGTGAGCCTGGGTGCTCTGCCAGAGCAAGACCACAGGGGAAGAACACGGTCACGCTCCTTACAGTATGGTGAGCCTGTGTGCTGTGCCACAGCAAGACCTCAGGGGAAGTACACAGTCACAGTCACAGGGCTGCCGCAAAGGGTCTTCCGCCCATAGGTCATGAGGGATGAACTGATGCTTTGGAAAACAGTGGGTCCCACACACCTTTCCTATGAACCAGGAAAATATATCATCAAGCCAATAAACAAATATTCGAAGGCCTCTTTCCCAAAATAATTTTCATTGATTTGGTATGATTTAAGGAATTGAAAGCCCATTTCATATAATCTCCTCTTACTCTGGCTTAAGCCCATTAGTTAATAGTCCCTTTAAACAGTTTGGGTCATGGAGTGTCAGGGTATAATCTTTAAAATATCTTCTGCCACCAAAGGCATTTTGATTTTTTGTTTTTAGGAAACCTGGAACCGCCATAAATCTTGCTGAAATAAGTGCCTCTTTCATTGAATTTTGCAGTGGGCAAGGATTCTGACGTGCACTCTTGGACCCGTCTCTTAAATGAGAAAACACTAGATCAGGTCATGAGAAATAAGGTTCTGCTATGTAAATGGTCACAAAAAAGAAAACTAGACTCATTATAACCAACAACTGGAGAAGCATCTGAATCTCAGTTCTACCATTTTTCTTGTGGGCTGATGTCAGGAAGAGGTTTAAGCCCATTCAGACTTAGACCTTCTCTTCCAAGATATGCAAATGCCAAGACCGCCTACCCCACAAGGTTGTTCTGAAGCTTAATGAACTGCAAAGTATAACGTGCTCCACAGAGTGCCTGGCACATGTGTGAGTGTGGGGTGTGTGTGTACACACGTGTGAGTGTGGGCTGTGAGTGTGTGCGTACATGTGTGAGTGTGGGGAATGTGTGCCTGTGTGTACACGTGTGAGTGTGGGGTGTGTGCGCGTGTGTACATGTGTGAGTGTGGGGGATGCATGTCTGTGTGTACACGTAGTGTGGGGTGTGTGTGTGTACACATGTGTGAGTGTGGGGTATGACTGTGTGTGTACATGTGTGAGTGTGGGGTGTGTGTGTGTGTATACCTGTGTGAGTGTGGGGGATGTGTGCCTGTGTGTACACATAGTGTGGGGTGTGTGTGCGTTTGTACATGTGTGTGGGGGATGTGTGCCTGTGTGTACACAGTGTGGGGGGTGTGTGTGTGTATGTGTGAGTGTGGGGGATGTGTGCCTGTGTGTACACGTGTGAGTGTGGGGTATGACTGTGTGTGTGTACACGTGTGAGTGTGGGGTGTGAGTGTGTGTGTACATGCACATGCGCACTCCAAGGTGACTTTTCTTTCTCATACTGAAGAAATGAAGGGGTGGTGGCAAGTTTGCAGCTGCTGCTGGCATTTTCTTCTCTCCTTTGATGGTGGAGTCGGCCAGTGCTGTTTGGGGACCCGGTGGTGACAGCGCCCTTACTGTGCACCCGTCTTCGCCAGCTTCTCTGGATGCTTATCTCCGCTTCGTGAGACGCCGGACACCGCAGAGCACCCTCAGACAGAGGGAAGGCAGTTTCTCCAAGATCACATGATGACATGCTTTCATGTCTGAAGCAAGAAAGATTGATTTAATAGAACCAGAAAGAAGTGTGTGAGATTTCCCTGTCCACAGATTTTGCAGGAAAGGACCGAGAAGCCCCCCTTTCCCCTGCGCCCTGAGCGTAATGGTTAACTTCGACTCACAGGGGAGGTTTGGTCTGACAGCTGTGACTTGCCTGTGAGTCTGTGGATCCTGTAAGTGAAACTCAACTGCAGGGAGTGGTAAAAATCATCTCAAGATATTAAATCACCAGAGGAAAGCAGAGCAAAACAAGCGTTCCAGCATCACAGCGCATGTTTTGATTTAGAGGAAGAGAGAACGGCAGAATGGTCATTTGCTGTTTCTGCCAGAAGGTAAATAGTTTGAGGAAAACTCCATGACGCTTGTAAAGAAAAGAAGAAGTCAGGCCGTATCCCCAGAGCACTAATGTGACCAGTCGGTTCAGCCCCCAGAGGAGCCTGCAGACTGCTGGGGAAATCCAAGTAAAGTTTGCAGTATCCTTATGCCAGAGAATAGTGGTTTTGTTGATGACAACTGATCCACTGATACCAAACCCTCCTCCACCAGGGCTGCCTTTCTAGAGCTGAGGCTGTGGGTGCGGGCACAGCAGCATCAGCATTTCTGTAGGACAGGCCATGCCCACTGGCCTTCCCGTGGCAGCGTTGGTGCATCTACAGGACAGGCCGTGTCACCTGGCCCTTCCTGTGGTGGCATCGGTGCGTCTACAACACAGGCCACGTCTACTAGCCCTTCCCGTGGTGGCATGGGTACATCTAGGCACAGGCTATGTCCGCTGGCCCGTCCTACTCCTGCTTCCCAGGAGCAGCTCCATCCATCTCAAGGCACGGCCAGGCTCACCCCCAGGAAGCTTCTTTCAACCCCAGTCTCTCTCTGGGCGTCCCTAGTCTCTGATGCTGCACCCTTGGTTCTCAGGACGGCCTTTTCAGTGTGATTATGGAGCACACTGGGGCCAGGCTCTTAGGCTCTAGATAAATGCTTCCTGAAATCAGCGAATCTTACAATGTTGTATCCACCAGTGAAGCTTGCCAGGCACTTTACGTCGGTGCCCAACGTGGAAGAAAGCCCAGGGTCTTCAGCCCCCTTATCAATGGTCTCTGGAAAACCCATATGGTAACAGCAACCATATGGACATTCAGTTCGACCTGGACATTCAGTTCAATATTGCAGCCTTGCTGATAACGGTGAAAAACAATACTCTTTCACAAAGTTCCAACCACAACTTTTACGAAAGTCAGTCAGTGATAATCCCTGTATCACTGCAGCACAGCTAATTGCTTCAAACCACGTTTTCGTTTTAGTGGTTTTGAGAACAACCTGGCAGGCATGTGCACACACACTTAGAAAGAGCATCATGTCTTTCTTTTGTCATCCAGGAAAAATCACTGTGTGTGCCCTGCCAGGTAGAGTGTAGTAAATTCTTCTTTTTGTACGCTGGAGGTGAACTGCTCCTTCTTAATCTGTTTGTTTTAAAAGTGTGGCATGCAACTACATTTTTACAAAGAAATCAGTTTAAAAAATCATTTCATCGGCCTGTAGCAAACACATTATAAAGTGAGAAGATGTGGTATGTGACTTTCCTGTGATCATGGAGATAAGTCATAAGCTGCCCCATACATTTTTTTTAATTTACGAGATATTCCATACAAGAAGGAAGGTTTACTTGTTTTGTGAAATTTTTCAGACTCTTTAAATTTTACTTAAATACACTTAGTGAGGTCTGTGATTTTGAACAGTGGCGACAGACCTTTGAGAGTAACTATGAAACACATAATGAGCCAAGGTGGGGATGAATTTGCATGCATTTGCTCAAATTTTCTGGGCAGGTCACTAACTGATTACTTCCTCCCTGTTGCATTTGCCTGTGACATGTTGTGACATGGTTATGACGCTTGATACGTGCCATCGTTCACTGCTTAGGTGAACCTCGCTGGGAAAATCCAACCAATTTGGCGTGTTTAATATCACCTTTCTGCTCATCTCAAACTTGCCAAAGAAAAATATAACTATAATAAGGCAGATGTCACATTTTAATCTATATTCCCGCGTCTCTCTGTTGCCTTTGATTTTTTACTACCCCTATTGCTGGGACTCAAAACTTCTTCGGAATCAATATTTCTGCTTAAGAGAAGCAACGCAGAGCCAGCTTTGCCACTGGAGAGGTCATTGAGAGCCCCCGTCCGCAGTCTCGCTCCAGCGCGCAGCGGACACCGGGCCTGCCTTCGGCCAGAGCCGTAGAATCTGAAGACGTGTCATTGATGATAAAGATTCTGTTTTCTGTAAATGACCCATGACAAATGGGTTACCATGAAAACAGCCGCCTACTCTCCAGGGCTGTCACGTGGAAACCCCTTTATCGATGAGCCCTCCTCACATCTCCACCCGCGGGCTCTCTGACCATGTGTCCATGTCGCACTCAACACCCTTGATAAATCAGCGCTGTGAAACACTGCCAGGAAAGGCATCATCAGAAGCAAGTGTTTAAACGGACCTCATCCCTGCCAAGGTGAGATGAATGTGCAGTCCCCAACGCGTCCCACCCGGAAAAACGAAATATTTCCTAACCCAGGTCTCTCCCCGGCACTACTGGCCTTTGGGATGGAGAAGTCTTGGGAACTTTCTGAGTCTCCTAAATAGTGCCTTGAATCTTGTCAGTTTTCAATAATTTTGCTTAAGGCATTGATTGACGTTAGAGGGAAAAGTCAGGAACAAAAGAAAAAAAGACAGGATTTTGAATGTTTGTCTGGTAAAAGAGAAGCTCAGCACCCGATTGATTTCATAACATCTGATCATCCTTCCTCAGTTTTCTAGGCTTCAGATTCTCTTTCCAATGCATGCTTTTTACAAATGTATCCACTTTGGGCTGGATGTGGTGGCTCACACCTGTAATCCCAGTACTTTGGGAGACCGAGGTGGGTGGATCATCTGAGGTCCTGAGGTCAGGAGTTTGAGACCAGGCTGGCCCACATGGTGAAACCCTGTCTCTATTAAAAATACAAAATTTAGCCAGGTGTGGTGGCAAGCGCTGTAATCCCAGCTACTCGGGAGGCAGAGGCAGGAGAATCGCTTGAACACAGGAGGCAGAGGCTGCAGTGAGCTCAGATCGCCCCACTGCACTCCAGCCTGGGCAACAGAGAAAGACTCCATCTCAAAAAAAAAAAAAAGTCTCCACTTTGTAAATGTTAATATGTAACATTATGCCTTAAAGCACAGGTCATCCTGAATGGCAGGCTTGTTTTGTCATTTGTCCTTGTTAACTCGGGATGACATTAGAGGTCAGAGTGGATTAGGAAAATCCACTCATGGGTTAAAAATGATTGGAGGAGGTGAGGGATGGGAAGTGTCCTGCAGACACAGAAAGGATGTGTTTCCACCTGCAGCAGCCGGCAGCTGCTCTCGGGCACCGTGTCTGGACATCCTTGGGGAAAACTGCTGCTCGGTCTGTCCTCACAGACGGCGCTCAGACCCCTCCAGGAGACGCCCACGTGCGCACTCACCTACGTCACAAGCAGCCTGGCAGTGCCTCCCACTGTGTGTGTGTGGCAGGGGTGGGGTGGTGGTTGCTTTGCACTCTGATGAGGGGAGCAGATTCCCTTCAAGAAGCACTTTTATCAGCTCTTCCTGTGCACTAAAGGAAAATAATTGACTGTAACGGACAACCAATTCCTGTTGAGGGAGAGTGTTAGGGAGTTCATCCTCTCTATAAAAATAAGTTATAGCCTGAGTCCAGGCCAAGGTGCCTCATGCATTTTTGGTAGGCTCTAAGAGTTATTTAATACAGTCATCATCTCCGGATGCATTTATTTTGCTTTGGTGGCCTGTCCAGCTGTACAGCCGGTGGTACAGAATGCCCCATGCAACTCGAGTTCGGGAGGAGACTGGCTGGTGACGGCCACAGGTGAGCGTGGCCTGGCCCAGCTCAGATGCATAGAGCTGGCCCCTTTCCGGTGGTCTTCCTACAACTTAAACCTATGGAGCCTGTACTTATAGGGAAGCAAATAAGTTTCTGCTATTATATATTTTCTCCGTTACAGAAACAGTAGCTATTCGTTATAATGATTTTTAGAAAAACACACAAGCCCAAGAGCAGACAGTGCCCATCCTGTCACTCAGCAGCCGCGATTAACATCTTCAGGTGCTGGTGACCTCTTCTCACACACAGGTTTCCTGTACAAATAGATTCCATCTTGACCTATGCATAGTTTAGCATCCGGCCTGCTTCTGAACCTAGTGTGATAGAATCAGCATTTTCCACGATGACATGACCTGCGTAGAAATGACGCCACGCCTGTGCGCTGTCCTGCGGGGACACACCTTGCCTAGCTGTGTCTCTGCTGCTGGGTTTGCTGGTATTTTTAAATGATGCCATGCCTGTGCGCTGTCCTGCGGGGACACACCTTGCCTAGGTGTGTCTCCGCTGCTGGATTTGTTGGTATTTTTAAATGACGCCACACCTGCGCACTGTCCTGAGGGGACGCACGTTGCCTAGCTGTGTCTCTGCTGCTGGATTTGTCGGTATTTTTAAATGATGCCACGCCTGTGTGCTGTCCTGCAGGGACGCACCTTGCTTAGCTGTGTCTCTGCAGCTGGGTTTGCTGGTATTTTTATAATCCTGCACTGTTACAGGTATATTCATGTGTGCTGTCTCACTGTCCCCTCATTTCACGCTATTTTTTTAGGCTAGACGTCCAGGAACAGACTTGCTCCGTCAACCACAGGGCATGGGCGTGGGGAAACAGTAGACCACAGGCTGACGGGGAAGAACACGCCTGTTGACTTGGGACTTTCTTTTCTTACAGCTGTCTCATATACAAATTACAAGAAAACGCCCCCACCGGTGCCCCCTCGGACCACCTCCAAGCCTCTGATCTCGGTGACGGCGCAGAGCAGCACCGAATCCACCCAGGACGCCTACCAGGACAGCCGCGCACAGAGGATGTCCCCGTGGCCCCAGGACAGCCGCGGCCTCTACAACTCCACGGACAGCCTGGACAGCAACAAGGCCATGAACCTCGCGCTGGAGACGGCCGCTGCCCAGCGCCACCTGCCAGAGAGCCAGAGCAGCTCTGTGCGGACCAGCGACAAGGCCATCCTGGTGTCCAAGGCGGAGGAGCTCCTCAAGAGCCGCTGCTCCTCCATCGGGATTCAGGTAGCTGCTCTTGGCCGCCCGTCAGGGCCTCGCTCCACTCAGTCCTGCCAATAGCCTAGAATAAGCCAAAACCCAACCAGCGGCCCTGGGTCCTTAGCACTGACTGTAACCCCAGCAGGGCTGTGGAATCTGAGAGCAGGGCTGTGCGTTCGCCTTGCAGACCTGCCAGCGCAGTGAGTAGGTGGGAGACCCCCGAGGTGATGCGGACCCCAGTGCAGGGCTGAAGGAAACCCAGGGGTTCCAGCTCCCTGTCCCCTGCCACCCTGAAAAATACACTCCGGGCCACTTGTTTTCCAAGGGCCAAAGGCTGCCTAGAGAGTATGGAGATAACACTGTTTTGATGCTTTAAAGGGGAGGGTTTCTGTTGAAGTCTGATTTTTCAAAAGCTTTTCGGTATTGTGGCCAAAGAATTGAGTGGGGAAACCAAAAGGTGTTGGGAATGAAGAGGTAAAAGGAAGGGCATGCTCTCCTCTCTACAGAAATTGGACGTGCTCACAGCAACTTCAGGTGCTGGCAGGCCCCTCAGCTGGGGTCACAGATGTTGCATCCATGGTTTCAGACCACAGACGGTTGACCCGCCGTCCATCTGGGCCCCCAGATGTCTACCCATGATATAGACGTGGCAGACGGTTCCTTTCCCCGTGAATGGAGAGCTCTGGCCGGCTCCTGCCCACGCTGCACCTCCCTCTGCAAGTCTGTTTTAGGTGCAGTGTTGTGCACCCAGGGAGGCCGGGAGATTGTCCTGTGATCTGGGTCAGGTAGCGCATCCCTCCGGGATCTGGCGGACGTGGTTGAGCAGGGCTGGCCGTCAAGCCCTCTGCCAACACGGCCCACCTCCTGCTTCCTTTTACCCCTTCATTCAGCCTGCGTTCCTCGGAGCTTTAACAGTCAGATTCTTGATTGCCGCTGGGGCGGCCCAGGGAGGAGGGTGAGTGGAGCGTGCTGAGAGCCGGGCCCGTGCGGCGCTGGTAGCTAGGCATGCGGGCGGAGAGAGCAGGGGAGCCGCCCGCTGGTCCAGGGCCTCCGAACCAGGTCTCCACACTGTGGCTTCATTGTTTTGTTTAGGATTCTGAATTCCCAGAGCATCAGCCATACCCAAGGTCAGATGTAAGTACCGAAATGTGCTCCAAAGCCGCGTCCGCATGACTTTCATTTTCTCTCCCTTTTTTGGATGTTCATGCGACCGCTCTTGTCGCCTCTGTCCTGATTCTATGTGCCAGGCACTATGCTGGGTGCTCCCATCCGTCCCCCTTAGATGAGGACAAGGGGCTCACCGGGGTCCCTAACCTGCCTGCAGCCCTGGGCCTCGCTGGGCTCCGGCGCCGGTAAGCAGGAAAGCTAGGGTGCCATCGCCCGTCTCCGTCTCCGTCTCCAGGGTCACGTCTGCAGTAGAGACTGGAGAGGCCCCCAAATTAGCCAGGTGACTTCCCATTGCCAGACACTCCCACCCTCTCTCTTTTCTCCTCAGCCACCTCCCACAGGTGCCCTCCAGGATATCCACCCAGCCACGACTGAGGCAGTGCCAACTTCTAAGCACGTGCAGTACCGACTTTATCTGAAATGAGTGGGACATAATTTTGGAAACTCATACAGTTAAGTCAGCACGCTCGGCACAGTGCCGCCGCTTCCTGCCCCGCCCACAGCCAGGACCCCACACCCCTCCGTGGTCAGCCCTCTTCCGCTCCCAGCTCCCACCCCTGGCATGGCAGCCTCTGCTGAGTACAGGCTTCTCCTCATCCCCCCAGCTTCCCCTGCAAAGCTCAGCCTGTGCCTTTACCCCTTCCCGGAGGCCTCTCTGGACCCCAGCCCCACACACTGTGTCCTGTGAGAGGGAACTGCACCCCCAGCCTGTTGCCACCCTGCACCCAGCACTGTGCCTGGCACATAGGGAGTGCTCAGTAAATGTTGGGTAAGGGAGTGGACGGATGGGTCGCTGGGTGCGTGCTGGGTGAGGATGGATGCAAAGACAGGAATGTAGGTGGATGACGAAGTCACCTTTCATGGCAGTAAGAAAAAAAAACGCACAACATCCTGTGTGTTTTCTGTGCATCCTGTGAGCTGGCGGTCTCACAATTATCCAAAGGAAGTGAATTGAAAAGCTACAGAGAAAATGTAGTTGGAGCAGCTCCAGTGTCAGGATAAGGAAAACAGCCAAAGAATTGAAGCCACTGCAGGAGTAAAGGGGAGGAAAAGAAGGAATCGAGCAGATGAAAGACGGGTTCCTTCTTTCAGGGAGGCGTCAGGAGGGGAGCTGCAGACGGCAGCCTTGCCAGGGCAGGAGGTGACAGGCTGGGACAAGAGTGAGCAGGCTGTGGACAGGTGGCCACGTCCCTGCCAGGCACCATTTAATCCTTACAATAACCCTGTGTGCTGGTTGTTAATTGTGCCCAGACTATGGATGGGAAAACTGAGGCTCAGGGAGGGTCAGTGACTTGCCTAAGGGCTCACGGCCAAGGCCATGAGTGAAGGCAGCGGCCGAGACTGGAGCCTGCACTCCACTCCACCCCTCTCTGCTCTGCTTCTCAAAGAGGAGAAAATCCCAGAATGATTCCGTGCCCTCAGGAGCCTGCCCTGGTTCTGTTCCTGTTCTGGGACACAGGGCAGGTGTCACGCTGTTCTGCAGCTCATAGACAAAGCTGGCTAGCCCGTGTTCCACCAGCATTCAATGGGACTGGCTTCCGGGACCTTTGGGCACAGTTTTGTCTGAGTGCAGATAGCAGGAGAATCTGTGTTCTGCGAATGTCATTCCTACAAATGAACAGCGTCCACGTCACTGAACACATCTTCTGTGGAGCTCACGCCCTCTGTGAGTCACTGGCTCATGGAGAGACAGCTCCAGGAGGGTCCTGTCCCGGGGCAGGGGGTCCTGTCCCACAATGCAACTCCCTTGTTCACAGTGCATTGCATGACCTTTTACTATCAGGGTTTGAATTCAGGATTCTCATTATAATTACTGGGCTACGTCTAACGTGATCCCTAGTGAGTGAGGGTCCTCAGCTCACACCTCCTATGGCCCCCGTCCTCCTTCCCTGCCCAGCTTAGAGCAGAAGCCAGCGGCAAGTCCCCTCTTCCTCAGATGTCTGGCCCCGGCCACCTGAGTCTGGCCCTTACAGCAGGACTCACAGACAGGTCTCATCACAGCTCCAGATTTGCAGGCCAGATGCCCGTAGGAGAGAATGGGCTCCAGCCTTGGCACTCATAGGCCAGTCCTAGGATAAGGAGGAGAGCTTGTGGGCATGGCTGAGCTACCTCGGAGACGTCCTCTGACCCGGTCTGGCCTGACCTCGCTTTTCTTCATTCCAATTGGACCATTTGTGTATTCACTTTCGTTTTTATCCTTTGCGGTTTGTCTCTCCTGCTAAGTTTTCCATTCTCTTTTGTGTGCATGTGTGTGTTTGGGCAACTCTGGGAAATGTTTACAGCTCCCAGATACTGCGGTTAGGAGGGACGGAGGCCTGGTCTAACATTCAGGGTCCTTCTGTCCCTGGTGCCTTGTGAATCCCACCTTTATAAATGAGATCAGTTTTTTTGTTGTTGTTTTTTATTTTTAATTTTTTTTTTTTTTCTTGAGATGGAGTCTCACTCTGTTGCCCAGGCTGAAGTGCGTGGCACGATCTCAGGTCACTGCAGCCTCCGCCTCCACCTCCTGAGTTCAAATGATTCTCCTGCCTCAGCCTCCCGAGCAGCTGGGATTACAGACATGTGCCACCACGCCTAATTTTTGTATTTTTAGTAGAGATGGGGTTTCACCATGTTAGCCAGGCTGCTCTCAAACTCCTGACCTCAGGTGATCCACCTGTCTCAGCCTCCCCAAGTGCTGGGATTACAGGCATGAGCCTCCATGCCCAGCCAAGGAGATCAGTTTCTATTCTGTGATCTCACCAGGTTGTGAGAAGGCAGGGGCAGCCTGGAAAAGACTCTGCGGCTGTCCATTCTGAATGTCCTGCCTGTGATAAAAGTGTCTGCCTGATTCTCCAGGCACACAGGCAGCTGCTCTTCCTCATGGCTGCCCCAGAGCTCCAAGCCTCACAGGCAGCTGCTCTTCCTCATGGCTGCCCCAGAGCTCAAAGCCTCACAGGCAGGGCCGGCCACTCACCTGTAGCTCTGGGAGGCAGAGCACGTCTCAGAGGGAAATAAACAGGAGTTTGCATCAGATTCAGGGCACCTGCCCTGCTATGTGTGAGGTGTTGAAGGAAGAGCGGAAAATGAGCTTGTTGGGAGAGCAAAGATTACAGATTGGCACCCTGGCCCAGTATTACTAGTGAGCGGTTCCTGCTGCCAGCCCCGCCCACTTTCATTTTCTCAGCAGCCCTACAGAAGCTGGGCTCAGAGGAGGCTGGTTGGCTTTGACGCCGCTGCTAGCCTGGGACTGCATGGGAGGTGGGACAGTGATTTTGCTCATTCATCTTTTTTTCTTGCACCCATATATTTTTCAAAACTTTAAGAGATGAGGGCTTGCTGTGTTGCCCAGGCTGGAGTGCAGTGGTGCAATCAATCACAGCTCACTCCAGCCTCAAACTCGTGGGCTCAAGTGATCCTACCCCCTCAGCCTTGCAGAGCACTGGGATTATAGATGTGAGCCAGTGTGCTCCCACTGCAATTCTAGTCAGAATTTCCTTTGGAAAAGACTCTTGAGTTACCTTTCCATTGTATAAAATAATTTATTTTCTTTGTCCCAGACTTGCTTTTCTGTCTCACATGAAGCCTCTCTATGCCCAGGATTTCTGAAATTGATAAATACTTAGCTCCTCCTGGCCAAGTATGATTTTACCATGTCCCCTTCAGACTTTACCATCCAGCAATGGAGAACTTCATTTTACTTAGAAAGATTTCATAAAAGACAGCCAGGGTAAAATCTGCACAGTTCATCATATGCGTGTGCCTTTAATGTAATATACATACCACTATTCACCTGACCGTCCTTAAAGCTGGGATGAGAGAACAGGGAATTTGCATTTGCTGTGGACGAACCTACTTGAGTCAGGCCTCAGGCTGAGAGTTTTACATCAGTTAACTGAGGCATTGGGTGTCCCCTCTTTGAAACAAGGAAGCAAAGATTCAACAAAATTTAAAAGAGTTTCCTAAGAGTTGCATGGCCAGCAAGTAGCAGAATCTGACCAGCTCCAAAAACTGTATTTTTCAAATTCACTATAAAAAATAACAAAAATATATTAGAGGAAATTTGGAGACAGAGGAAGGAAGGAAAACTTCCTTTTACTTTTGTTATATTTTTCTTTTTCATGGTACACAAACATGCCTGTGACTGCGAGTGTCTCTATGCTTGTGCATGCCCCTGGTCATTGTTGTCCATGGCACCTGTCAACCTGTGTTCTTTAAAGTCTGTATTATAAGCATTCTTGAGGTTATCTTTAGAACCATCTTTATTTTTTAGAGACAGGGTCTCTCTCACTTTATTGCCCAGGATGTAGTACAGTGGTGCAATCACAGCTAACTGCAGCCTCAGTGTCCTGGGCTCAAGTGATCCTCCTGCCTCAGCCTCCCGAGTAGCTTGTCCCACAGGTGCTACCACTCAGCTAATTTCTTTTTTTGTAGAGATGGGGTCTTGCCATGTTGCCTAGGCTGGTCTCTAACGCCTAGGCTCAAGTGATCCTCCTGCCACAGCCTCCCAAAGTGCTGGGATTACAGGCATGAGCCACCATGCCCAGCTCCATTGTTTTCACTGCTGTGTAGTATTCCGTGTCACAAGTAAATCATGACTTACTGCACATTCCTATCCCACTGTATCACCCTCATTCTCCCCAGGTGCTACTTTATAAATAATGCTGCAATGAACACCTCACACACTGGTCAGAATTTAAGGTCCTTTGTTTAGGCTGGATTCCTAGAAATAGAATAAGTGAGAGAGACAAATATTCTCCACATTTTTATGATAAAAACGAGTGTTCCTTTTACAAAATATCTTTAAAAGTATTCATTTATTTCACTCATATCAGATTTGGCAATATCTACCAAAATTATAAAGTGCAAATACCTCTGACCCAGACCTCCCATCTGGTGAATATATTCAGAGAAGTTTTCACACAAGTACAGACATGTATTTATATAGCAGCATCATTTATAATGGCAGAAAACTAGAAATAACCAAATTTCCCCTGCACTGAAGGCTCATTAAATGCACTAGGCTATACTCATAAAATGGAATCCTTTGCACTTAAAACACGAGGCAGCTCCATATGTACAGACATGGAATTTTAAATGTATTAATTGTATTACAATCCTTTGCGTAAAATAACACTGATCATGTTTATGTCGAGCAAGGTAAGGTTTAATAAAGTCGTGACCCACTTAACACTAGAAACGGGAATGGTAAATTCTGACAGGAAGGCCAGGATCTTCACTCAAGAATGTTCTTCCTCCTGTAGCCCGTCTCACCCAGCTATCAGAACACGCATCCCAGTCTAGGGTCAGCTTCTGCAAACACGCATCCCAGTCTCGGGACCGCTTCTGCGCCTGTCTTCAGAATTACACCCGGTGAAAGTGGACGTCTCTGTCCGTTCCCCTGGATCCACGGCGGCGGCCGAGAGCTCCAGGGTTTTCTCGCGCTCTGTCTTCTGTGCGGCACCCGGCTCTGGGGTCAGAGAGATCCCGGCAAGAGCCCTAGCCCTGACCCCAACCAGGGCGCGCTCCTGAGCAAGTCACCCCCCTCCTCTGATCCCCCAGCTCTCTCCTGGGGCTGGAAACATCCTTGGGGTTATTGTGTGGATTACACGTGATAACGCTGGAACCTCAGCCTAGTGCCTGGCGCAGGGTACGCACCAAATAAGTCTTCGCTGTTACCATCAGTACCTCTCTTAGCCACAAATCTGAGCCAGTCCTCGTTGACACAGGCTTAACCTTAGGATAGTCACAAAGGGCAACTCAAATGTTAACGTGCAGCTCCTCTCTCTTGCCTCACAGGGGACAGGGTCAGAAATATTTCATGCTTTGCACCTTTTCCTTGTAGTGATCAGTAATATTTTTAAGAAGGGAGAGATTTTATAACTTAGCTATGACACTTCAGAGAGGGCTCAAAAGTCCTTTTGATACAATAGGTAATACTTTTCTGGAAAGAGGAATGACTGAGTGCCTGGAATCATATCAATGGCTTAACTAACCTTTGGTTTCACAGTTTTCCTACTTGGTTTGGTTTTGTTTTTTTTTTTTTAGAGAACGTACTGTACTAGAATTCCCTTGTGGGATAACTTCACATAGCTGATGATCATTGCAAGGCTTGTTGGGTTTGTGGGGACTTTTTGGCAAATACAGCCACAATCAGAATTCTCTGTGGAATACATGATTTCTGTTCTGATCTGACGTCACCCTGCTGGCCATCCTCTTAGCAGACGTGAGACAGCTCTATGGAGATGAAGGTGGAGAGTTTGCCTCTGTTTCTGATCAGTGCTGAAATTCCTTTCTGTGTCTTTCTGTACGTGGATGCAGCCATCAGTATAAGTCTTTTAAATCGCTTATTTGTTGTCATTAGCTGTGTTTGGTTCATGCTGTACTTTCTTCACCATAGGGCGTGATAAGAGCTTTTAAGTCCTGTTATAATGCAGTTCAACAACACCTATTTTTTGCCTGAGCTGAACTAAGCAGTTTTATTTGCATACATTTAGAAGACCAAACTGCAGCCTTGAGTTCAGGTAGTTATGTAAAATGTGATGAGACGCAGGAGTGATGTAATTACTCCAGTGTGAATGCATTTCCCTCTCTGCGGTTTTACTGGGTCAAGTGCACCGCTGCATTAATTAAACAAATGCGTAATTAATTACAGCAAATCCACAACAACAACAAAATAGTCCCTTGCCCAGGCCCCATGTTTCAGTTCTAAAATAAGACGTTCTCTGTTGAATTAGGTGGAAACGGCCACAGATTCTGACACGGAGAGCCGCGGTCTGCGGGAATACCACTCTGTCGGGGTGCAAGTGGAAGATGAGAAGCGGTAACTCAGCCCCTCCTGACACGCGGTGACCCCCGAGCGAGGGCTCTTTGTCAAAGGCCTGATGGAAGCTCCTAGATCCTGCCGGCCCTCAATCATGCCTGTCCTTGTGGAAACAGGGCCATACGTTTATACTTTTCCATTGATAACCCTCAAGTATGAATTAACACCCGCCTATGTCTTGTTTTTGCAAGAGGCAAGGGAGTAATTCTTTCCAAAGTAATTTATCACCTCTGAAAGCAGAGCAGCTGACGGCCTGAAAGTCAGAGTCCTTGATCCAAAGGAAAGAAGGACGGGCTGAGGGTGACGCCAATGCAGGCCTCACGCCTTGTCATGTTACACGTAAAACGATAGAAAGACAGCAAAGCACGTTCAAGGCCTTCATACACCGTGAAATTGTTTCACTTCAAAAATATTACCTAGAAACAAAAAATACAAAGTGATATCCATTAGTGTTATTTTTGTAACAAGGCAGGACGATCATTTTAGTTTATATTTAAAATAGCATGTATTGTCTATTTCATAAAAACAAATTTTGATGAGAATATTACATGGTGAGGGCTCAGCCAATGTGTGACAGGGACAGTGTTGGGTGGCCTCCCTCATCAGGGAGCGTTTTAGCACCCACCCTATGGAGATTTTCATTGCAAAGAAATTCCGACCCCAGCTTATGGCTTCCCCAGTTTCCAAGAGACCTCCTAGAACCTGGCCATCTTCTGCACCTGGGAGCCGGGCAGGCTGCCTTCCATCCTGCTCTGTGGCTCAGTGTCCCTCCCTGTGCCCCCAGCAAAGGGAACACGTGGCAACGTCACTAACCAGCTGCATGCACAGCTGTGTGCTTCTATGGGTTCAGCCTGCAGAGCCACAGGGATGGCTGCAGTAGCTGGGACTATGTAGACACAGAGAGACACACACACACCACACAGGCACACGATACAGAGCATACCCACATGCACACACACGCTCACAGTGTTCTCACCCAGCATACTGGTCTCCAACTGTAAGCCCCCTCCTATCAACTATTTTGGTGATCAGCTATGTGGAAAAGATGACATTAAAATATAGACAGTGAAAATGATTTTCCAACACCTGCCAAAGTCAGAATTTGGAGTCATTATTTTGCATACAGGGGTTAATGGGGACATATTAAATTATCCAGACAGAAGTGGCTCAGGCCCTGAAACACAATTTGGAAGCCACTACAACTCAGTATGATGTTACTATTGTTTACATAAAAGAAGCAACCCATGGCTTTGGCTGCATAAGCTCGTAGCATATTTCTGAAAGGGAGGTAGCCATTTGCTAATGGTGGTTTCAAGAAACACGTTAACTCTCATTGTATCATTCAATAAACTTAAATCCCAAGTGGGTGTTATTTAGGCCTGAGACTTAGGCAGATGTTAAAGTATAATGATTTGCAAAACCAAATGTTCTTCCATAGACAAAACACCAGCATATTTCACAAACAAAACACTACCTGCCCTTGAGCCGCCAGGCTGTTGAGCTCAGGTGCGCTCCTGACAGGCGACATGTAGGACTTTGTTGCATGAAGTCCTCTCAGAAGGGCTACCATCTGTCTTCCTTCCCTCCTTTTGCAGACACGGACGTTTTAAACGTTCTAACAGCGTCACGGCCGCCGTCCAAGCTGACCTGGAGCTGGAGGGGTTCCCAGGCCACATCACCACGGAGGACAAAGGCCTTCAGTTCGGCTCATCCTTCCAGCGGCACTCCGAGCCCAGCACCCCCACCCAGTACAGCGCGGTGAGAACTGTACGGACCCAGGGGCTCTTCAGCTATAGAGAAGACTATCGGACCCAAGTGGACACCTCCACCCTGCCCCCTCCAGACCCCTGGCTGGAGCCCGCCATCGACACGGTAGAGACTGGGAGGATGTCTCCGTGCCGCAGGGATGGCTCGTGGTTTTTGAAGCTGCTGCACGCAGAGACAAAGAGGATGGAAGGCTGGTGCAAAGAGATGGAGAGAGAGGCGGAGGAGAACGACCTCTCGGAGGAAAGTAAGAGCTCAGGCTTCCCTAGGGCCTCTTAAATATCATTTCTCAGTAATGCAAATATGCACATCACAGCATTAGTGGAGAAAAGTTCCTCCCTTTGGTATTCAAGTGAATGAAAATAAATGTGCTTTCTAGTATATCCCCCTCAATTCTAAGAAAAGATATAAATTACATGAAAAGAGAAGCAGTCACTACGATATCGAAGGAAAATTGTGTGTGTTTTGTCAGGTAAGTTGAATAGAAAATCAACTGTGCTAACAGTTTTCTTGGGAGCATAGTTGATCTCATATTCCACTTAGCAGTTCTCTTGAATTTTGGCAAAAACTTAATTTGCAGCATTTATGTTATTTTCTAGAATTGTTACCAGCTCATGCTTTACAAAAAAATGCCTTGGCATTATGCCAAAGAGAAGTCGATGGTAAGTAAAAGATTAAGTTAGTTAACTGTGTGATGATGTGCTCAAAGGTCTCACTCCTGGGTGGAATGGGAAGGCCGTGTCATTCCTCTACCAGAGTCACCACCAAAGGTCTCACTCCTGGGTGGAATGGGAAGGCCGTGTCATTCCTCTACCAGAGTCACCACCAAAGGTCTCACTCCTGGGTGGAATGGGAAGGCCGTGTCATTCCTCTACCAGAGTCACCACCAAAGGTCTCACTCCTGGGTGGAATGGGAAGGCCGTGTCATTCCTCTACGGGAGTCACCACCAAAGGTCTCACTCCTGGGTGGAATGGGAAGGCCGTGTCATTCCTCTACGGGAGTCACCACCAAAGGTCTCACTCCTGGGTGGAATGGGAAGGCCGTGTCATTCCTCTACGGGAGTCACCACCAAAGGTCTCACTCCTGGGTGGAATGAGAAGGCCGTGTCATTCCTCTACCAGAGTCACCACCAAAGGTCTCACTCCTGGGTGGAATGGGAGGGCCGTGTCATTCTTCTACCAGTGTCACCAGGGCAGATCTGTCCCAGTCCCGTTGGTACTCACCTATGCCTCTGCTTCTCCACATGGAAGGGGACAGCCCCTTATTCTCCGCCTTTCTCCCATCTGCCTAGAGAAACCTACCATCAAGACCGTTCAGGCCAGGCACGGTGGCTCACGCCTGTAATTCCAGCACTTTAGGAGGCTGAGGCGGGTGGATGGCCTGAGGTCAGGAGTTACAGATCAGCCTGGCCAACATGGTAAAGCCCCATATCTGCCAAAAATTCAAATTAGCCAGGCGTGGTGGCGGGTACCTGTAATCCTAGCTATTTGGGAGGCTGAGGCAGGAAAATCACTTGAACCTGGGAGGCAGAGGTTGCAGTGAGTCAAGATCGTGCCATTGCACTCCAGCCTGGGCAACAGAATGAGACTCTGTCTCAAAAAAAAAAAAAAAAAAAAAAAAAAAGAGCTCAGAAGCAGCACCCATTATAAATTGCTGTATTTGATTGACTTCTAAGCTAATACCACCTGTCTTTGTTTATAGACCAATTACATAATTGCACAATACCTACAACTAATGCTTATGTTTAACACAGTACAATTTCACAAAGCTATTTCTGAATGTCTTGACAAATTACGGTCTAAGTATTTTTCTTTTTCTGTGAATTTATTTGTACATTGACAAGATCATTATAAATGCTGAACTTCAAAAGGATAGCTGAGATCCTTGGGAATTTGTCCCTGACATTTCATTTCTAGATGGCTGTTTTAATAGGGCATTCACTAATCCTAGAAATAGAAGTGCAACAATGAAACTACATTGACTATGACTTACAGAGAATAACGGCCTTGGAGCCTCGGCAGTCTGAGAAAATCAATGGCGTGCTGATTTTTTATTGTTAAAACTTAAGGTCTGAACCTATGAAGAAAGAAAGACATTGCCTTTAATTGACTAAGCCTGTTCTTCCACATTTGTCTCTTAATCATCAAATCCCACCTATTCTTTACAGGAGGTGACATTGGACGCCGAATGTTGGGGAGATGCTGCCTTCCACGTGACCCACAGTCCCCGCAGCACGGCTGCATGGGGCTGGTGCAAGTCAGCACAGCCGTGTTCCGATCGTTCACATGGCGTTTGCATTTCTCATGGTTAGGGTACATTTAACAGAGTAACTTCACAATTTTGATATCTAAAAATCACTCATTTTCTGCAGCATCTTCCACCCTTGTTAGTATATGCCTCAACTTGGCCAAATTGTCTTAATTATAAAAGGGATTTATAATCTTTAGCACAAAGATAAAACACAGAAAAACTGCATTGCCTAAGTTGACGCCAAATTAAATTGCCAGCTCTGGTTTTGTGCATGCTGACAGGGGCAGCGTAGGGCTGGGGTGCCTTCCTTCCAGGATGAGAGCAGGTGATGAGACCTGCATGTCACTCAATCAAGCTGTGTTTTCTACACCATGTGTTTCCTCAAAAGAACACCTTTGAGGAGGAGGAGAGAGGAAAAAATTTAGGAGAGAGGAAAAAATTTACAAAGAGGTCATGTTTGTTTGTCAGGGCTTAGCCCATAAAATGCCTATAAAATTGTATCCTATTATCATTTGAGTTTATCCCATTCGGGACACATTCAGAAAGTTGTAGTCTTCTTTGGAAGGTGTAAGACATTGAGACATTAGCCATTACTGTGTTGATAACACAGAGACTACTTCTCCTGTCATCATTTTCCATGTTTAGTGCATACTTTCAATTTCATTTTTTCAAGGATTATCATTTTTGAAAAGATATCTTTTAAAAAAAAATAGAATCCTCAGCTGGGCACAGTGGCTCACACCTGTAATCCCAGCACTTTGTGAGGCTGAGGCGGGAGGACTGCTTGTGCCCAGGAGTTTTAGACCAGCCTGGACAACACAGTGAGACCTTGTCTCTACCAAAAAAAATAATAATAATAATAATTAACATTTTAAAAAGTAGCCCGGTGTGGTGGCACATGCCTGTAGTCTCAGCTTCTCAGGAGGCTAAGGTGGGAGGATTGCCTGAGCCCCAGAGGTGGAGGCTGCAGTGAGCCGAGATCTCACCATCACTGCAGAACAAGACCCTGTCTCAAAAAAGAAAGAAAGAAAGAATATCTAGACCAGTTCTCCCTGAACACATATGATATGTCAGGCCCTGTGCCGAATGCACTGCAGACCTCATTAATGCTCATCCCAATGGACTAGGTGAGTAGTATTGTAAGCATTCTACAGATAAACTGGGGCTCTGAGAGATTAAGATCTTGCCCCAAATCACAGAATAGTAGCGGTGACCCGGGACTGGGAGTCACGGCCCTCTGACGTTGAAGGCTCTGCCTTCCCAGCAGTGATCTGGGACTGGGAGTCACGGCCCTCTGACGTTGAACGCTCTGCCTTCCCAGCAGTGATCTGGGACTGGGAGTCACGGCCCTCTGACATTGAAGGCTCTGCCTTTCCACCCACGGTCCAAAGGCATCAAGTCAAGAAGTTCCCTTATGGGAAGCACCCCCTCCACTGCCTGCTTCCATGCTGGATGTGCATCCCATCCTTTCACCTGCTGTTTCAGACAAGGGTGTGTCCCATCCCTGACCCTTCACCTCATTCTGGTCCTCCACGACTGTGACCCACGTGTGGTCCACAGAGTCCCTCAGCTGCGAAGACAGAGGCCAAGGTTCTCCCGCGTTAGCCATTGGAAAATAAGTGGCAGGAGCTGTAAGGAGGCAAATTATTTCTCAAACCAAGAATGAAAGTCCTTACAAAGGGCTTTAGTGCTGAGGCCCTGTCATGGTAAGTCCTGGTTTTCTGTCACTGGAGGCATTCCAGAATATTCTATAAATTATGCCATAAAAATACTACATACAAAATTGAATTTGATGACGTATAGGGACCCAAATCAACAGTAAGATTCCAAAATCTTAGGATATATAGTATTTTTTTTTTTTTGAGAGGGAGTCTTGCTCTTTCTCCCAGGCTGGAGTGCAATGGCACGATCTCAGCTCACTGCAACCTCAGCCTCCCGAGTTCAAGTGATTCTCCTGCCTCAGCCTCCCAAGTAGCTGGGACTACAGACACGCACCACAGCACCTGGCTAATTTTGTATTTTTAGTAGAGATGGAGTTTCACCATGTTGGCCAGGATAATCGTGAACTCCTGGCCTCAAGTGATCTGCCCCCCTTGCCCTTGCAAAGTGCTAGGATTACAGGTATGAACCACCATGCCCAGCCAGGATATCTAGTATTTCAGTGTCACTTACCTTATTATTAGGCATCTGAAAAACTATTTTTCTTCAGTAAGGTAGGGTGGAAAATTAATTTTTGCTGACTCCAAATTATATTCCCCTAAACATATGTTTGGTTTCGTGGTGGGATTTTTGTTTTGTTTTGTCTTGTTTTTTACCTTTTTTGAGCCATCAGGATCCTCCTCTGGACTCTCTCAGTGATGTCTACATTCCATAGATATTTATTGATTACTTACGACGAAGCAAGCCACTCTCCGATAGACAAAAATGATGCAACAATGAGTAAGACATGGTAAAGGACCTAACTGATTACCTAACAGTGGGAGAAGACCAGGTACAGGAAGTGGAAACTGTTGAGTGTCATAAGAGAAGTACAGATAAAGTACTTAAAAACTCAGAGGTCTCAGCAATGCTTTCACCTGGGAAGATTCTCAGAAGGCTTCCTGGAGAAGGTGGCACTGTGCTGGGCCTTGACACGCGGTTGGATTTGGTCAAGGTGGTGGATGGTGGTGACTGAAAAGGAGATTCAAGAGTCCACGCAGAGGCAGAGAACTGGGGAACAGAGGCCCCTTTGTCTCCTTCCTCTGGAGGAAGATCTTCATGTCAGCACTGCCCTTCATCCTGCCTGTGGGGAGGGTCTGTGCTACCTGACCTCACAGAGCCTTCTGTGGCCGGGGCATTCCCCATACCCTGGGGGATGATGGAACTTGCCTAAAGCTCCGCACCTCTGCTGTCATTTGAGATTTTAGGCTCCTTCAATGAAGTGGCCACATTTGACATTTATCATCCACAGACAGTGCCTCACACATCGCCTGGCACAGAGTGCCAGACAATAGGAATGGGGAGGAAGAGAGGGAAGCAGGAGGATGGGCTGTCTTAGCGAACAGGATGCCACACTCCTGCTCACACCTTTATAAAAGCAGAACATCTAGACTCCCAGAGAATCACCTCGCCATCCTCAGTTATGGAGGCTGGGAGTAGCTTCAACACTTCCCATTCTATAGACATCCACTGAAATGATCCTGATTTTCCTTGTCTTTGCTCCACTATATATATATATATATATATATATATATATGTGTGTGTGTGTGTGTGTGTGTGTATACACATATATATGTGTATATATATATGTGTGTATATATGTGTATATATATATGTGTGTATATATATATATATATATATATATATATATATATATATATATACTTTTTTTTTTAAGACGAAGTCTCACTCTGACACCCAGGCTGGAGCGCAGTGGCGCGATCTCAGCTCACTGCAACCTCTGCCTCCCAAGTTCAAGCAATGCTCCTGCTTCAGCCTCCTGAGTAGCTGGGATTACAGCTGAATGCCCCTACACCTGGCTAATTTTTAATCAGAAAATGTAACTAACTGCATTGCTATAAACTTTGAACACAAGGAACAGAGAATGGATGAACTTGATACTTTTTGTGATTTTCTTAATTTCTTAAATTGCCCAGATACCTTCATCTTTTTGTGGACAGATGTCAAAACACTTTTTACGCCCCTCACCTGTGTGTTTTGTCCATAAAACTAGAACAATATTCATCAAGTTCAGATACTTCCCTAAATGTTTAAAAGGTAAGATGATAACCTTAATTTCCAGTCCTAATTTTAGGAGCAGATACAGGGTTATTGGTTATGGTACTTTTTAAAATAAAGATTAAATTAAATGTCTTATGAGACTAAAACTCTGATCTCTGAATATTGAAATTTCCATTATATGAAGTAATTTTTGCCCAAAATATAATTTCATAACACAGTTCCCCGAACTGATTGAATGAATCTAGATTCAGTCAGTCTTCTATGGTTAATAAAATCTATAGTGAACCCAAAGAAATGCTGGTCTGCATAAAGTCACATTAATGCAGGCTGCCTATTGTTAATAAAAGTACTTTCAAGAGATTAAATCATTAGTAATGTTTTAAGATTTTTGTATTAATTATGTCAAACCAAATGGGTAAATACATAAAGGAAAAATCAAAAATGTGCATATTTTCTAAAACAAAAGAAATCCTTCCCAAGCTAAGACTTTATTGAATAATTCCATTGAGATGCAACTCTCATCAAGAACTCACCAAGGGAGCACATGTACACACAGGATCTTTCAAACGGTATCGGAAACTTCCTTGCCCCAAATGACTCCTCCCGAAGTAACGAATAACCTACATGTTCACCGGGTCAGATGCACATTCAAGGCAAACACTAATGCTGGGAGGAACATAGGGATTTGCTCACTAAGTTCTCCTTTTACAGCCAGAATGACCACAAGTCCTATTAACACAAGAGCCGGGGTCAGATGTGTGACTTTGTATCTCCTGGGCCATCTTCCATGCTGAGACAAAATGGTCTGGATGGGGAGAAGCACCCCGGCAGTTGGCACTCACACAGCGGTCAGCAGCTGACAAAGAGCCCAGAGAGACTCTGAGAATGAGCAGAACACATGCTCCATGCAGGGCACGAGGATGACATGGCCACAGAGAACTGTGCCTGTGTCCATGGTTGGCCCAGGTGGTATCAGACCAACAGAGAAGATTGAGGAATCAGAAATACTGATGACGTTCTGAGCACAGCAGATGCCTGTGCACATATTGGCAGCTACCAGCCTTAGGGGTCAATGTATCACACAGCTTAATGGAACGTCCACTGCTTCCAGACCTCCTGGGAGATGCAGGTCATAGACTGTGTCCATTATGTGGATCAGACTAAGAGAATCAACCCACTGACCAGGCCTCTGCTAAGCACCTATGAAGATGTTGCCATACAACCCAACTAAATGGTCATGGGGAAATCAGACAATAAAAAGACATGGATGCTTGTCAGCACAGGAAAAGGAAACAGCAGAGTGAAAAGACAACTCACAGAATGGGAGAAAATGTCTGCAAACTGCCCATCTGACAAGGGACTAAGAACCAGAATATACAAGGAGCTCAAATAACAGAAAAAAAAAAAAATTCAAAAATGGGCAAAAGACCTGAATAGGCATTTCTCAAAAGAAGACATACAACGGGCCAACAGGTATGTGACAAAAGATTCACCACCACTAACCATCAGGAAAATGCAAATCAAAACCACGATGAGATGTCACCTCATCCCAGCTAGAATGGCTATTATCACAAAGACAAAAAACCAGCAAATGCTGTCACAGGTGCGGAGTAAGGGGAAAGCTTGCACACTGCTGGTTGGAATATGAAGTAGCCACTATGGAAAGCAGTATAGAGATTTCTCAAAAACTAGAAATAGAACCACCATGTGATCCAGTCATTGTCCTGCTGGGCATAGACCCAAACAAAAGGAAATTCATATGTCAAAGGGATTTCTGCACCCACATGTTTATTGCAGCATTATTCATGTTAGCCAAGATATGGAAGAGACCTAGGTTCCCATCAGTAGAAAAATGGATAAAGAAAATGTGGTAAGAAAGTAATGTGTGTGAATAATATTCACAGTGGAATATTATTCAGCCATAAAAAAAGGAATTAAGTCTTGTCATTTGGAGCAACATGGATGGAATTGGAGGTTATTATGTTAAGTGAGATAAGCCAGGCACAGAAAGATAAACACTGCGTAATCTCACTCTGATGTAGAGCTCAGGCGGGCGCAGTGGCTCATGCCTGTAATCCCAGCACTTTGGGAGGATAAGGCAGGCAGATCACCTGAGGTCAGGAGTTTGAGACCAGCCTGGCCAACATGGTGAAACCCTGTCTCAACTAAAAATACAAAAGTTAGCCAGGCATGGTGGCGCACGCCTGTAATCCCAATCCCAGCTACTCAGGAGGCTGAGACAGGAGAATCGCTTGAACCTGGGAGGCAGAGGTTGCAGTGAACCAAGATCACGCCACTGCACTCCAGCCTGGGCAACAAGAGGGAGACCCCATCCAAAAAAAAAAAGCAGAGCTCATGAAGGTGGAGAGTAGATTGGTGGTTACCGGAACAGGAGAGAGGAGGAAGAGAAGTTGATTCATACTAATGGGTACAAAAATACAGTTAGGTGGAAGAAATAAGTTCTAGTATACAATAGTACAGTAAGAAAACATGGTTAATAATGTATCATGTATTTCAAACTAGCTAGAAGAATTGTAATGTTCCCAACACACACACATAAATGTTTGAGGTGATGCACGTCCCAGTCATCCTGATTTGATCTTAGCACACTGTAGACATCTGTTCAAATATCATATGTGCCCCCAATAATATGTACAACTGTGATAAATCCATTAAAAACACACAGAAACGTGCTCAAAAACATGAAAATCATGAGGCTCGAGATCTTGAAAGGAGATTTCTGGGAGCCATAGCTTAGGCAGACCCCACTACAAAATTAGTTACAAGGGAATCTCAGGGGATCACAGGGGTTACAAATACTCAAATGATCATTTCCGACTCTCTGCAAATTTTATAAAAATCCATCTCAAATATTAGAACACCAGAATAGTGTGAATTATGTTACTTCATACCAAATTTAGATAGAATTGGAATTATAGAAAAAATAAAAGAGCCAAGTGTGTTAATCAAATTTCTTTGTACATGGAAGGCAAGGGTTCTAGCAGGTTCTTTGTGAATTTGCATTCTGATGAGAATTAGTCCTTAGTATAGCTCCTGCAAGTGTCTAAACTATGGCAAAATTAGAGACATATACTGGGAGAGAATAAATTGAATTTTCACTTCAACTTCTTTGCAATTATAGGAAGCTACTTACATTATAGGCATCAGATAGGATCATTCTCACTCACTGAACAGCAAAATTCTCCTACCATTAGCAGGCATGTCATTAGCTACACTTTTTGACATTCATTATCTCTCCCTAGCAATATTCAATTTATTCCCTTTATAATAACTCTCCACTACATTAAATCGATACCAAGATTTTGCCCATGTGTTCATGTTGTGTTAAAGAGTATAAATTGAAGTACTTTGTATTAACAGTTCAGTTGAATTCCATTTTAAGGGGAATGTGAAAATTGGGAATTAAACTTCAAATTTTAAGAAACTGATTGACTTTTAAATTACAGTTTGAGGAAGCATAGAGTTGGCAAAATAAATTCATTTATTCATCCACTTCTATATATTTCTGCAGCAACGACTTACTTAAAATAGTCCCTTTAAATATCTTCATTAATTACCCAGGTTTTAGAATACAAAAGAAATAGAAATTCAACATTTCAAAAGCAAAGATGATTCCTCCCCTCGTCATCAGCGAGTCCAGGGCTGCAGAACACGTTCATTTTGGGGGCAGTGGAATGCACAGGAAGGATGAGGAGCTTTCACTGTCACCCCTGTCAAGAAACCACTCAAACCCCACCGCCTCCAGCTGCTTCTCGACCGACTGCAGCGGCCCCTCCACTCCCCTCACCCCCAGACTCACCCCAACTCAGAGCCCTGCCAGCTCCATCCCGTGCCATGTGGCCAGGGGCTCCTGGCTTCCTTCTCCAGTCCTCCCCTCCCTTCTCTGTTCCCAGGCTGGCTGGTAAATCAGATCCAAGGAAGAGCAGCCTGTCTTGAAGTGGATTTGTGAACGGCACAAGGCCCCGGTGTTAAGATGCCCGACAGACAACCTTCCATCCTTCTTTTCAAGACAGAAACAATGCCAAAGTGTTATCCGAGTTACTTGCTTTTATTAAAAGTTATGCTTTTTTCATCTTTTTCATACCCTAGAAGCAATGGAGAATTAGGTGATATTCAGGAACTATTGTCACCTTCGTGGGGGTGACAGTGGCCCTGGGTCTACAAGGTGGTCGCAGGTAAAGGCCTCAGGAAGAGAGAACACAGGACAACACTTACTGCCGTCTCCACGGAATGGGGAGGGAGCTGTGGGTTATACTCTTCTTTCCCATTTTCTGCATGTGTGAAAGGTTTCATAATAAAACTTTGGGGAGCAAAACAATCTTCATTTTAGAAAAATAAGACAAGACAGAAAAATAGGTTTTTAAGTCCATTATCCTACCCAGGAGAAAATCACTTTGAAGAACACATGGTACAGATTGCCAGACCTTCATGTTCTAAAAAATGAGGGAGGCACCGCACACACTGCTGTGTAGTTGACTTCTGGGTCACGGCGTGCCATAAGCCCTTTCAAATCAAGGTTATCTCTGCAACGTCATTTTCAACTGGCTCATAGCATTTTATTACATGAACATTAAGACCCTTTGTGCCCATGAAATGCGGTTCTTTTTCCCGAAAGTCGGGCTAAGGAGGAGACACTGCAGCACCCTGGCTTGGGCAGCAGGATGCCAGTTTCTGGATCGTGTGCAATGAATCTCACCAGTAACTGTCTCTAGGACTGACTGTTAAGGAATGTTTGGGGGAAGAGCTGTTGTGGAAGAACCTACACGAGGATTGGGTTCACTTCCCTGGACCTCGGTTTCGACTTCTGGAAAGGCTGTCTAGGCTTCCACAGTCAGGTGTGCCCTGGGAGCCAGCAGGGGCATCTCCTAAACGTAGAAAGAAACGGACTTTCTGGCCCGACCCGGACCCCGTGAGTCAGGCCATGCCCGGCACAAGATCCCCAGGTGAGGCACAGGTGGGTCTGCAAGGCCCCTTGAGCTCCAAGCACCTGCATGTGTCTAGGCAAAACCTCCAGCACATCGGTATTCCCTTGTGAAGTACGTAAAGCCACAGATTAAGTGGGGATGGATCTCTCGCCTCTGCGTTCAAGGGGGCAAATCTCCAGGATAAATGCCCCCTTTTCCTACACCATTTTCCACCAGCCTTGGAGAGTCAGCTTCCCATGGCTTCCTTCCAACGGAAGCAGGAGAAAGGGCTGGGCTAGTTAAACCGCAGCACTTTCAGTTTTAGGGTGTGTCGTGTAGGTTAGTGATTTGTGCTCTGCAGAGACTCTCCAGGGAGAGCAAAAAGAGCAGGTGGAATCATCAGCTTGGCCAGAAGACGCAGATGACGCCCCGTGAGCCAGCTCAGGAAAGACGGCCCCACCTTGAAGGGCCCACGCTGAAAGCCAGTGATGGGGAGACGTGGTGTGAACTGAGAGGTGATGAGATGCGTAGATCATCTGCCCCCTGCCTGGTGGGCAGCCCTGGCCCCACGTGCTGACCCAGGCACAGAAAAGCCACATACGTGTACTGGGCACGCTCTATGGAAGAACGGTGAATTGTTGCTCTGGCAAATAATATCCAGCAGAGATCAGTGGGCCCAGGGTGCACTGGTAAGAAATGGGTTCCAGTCGATTCCTGTGTGGTTTTGAGGATCATGGTGAGCTAGGATCTACCAAAGCAGCTGTTTACAAAGTGGTGACCATGCTGACAGCAGACTCAAGAGAGGGTGTGGGGCCGGGTGCGGTGGCTCACGCCTGTAATCCTTGGCCTTGGGAGGCCAAGGCGGGCTGATCACCGGAGGTCAGGAGTTCGAGACCAGCCTGGCCAACATGGTGAAACGCTGTCTCTACTAAAAATACAAAAATTAGCCAGGCATGGTGGCATGCACCTGTAATCCCAGCTACTCGGGAGGCTGAGGCAGGAGAATCACTTGAATTCAGGAGGTGGAGGCTGCAGTGAGCCAAGATGACGCCACTGCAGTCCAGCCTAGGTGACAGAGCGAGACTCCATCTCAAGAAAATAAATAAATAAAACAAAATAAACACACACACATACAGTATATTCTTTTAAAAAACTTTACAGCCAGGCACGGTGGCTCACGCCTGTAATCCCAGCTTTTTGGGAGGCTGAGATGGGTGGATCACCTGAGGTCGGGAGTTCGAGACCAGCCTGACCAACATGGAAAAACCCCATCTATACTAAAAATACAAAATTAGCCAGGCATGGTGGCATGCACCTGTAATCCCAGCTACTTGGGAGGCTGAGGCCAGAAAATTGCTTGAACCTGGGAGGTGGAGGTTGCAGTGAGCCAGGATTGCGCCACTCCACTCCAGCCTGGGCGATAAAGGGAGACCCTATCTCAAAAAAAAAAAAAAAAAAAAAAAAAATTAGTATTTGATTAACCAAATAAAGTCATTGCAATTAGGAACCATTTGTAGATTAATTCTTCCTACTGAACTGTGGCCTGCTGACTCATAGCACACTCAGAAATGTAGCGTTAGCATTACACATATACTGGGTACATGGATTGGTGAGTTTAGTAGCTGTGAGCATATTCAGTAACTTGTGACCCTTTTACCATCTCCAGGAGGGAAGCCACATCTTCCTACGTGCTACGACCTTCCTGTGAGGCCTCTGTCCACGCAGCCTCTTCCTACGTAACACACACCTCACAGCACTGCCAGGAGATAACTGCCCACAGTTCATTAGAAATTATTTAATTGAATCCAATGAGAGAACCCATATGGATGTGTTTTTTCTAAAAATGAAGGAATTCACATCTAAAAGAGTTCACTAACATGTTAGAGTCCATAAAAATAGGAAGAACTCGATGTTGCTTTCACTCACACGTGTTCTTGTGTCTTCCAGCTCATCCAAACAGCAGCACTGAAATAATCTCGATGCCAAAATAAGGAAAACTCCCTGAGGTATAGGCCGCCTTTCTAAACTAAGTTTCTCCCAGTACCCAAGGAGAATGTCCTCACAGTGACATCTGGTCATCTCTGGATTTCCTTCATGAGTTGGGGACGAGCACACTAAGGCACGAGTCACCAGCGAACACGCTCGGCACGATGAAGTCGTCAGTTTTCATCTCCAGTGGGACTCGCTCCCTTGGTGTGATGTTTCTGCTTTTGTGTAATTGACCCAGTTTTGAAGTTGTTGTTTTTTTGTTTTTGTTTTTGTTTTAAACAGTTCTCGGTAAAATCAGGAGTGCTGTTGGGAGTGCCCAGCTTCTCATGTCCCAGAAATTCCAGCAGTTTTATTGGCTTTGCCAACAGAATATGGTAAGTGAATCCTCAGTGAACCCCTGTTCCCTGTAACCAAGCTAATGGGCATCATTCCACAGATTCTCATTGTTTTCTTCCTTGTCAAAGAGTTCCCATCGGTATGCGGAATATCACGTGCACTTACTACAGAAGAGGCTTCCCGCCCTGGGGAAAGAGACGATTCGGCCCTGGTTTAAACGCGGTACCGAGGCAGGGAGGCGGATACGGCCCTGGTTTAAACGCGGTACCGAGGCAGGGAGGCGGATACGGCCCTGGTTTAAACGCGGTACCGAGGCAGGGAGGCGGATACGGCCCTGGTTTAAACGCGGTACCGAGGCAGGGAGGCGGATACGGCCCTGGTTTAAACGCGGTACCGAGGCAGGGAGGCGGATACGGCCCTGGTTTAAACGCGGTACCGAGGCAGGGAGGCGGATACGGCCCTGGTTTAAACGCGGTACCGAGGCAGGGAGGCGGATACGGCCCTGGTTTAAACGCGGTACCGAGGCAGGGAGGCGGATACGGCCCTGGTTTAAACGCGGTACCGAGGCAGGGAGGCGGATACGGCCCTGGTTTAAACGCGGTACCGAGGCAGGGAGGCGGATACGGCCCTGGTTTAAACGCGGTACCGAGGCAGGGAGGCGGATACGGCCCTGGTTTAAACGCGGTACCGAGGCAGGGAGGCGGATACGGCCCTGGTTTAAACGCGGTACCGAGGCAGGGAGGCGGATACGGCCCTGGTTTAAACGCGGTACCGAGGCAGGGAGGCGGATACGGCCCTGGTTTAAACGCGGTACCGAGGCAGGGAGGCGGATACGGCCCTGGTTTAAACGCGGTACCGAGGCAGGGAGGTGGATATGGCCCTGGTTTAAGCAGTACCGAGGCAGGGAGGCTGCAAGGGGGAGTGGAGGACAGGAAGAGGCGGGCTGCAGCAGCGCGGCGTGACACTGTGTCTTTGCAACTGGATGCCCCACCAGAGCATCTTAGAAGAGGAGAAACAAGGGAAATTTCTATTACGTCTAATGTCACAAATGAAGAAAATGATCTAAGGTGCCTGGAAATAAAAATACATAAACAACTACAATGAAGAGATTAAGAAGAGATTTTGCAAATAATTTAGCCTTTGTATTTTATAGTCGGTAGTGAAACGAATATACCATGAACTAGATGATTAATACAGTTGACGTTAAACTTGGTTATTCCTGACAAGCAAACAAAAAGAAAAACCACATATATATTTACATATACTTACATATATACATGTTAATATATACTTACATATGCTTATATATAAATATATATACACATATTAATATATAAATATATATTTGCTATTTCTGGCAGAGCAGAAAAGCTCATATATACATCTCATATATATTAGATGTATACAAGATTATAATCATATGCATCTATATGTTTATATATACACCTATATATAAACATATATAGGTGTATTTATATATAAACATATATATTAACATGTATATGAAATTTTACTTATGTATCCTTATATATACATGCTAAACATTAACATATAACAAATATATAACATTAACTACATATTTTATATATACAAATATATAGTATATATAAAATATATAGTATGTGTGTAGGCAAATATACAGTATATATAAAACATGTAAGTTTACATGGTAATATATTTTATATATACATTTGCCTACACACATGCATACATATACATTCTATATATACTGTATATCTAAGTTTACATATACATGTTAATATATTTTATATATACTATATATTTGCCTACACACATACATGTATACTTTTCCTTGGCTGACTAAAGTATTCACTATTTTGAGAAATAGTAAATAATAGTTATGCTACTTAATAAGTTGTTTTATAATACATACATCGATTTCTTTTCAGACCAAACATTTTCAGTCAAATGCAAATAGGTCTTCTCTAGGCCTCGCGTAGCAATGGTGCCAGGTGTTTTGATGATGTTTTCCTTGGCTTTTTCACGTGCAAGGAGACATAAGAATATTCTTACACATCAAAGGATGCACAAGCAAGCCAGAGTTGCCATCTCATGTCTTTTCCTTAGGATCATTAAAAAGTATGCCTTCTCTAATACTTTCCAATCAACCCCACTGAAGTTCACGGCGATTTTAAAGAGTCACCAACACATCACTCTGACAAAGTTATAATCATCATTTAAAAGAGGGAAATAGAAAGGTTTTGAGTGCCTCGAAAGAAGCCTGTAACTGTGTAAACATTCAGCTGCCATGTCACCTGTGAACGTTCTTGCCTCCTCCATAGTATCTATTTGATTATTACCTTTAAAGGAATTGATTCGGGCCACTGACGAACTCTGTGTAACATTATGCAGACTCGGGTGAGCCTAGGCAGGCACTGTCTTTAGGAATGCTCATCCAAAGCTTCCCACACACAGCCCAAGGTGCATATTCAGACCTGCTAAATGTTCCTTTCTGCTCTGCCAGAAATAGCTAATATTTGGCTTAAAATTGTTCATCCTAATATTTGTTATGCCTTTTGAGTTTTAAAATAGCTGGCTTGGCTACATCCTTTTCTTTCAACTTCTATTCAGGATTAGTAGAAAAACACTTTGACACGTTTGGGGCGGAAGAGTGGTACAGGGAGGGGTGGTGCCTGAGACAGGCCTGGCAGGAGAGGAGTGTTGACTTGTTAAGAGATGCTTCGCTCATCAAAGCCAAATGGTCCGCAGCGCAAAGTAGCACCGCTGTCTGCTGGAAGTTGTTGGTAGGTAACTAAGCTTTAAGTCAAAGAGCGACCCTAGAAAATGTCAGAACCCCAGCCCGAGATTGAGGACTGACCACAGGGAGCGGAGCCTTTCGGGACGGACCGCGGGGGGCAGAGCCTCTCAGGGTCGGGATGTGCAGGTGGCTTGTGACACAACCAGAAGGCACATAATACCGGAAATAACTTAACCTCAAAGCGTGTGGCCTGATTGCTGTGCTTGTGGGACCAGCAGTTTGGTGTCCCCAGAAACTTAGTCTCATTCACACCCACTGAGCCTGCCTCTGAATTTTAACTCCATCCAACCCCGGGGGGTGTGTGCCTGAGCAGGTGCCGGCGCACAGAGAGCTGCCCCAGGCCACACGGGGCACCGAAGTTCCTATCCAATGGACGCCGGATGCCAGAGCCACAGAGCTGTGTGAATTTAAAAGACGGCAATTTCACAAGGAAAGAGGCCCTGCATGAGTTTGCTGGGGGAAAGGGAATGGCATGGCACAACCATTGACTTTTTTTTTTTATTATAAACACCTTATCATCTCTGAATGTTCAGTGGATTCAGATGCAACCACCTCCCCAACCAAAAGAGAACAGAAGACAAAACCAAACCCTGACCATGCCAGGCTGTGCCCGTCCGGCCCCAGCATGTGGTCTGGGTGAGCCCAAAGGACGGGTGTGTTGTTGCCGAGGAGAGGAGGGGGGCACGGGAAGGCGATGCCTGCTCTCAGGCAGCCTCTGCCACAGTGGCCGGCCATGTTCCTCCTTCATCCCCCAGGAGATGTGACCAGGACCACCCAGCTGCGGGCGAGGGAGGAGAAGCCACTCCGCTTCCCCCACACCATCAGGCACAGCCGTGCCCGGCCCTACAGAAAGAGGGGCACAGCCATGACCGGCCCTACAGAAACAGGGGGCACAGCCATGCCCGGCCCTACAGAAAGAGGGGGCACAGTCATGCCCGGCCCTACAGAAAGGGGGCACAGCCATGCCCGGCCCTACAGAAAGAGGGGGCACAGCCATGCCCGGCCCTACAGAAAGAGGGGGCACAGCCTTACCCGGCCCTACAGAAAGAGGGGGCACAGCCATGTCCGGCCCTACAGAAAGAGGGGGCACAGCCATGCCTGGCACTACAGAAAGAGGGGGCACAGCCATGCCCGGCCCTACAGAAAGGGGGCACAGCCATGCCCGGCCCTACAGAAAGAGAGGGCACAGCCATGCCCGGCCCTACAGAAAGAGGGGGCACAGCCTTGCCCGGCCCTACAGAAAGAGGGGGCACAGCCATGCCCGGCACTACAGAAAGAGGGGCACAGCTGTGCCCAGCCCTACAGAAAGAGGGGATGTTCTTAGGTTGGCGAAGACTTCTGGAAGCCAGGTAGGAACCACCCCTACAGCCTCTGAGCAGCCTCCCCTGCTGCTTGTCACCTGGCCTGGCCTGCCCTGAGGCTGCAGCTCCTGGCATCCCTCGACTGACTTCGGTGCAGAACGTGGCCTCCTTGCCAGGCACTTTAGTTATCCCCACCCACAGAGGCTGAGTTCGGGCTCCCAGCCGCTGGCCAGGGCCGCCCTCCTGGGGAGCTCCTCAAGTGCCTGGGGGGGCTTTGAGTGGCCAAGGCTGCCCTCGTGTGGCTGCAGAGAAGAATGGGCTCAGCCGCGCGGAGGGCAGCTGGGGGCCCCAGGTCCTGGCTCTGGGTGAGGAATCGCAGAGCTGTCCGTTCAGCATGCTCTTCACTGAGCATGCTGAGTGTGCACTGCTGAAACCATAAGCAAATCCAGTTGAATGTTGACCCACCAGAACCTCCTCTGACTCTTTTAAATCCCCACTGAATCAAGGGAGCCACACCTGGAAAAATCATTCAGATTTCAATGTAGGGAGCAAGCCGGGCACGGTGGCTCACCCTGTAATCCCAGCACTTTGGGAAGCTGAGGCAAGAGGGTTGCTTGAGCCCAGGAGTTTGAGGCCACCCTGGGCAACACAGCCAGACCCCATTGCTACAAAATTAAAGAAATTAGCTGGGTGTAGTGACCTATGCCTGTGGTCCCAGCTACTTGGGAGGCTGAGCAGGCAGGATCCCTTCAGCCCAGGAGGTAGAGGCTGCAGTGAGCCATGATCACACCTGTGCTCCAGCCTGGGCGACAGAGAAAGACCCTGTCTCAAAAATAACATACATAAATGTAGGCAGCTGGTGGAAATCATGTATCTGTCAGGCACTGGGCAGAGAAACCAAGCACGTCTCTGGGCCACTCGGCCCAGGGCTGCAGCCCAGCAGCGTCACCTGTGCCTCCTAAGTGTGGGCGCCGGTTGGTGAGAGCATCCTGTTCCTTGGCGCATTACATTTGTAAGGTGTCATCACCGTAAGAACGAGAGCTAAGAGCCGTCAGAGAACAAGCAGGTATAGAATGGGCTCCAAGCTGGTTCCCCACTGCCACCACCAGGCCAATACCACGGCAGGCTCACGGAGCCCTGTCCCTTCCGAATCATCCACAGGTGACCAAAAACACAGGCTCCTACTGCTTTTATGAGCTGTGAAGCATTTAGAAACTCTCCCATCTGCCCCATTCCCAGCATTTTCAACGTGGAACAATGAACAGCTGTGCTACGTGTTTTTAGGCCGACAGCAAATACGTGTGCTAAAGTAAACTGTCATGGAAGCATGGCCTTCCCAAGTATCTGCCTCAGGCTGGAATTAGCCAGGCTTCTCCCTAATCCGCCTCTTGAAAGGCATGCGTGGGGAGGAGTGGCCTCCCCAGCCCTGTGCCCGCAGGAGACTCTCCTGGCTCTGAACACCCTGTGTGTGTCCCCAGGACCCCAGCGCCATGCCGAGGCCGACGTCGCAGGACCTGGCCGGCTACTGGGACATGCTGCAGCTCTCCATTGAGGACGTCAGCATGAAGTTCGACGAGCTGCAGCGGCTGCGGCTCAACGACTGGAAGATGATGGAGTCCCCGGAAAGAAAGGTAAGGGCATCCATGCAGGGCCGGCTCCCAGCAAACCCCCTTTCTCACTGCACTAACGACCTGCTGCAGATAGAGCATGACAACGGGGTTCTCAGTCTTTTGCTGGCAACACACGAGCAAATTTCCCTCTATGTATGTGTGCACATGTGTATACGCACATGTGTGTGCGTGTGTGTGCATGTGCCGAAAATGGGGCAGAATTGAAGCCTTGGGCATGGGTGGTAAATAATAGGGTCTCCCCTGCTCTGTCTCTTCTATATAAGCCTTTCAGAGAGACACTAGCCAAGATCACAAGCAAACCTGCAGCCTCATTCCTGACAGGGGTCTCACCTATGAATTATCTTTATCAAACTTGTTCTCATTGTGTAAATATTAAGCTGGCTTCCCACAGGGAAAGTTTTAGGCCTGGTTATGGACTATCTCCTATTCAATATACCTTCTAGTATGGCCACTATAGGCAAGGCGACATTTTATACCTTATTGAACCGTTTGATGAATTAATCTTCCTGTAGATCCATCAGCCTCAACCCTTAAAATAGGCTGAAATTTGCCATTAAATCTGAACCCTGGCATTTCACTTCTTCCGTGATGCTGTCATCAGAAGAACTAGTAGATAGTTCTGAGTTAGCAGCAAAGACATAGATTTCCTCACACGTTTTAAAGACGTCCTGAGGAACCATAAATGGATTTTTCTAGACAAATGTTATTAATTAAAATGATAAAGAAAATCAAGTCAGCATCCTTTGGGGAAGTGGTGTTTGGTATCCAGCAAGGATGCACACCTGGGTCATGAGAACGAGAGCCAGATCTAGTGGTCATCATCATCGGCTCCTCCCAGAAGGTGCCCTGGCCACTAGTGGAGTTCCAGGCCAGATGCAATGGATCCACAGGTTCCCTCTCATCCCAGACGACAGGGGAGTGAGGTGGGAGTGCACAGGGTCCACGTAAGCCATGCGTGGGACAGGTCCACATAAGCCATGCATGGGACTAGGCAGGTCCACTTAAACCATGTGTGGGACAGGTCCATGTAAGCCATGTGTGGGACTAGGCAGGTCCACGTAAGCCATGCATGGGACAGGTCCACGTAAGCCATGCGTGGGACTAGGCAGGTCCAAGTAAGCCATGCATGGGAGTAGGCTGGTCCACGTAAGCCATGCATGGGACAGGTCCACGTAAGCCATGCGTGGGACTAGGCAGGTCCACGTAAGCCACACATGGGACAGGTCCATGTAAGCCATGCATGGGACTAGACAGGTCCAAGTAAGCCATGCATGGGACTAGACAGGTCCAAGTAAGCCATGCTTGGGACAGGTCCATGTAAGCCCTGCATGGGACTAGACAGGTCCAAGTAAGCCATGCGTGGGACAGGTCAGTGTAAGCCATGCATGGGACTAGGCAGGTCCACATAAGCCATGCATGGGACAGGTCCACATAAGCCATGTGTGGGACTAGACAAGTCCAAGTAAGCCATGTTTGGGACAGGTCTGTGTAAGCCATGCATGGGACTAGGCAGGTCCACATAAGCCATGCAGGGGACAGGTCCATGTAAGCCATGTGTGGGACTAGGCAGGTCTGCGTAAGCCATGCATGGGACTAGACAGGTCCCAGTAAGCCATGCATGGGACTAGGCAGGTCTGCATAAGCCATGCATGGGACAGGTCCATGTAAGCCATGCATGGGACTAGGCAGGTCCACATAACCCATGTGTGGGACTAGACAGGTCCGTGTAAGCCACGGTTTGGATCTGAGGTGAAGGAGATGATCAGTGATGCTCCTGAGGGAGAAGGCTGTTCAAACGGAACGTACTGAAGTTAGCCCAGGTGCACACGATGGTTCCGTCTAGTCTCCATTCTTTGGTCATTGAGAGCAAACGTGAGCCCATCTACCCAAGCTGCGCATAGAGTATGATTCTCAAAATGGAAACGTCTTTGGGAGGCCAAGGTGGGTGGATCACGAGGTCAGGATATCAAGACCATCCTGGCTAACACGGTGAAACCCCATCTCTACTAAAAATACACAAAATTAGCCGGGCACAGTGGATCACGCCTGTAATCCCAGCACTTCGGGAGGCCTAGGCAGGTGGATCATGAGGTCAGGAGATCAAGATCATACTGGCTAACACGGTGAAACCCTGTCTCTATTAAAAATACAAAAAAAAAAAAAAATTAGCCAGGCGTGGTGGTGGGCGCCTGTAGTCCCAGCTACTCAGGAGGCTGAGGCAGGAGAATGGAGTGAACCCGGAAGGCAGAGCTTGTAGTGAGCCAAGATCGTGCCACTGCACTGCAGCCTAGGCAACAGAGTGAGACTCTGTCTCAAAAAAAAAAAGAAAGAAAATGGAAATGGTTTCTCGCTGAGGGCAGAGCACGCCAGTCCAGAAAGCGAGCAGATCTCCAGCACAGCAGAGGCTCCGTGCCTGAACAGGAGGCCCTGCCCCTCCTGAACACGGCGTCTTAAAAATTCCCTGGGATGGGCCCTGCACAGCATCTGCTGGACACTCCTACAGTGCCACACCCACAGGCCTGGAAGCTCCTTTGATTGGGGAACCCCCACAGGAAATACTGATGTGTACATCTCACAGGCTCACAGTTCAGGGGACACCAAAAGAGGAAACAGATCCTCTTCTCTCCTTTTCTCTTGGCATCCCCTGAACTATGAGGACAGTTATGTGCTGAAAAAAGGAATTACTTGTTAAAGTAGCTGAAGGTTTCAATGAACTGATCCCCCCCATTGTTTTAGATGGATGCCAAGAAGTCAGGTAAGAGTCATTGCTTCTGGCCTAGTCACGTAAAACAAGCCGAGGGAACAAAGTTCCAGACACCAAAGCAGGCTTCTTGCCACAGGCCTCCTCCGTACTCACACAACTGCCTGTCTTCCCCCAATCTACAAGCACCTCTGGGCTCCCTTTGGAATTTTTCAGAGGCTGAAGAGAAAAAGACATGAGTGGAGTTTTCCTGTTTTTCTCCCCCAAAACTAGATATCTGCTTAGGAAAGTGGTTCTGACGCCTTCTGCCGTGTGCCCTTTCCTGGGAAGGAAACAGCTGGCTACGGAGAGTCCCTGTCATGGCTCTGTCCAGAAGGGGAGACGGGGCAGGTCCCACTGTCTTTAGGAACAATGTGAATCACGGGGCAGGTCCCACTGTCTTTAGGAACAATGTGAATCGCAGAGTTAGGGACACAGACCTTTTGTGGGAACAAGTGCAAGCATTACCCTTTGCATGTGTTGCATAATTGTGAGATTTATCTAAAACGGCATACACGTATTTTAGCGTGACTTATCTGAGAGTCTGAGCTAAGGGTGAGAAATACTTGCGTCTTTTTACAAAGCAGGCAAGTGAATAGTGGTTTTATAAATATCGTCCACGTCAATGGGATTTTAGGCCAATTAGCGAATCGGGCCAGTGTTTCCCCGCACACCCATTCACGTAAGATGGTTTTCATGAACATACTGGAATCCCAGAGTCTGCAGAAAACCCTGCAGTGTTGAATAGGGATGTCCAGCGATGGTGTCCAAAACCCTCGCGATGCTCGGAGATGACACAGGGCTTTGGGAAGCGCAGGAATCGGGCGACAATGTCAGACTAGCGCAGTGACTGCAGAGACGCAAGGTGCGAATCTGCAGAATTTCTTTCCTGATTTGTCCACGCTGCCCCTGACGCCTCTGCCCCCTTTGGAGAGTGCGAGGGAGCTTCCACAAATCCCATCCTGTGCAGAAGGCAGGCCTGTGGCCTGGGAGCCGGGGACCAGGGCAGACGGGGGACGGGAGTGAAGGATGCGGCCCTGGGGGCTGCGGTCGGGAAGGGTCAGGCCAGGCCCCAGGGCCGCTGAGCTCGCGAGCTGCTGGGACCCTCCTCCGAGCACCTGCCAACGGTGACTTGCGCTGCTTTTCAGGAAGAAAGAAAGGTCCCGCCTCCAATACCAAAGAAGCCTCCCAAGGGGAAGTTTCCCATCACAAGAGAAAAATCCCTGGACCTGCCCGACAGACAACGCCAGGAAGCCCGGAGGCGCCTCATGGCCGCCAAGCGAGCGGCGTCCTTCCGGCAGAATTCCGCCTCCGAGCGCGCGGACAGCATCGAGATCTACATCCCCGAGGCCCAGACCCGGCTCTGAGGGCGGAGGCCGGCGCCTTCCCCTCGTCGCTTCCGCTTTCCCGGACGCTTGTGCAGCGCGGCGCCGCCCTGGTGGTTTCTGTCTCCTCCTCCCGCTGAACACGTCCTCGCTCCCGCGCTCCCCGCGCCCCGGACACAGCGGGACGCGGCCGGCGGCCTCAGAGTCCACGGAGCTCGCGGCGAGGACGACTTCTGCTTTTGTTGTTGTTGTTGTTGTTCACGGGTGGCCTGGCTCACACTTGGCTCTGAGGGACAGGTGTGGCGAGACCTGATTTCTCCTGCGTGTTCTCAGAGGACGGCGAGAAATGCCTCTGGAGCTGGAACCCAGCTTACATTTTGTTATTTCTATTTTTATAAATTGTGTGATAATTAGAGGTAAGAATAACAAGTAACTATAAACGGGTGCATCCCACCACTCCCTGGAGGCATTAGACACCCAAGTGGAAGGTGCTACAACCTGAAGCGCAGGAAAGAAAGGCCCATTCCCCTCGCACAGCCGAGCTTTTACTCCCTGAGCACGGGCCGCTCCGCTCCCCTGCTCCTGTCTGTCTCGGACAGAAAACACGAGGCTCCTTGTGTCAAGCTTCCTGTGATGGAAAGCGACCTCTCCAACCACCACACTCCCCGCCGTACAGTTCTCCAGAATCCCAGGCGATGACAAGTCTGAACCCACGAAAATACCCAGCGCAGCATCTACACATTCAAAAGATAAGCTGAGTGTTCCCACCAGGAAGTCACGCGCAGAGAGGAGAGTCTTACGGAGGGCTGGGAGCTTAAAAGGAAAACAATGTCCTTACTTGTAAACAGTTATTGTATTTTTTATTTCTTTCTAACTTAAAATACGACACCCAGTATTTTCTTTAAGTTTCACCATTTACGCTACATGTGATTTTTTTAATGTATGTATATATATATATTCTCAAATTGCTCTATCAGCTGACTTTTCAGGGTATCCTTAAAAAAAAACACACACGAAAAACAAAAGTTTGCTTGTTTAAAATGACAGTTGTGATGTAAAAAGTTTAAGAAATATGAATGTGAGTGGTAAGTATATCTCAGTTTAAATGGTAAAGAAGAAATGTAGTTTACATTTGTATTTTTCCAGAATTCTTTTGTCCTATGCAGTATTGCTAAAGTCGAGAATATATTCCTTGCCTGTGTTAGACATGAAGGGAAAAAGAGGTCACATATTGTGATTTCCAGCTGTAGCATTCAAAAAAAAAATTGGTGTTCATGACTCTGTGGTCGGTGCCAGAGGAAAATAGGAACGACTCTAATTAATAGGCTTTCTGTGTATATAATTAAATTTAGCTGCTGCAACCATTGTTCTGACACGACTTCTGTTTCACAGTTCAGACCGGTCTTCAAAGGAAAAGCCTGTCCGATTTTTCCATGGGTTCCAGTTTCAGAGTTCTCATTATTACTCAAAGTAAAAGCGGACTGCGATTTAAGATGTTTCCACCCCAATACCTGGTCTTCCTTCCCGGCTTAAGGAGTACCATGTACTTAGCCACAGGCAGAATAGCTTTCGATGACCCCATAGCACTTTGTTTCTTCGCCTTGATTTGCACTTTACAATGTCCCCAGCCCCTCTGCAGCCCGTGGCTGGCAGGGCGTTCGATGTGCGGTTGGCCCCCAGCGCGCCCTCCAGAGCTGCGGTGTCTCCCTGCCTCATTCCCCACATCCCACTGAGCATGGGACCATTGGGAGCAGAGCTGATATTAAAGCATGTTTAGCTTCGAAGTTTTACTTTTTTAAAGCTGAGTAGTTAAGAATTCCCTGTAAAAACAAAACCCTGTAAATTGAGCCTCATGTCTGGTATATATTTTACCAAACAGCCTTAAAATATATTTGGAAGCAAAAATCAGTACGAATGTATCTCCTTGAAAAATGCAAAAAAAAAAAAATCCCTGAAATATTCTTCTATAAATGAATCCTATTTCCCCAGAGTGTTCAAGGCATTTTTCTACCTAAATGAATACCTAAATCTTGAGTAGTGTACGGTAATGACGCTTCTTCCTATATCCACTCTTATTATGTTAAAACAAATGTATTTGCGAGTATTGGCATTTTAGACTTTAAAAATGCTGTATGATTTCAGATGAACTCTGCTGTTTAGAAGTAACCACAGAAAAGCAAAGTCAGTGTACACTCTGAGTGAAAGGAAATGTAATGTGGATAAAGGCCCGCCACCTCCTCACATTGGTCTATCTACTGGCAGCTGATACGTTTAACTCATTTCCTTGAGCTTATACAAAACATAGAAAAGCAAACTGTTAAAGTAGTCAATAATTATTTGTCTCAGATCCCAGATTCTATGATCCCTGCTTAAAAGAAAATGTTCACTGCATGTAGGTTGATTTCTTATGTTTTGTAGACTCATTGTTATTTTTCAATCCCCAAAAGTCTTGGCCTAAACCATCCCTAGGGGAGCAGATTAACCTACCACTACATTGCACAGGGTTGGTGACTCGACGTGGTGAATGTGCACACGCCCTGCCTGGTCCGCCATGTTCCAAAGAAGATGATTTAATGGTAGAACGGATACCTGCTGCTAGACCTGATGGAATGTTACCTGTCCGTGTTACATAATCAAGTGCAATATACTCAGTTCTCATGCAGGTGACATTCTACCATGAAACGCAGAAGATAAGCCATGTTTCTGTATTGTACATGTAAAGAAAAATAAAACTGTTTATGATACTTGTGTTAGTCACTCGAGCTAGCTTATTTCAGCCACTTCTAGCAGATCATGCCATGGAGCTCACGACGTGTGACCATTTCGTCATATTTAAAATATAACTTCAAGAAAAGAGTAAACATCCATTGGAGAACACGGCTGAAAATTATTGTGCTGTTCTAGGAACATCATCCTAGAGAGTGTGATGTTCACTATAACCCCATACCTACATTCCCTAATGATACAGCCAATGACAGGTGAAACCCAGACACTCTCCTTAGAGCCGACAGGTTGATCCTGCTGTGTTGAAGGCTGTGGTTAATAAAACACAAGTATGATAAACAGGACCTAGCGTTTAGCCCGGGAAAGGAGAATGCTGCTTGTCACCTAGAGTGCTTTCCTTGTGATGCGTCTCTCGCATCTTCACGTGTTGTTGTGTTTGAAGTAAAACTAGTTGTTATCGATGACAATTTTTACCATAGTTTTCTCAGCAAATTTATATCACCATCTTAGAATGGTATATAAAAAAATTGAACTGTTTATGATACCAAAAAAATTACAGTTTTGTTTAAAAGGAAATGTTGATGTTTTCAACTCCAAATCAATTCTAAAAACTTCAAGCACTTAATGGAAAGGTAAATGGTCAGATAAAAATATAATTACCTGTAAGGTTATCTGGTTTTAAAAGAAAAAAAAAAAGCCTACAAACTCAGTGACCTACTACGCAGAGGGAATTTTTCCCTGCTGCTTCTTATGAAAGTGGCCAGGTTTATTATTAGAAGACACAGTGGCAGAGCACACATGTGCACAGGTTCTGATTATTTCTCTTGGAGCATATGTCCTTGTCTTGATTTTTGCCTTTTCGATGCCATATTAAGCAGCCACCGTTTCCACCCCTTTCATTAGAAGGCCCTGCATCCGTAAATTCGCGCATCTCTGTTTTTGTTAGATCCTTGTAAGCATCGCTACCCGAGTCCAGGATGGAATTTCACAGGAAAGTGAAGGGATACTGCAGGCCTGTGTTTGCAGCGCCTGTGGTAACTGTGGAATGAGCTCTGTTAGGGACAGTTGTCTGGTTTGTGCCAAACCTTCGAGGGGCGAGTAGGGAGTGGGGGAGGTGGGTCCAAGTCTCCCTCAGGAAGGCCTTTTCTATCGGCAGCAATTCCATCAAGCCAAGCCTCCTGTGGTCCTGAGCATGAAGGGGCCAGGGGACCTCCTGGGAGATGCAGCTTTTGTTTCCGCTGCGTTTCATCAGTCAGCCTTGCTTGGAATTCTGGCAGGTTCCCCGGGGTGTTTCAGTGGACAGGAGGCCCCCGTGCCGTGGCTGAGTCAGCCTGGGTACCCCAGTCACCAGCAGGGCCACCCTTGATGACAGGGCCCCCCACGAACCTGGGAAAGGCAGCGGGAAATGTGTGAGAGGGTGTGCGCTGGTACGGACATAAAAGCATTGTCCAAAACAGCGCTGGTTCGGGGAGGGCCCCTGGATACTGCCTTTGGCCCACACTGAAAACTGAAATTGCCCCACCTGTGAGCACAGAAACACGCTTCTCCAACACGGGCCGAAATAACTAAACTCCACATGGTTCCTGCCTGCTCATTTCCCAGCCCTCTTCTTCTCAAGCCTGAACTTCATTTTTTTTTTTAGCTGCAAATTTAACAGGCTAATTTAAAACTGCAGTTTTCAGACGACAGCCCCTGGGAATGTTCCAGGGTTCTCTTGTTTTGATCTGCATGTCTGTTTACACTTCTCTGTAGGCGTGGGTTGAATACAAGTTTCCAAAACTTTAAAATAGAAAACCACGAGCTTAAGAGGTGAAAAAGATGACCCCTTTCTGATTAGGATCTGTAACTCTGTGGGCTGGGTCAATGCAGTGTGCTTCATTCAGGGCCATGTGGCAGCCATGACACACACCACATAAGGTCAGCTCAGAGCCCATGGCTTCCCTGCAGGAGCCCCATCTTGTCGCTATTAGTTGGGAGTTGCAATACATTGTTGGCCATAAACAAAGTGCTAAAGGAAAGGGTTTGCTTCTACACATTCGGCTGAATGTCCCCCAGTGCAGGGTGGCAGCAGAATGTTCTGGAAATGAAGGAGATATTGCTAGGAATCTCTAGGCTGTTAGGCAACCTGGCTTTTATTCATCCTCAGCCGGCAACTCATCTCAAGTTTATGTCTCAGTTTTTTTCCTCTAGAAAGGGGATTACAGTTCCTGTCCCTGTCTTCCTCCAGGACACACTGTGAGGATTAATGACATATTGGCTCTAAAGTCCTTTGAGCTCCTGGGAACAGGTGGTGAAAGTGTGCGTTACTGCTAAGGATTAGTCCCTGGCCTCTTCTAGAATGCCGCCCTCCCAGCTCTGCAGGGCACGCTGCCAGAATCCAGGCTGGTCGTAAACATCTCAGAGATAATCAGGGACCACCAGAGGCAGAGGCCATGAGACTGTCTTTGGAAAGGTTTGGAAATGCAGAAATAACTACAAGGGCCATTCTCCTTAGCTTCTGGCTTTCAACTGTTTCTAGATGCTTCCAAGAACAAGAACCCAGCACCAACCAGAATTAGGCCACGTTTTCACCATTACTTAAGCTCAATCGCCTCTTAGATGAAATGAGGAGATAAACTAAACATTAAAATGATGAAGGAAAAAAAATTATTTGGAAGCCGAAAACCGCATGGGTGGGGAAACATCAGGAACGAAATCAGACACACTGACTCAAACCACGCAAGGGTTTGAGAAGCCCACCCCTCTAATTCCAGGCGTTTGTAATTTTTCTACTTCGCACTTGAGAGAAGGCAGAGGTGGTCCGTGGGAAAGCTCCGGGAAACAGCCGTCTTTCATCCTTGCCACATTGAAAAATGTCCACAATTTTATGAATTGCTGTCCTAACCCTGGCGTTTTTATCCAGTGTTAAAATAAATTATTTCAAGTTTCAATGTAAACACTTAACAGATGACTTCTTTGCAGAAGAAATGTTCGTTACCTACTATCAAACTACTTTTTAACAGATTTTGTATATACACACACAAGTTGACAGAGGTTTACCTCCCTACTTTCTTAGATTTTATGTAACTCTTTTCATTGGTGCTTATTCAGAACCTGAAAGCCTTGGGCATCCAAGCTTTCACCTACTCAATGGAGGAGAGGTGATAATGAATGAAAAGATTGACACCAGGTTTCTTGGACAAATTTAAGTTCAAATTTATCTCTTTCAAGTAGACCATGGTCTCCCTAGAGAGTGTGTTGGCTTGTGTCTGCCAGTACGACAAAGGACGCTCCCAGCTTGATCGTGGTACCTTATGGAAGCCACTCACGCATTCTCTGATTTACCCCCAAAACACTACCATGCCCCAGCCCCACTCATTTAAATAATACAATCATATCACTTTCAAAGGGCTCAGCACGAATGTTCCCCTCACTCCACTTTTTAACTCGTTTGCTGAACTCGACAAGGCTTCCCCTTACGAGCAGTGAGACCTAGGCTACTTTCGAACGCTTCCTTCCGAACGGTAAGCCACTTCGCTCTCGGGCAGGACAGGTCCTCCCTGCAGAGAGAGACAACTCATCCCCCGACCTTCCATACTACAGACCAAAATACCCAGGTGTGGCCTAAGGACTATATTAAATGCCTCCTATAGAAATTCAAGGAATGTTAGAACCAGGAAACTAGCTGTTTAAAGTTTTAAAGAAGTATATAAATATATATATAAATATAAATATGAAATCATATCGAGTGTGAGGATGAGCAGAGTGCCAAATATTCAGCATCTGTACAAAGTCATTCACTGGAATTCAACTATTTTATGTCATTCTCTTTCTCACGCTTTTATGGTTCTTTTGATAAATTCTATTTAGTAGCATGCAGGATACCTAATCTGAATGTGCAATATGCTATTCATCACCACGACAATTTCTTACTTCCTCTTAATAACTTACCAGAATGTTGGTCATTCCTTTAAGGCAGTTAAGGATTGCTTTATTTGTGTTCTTTTTTCCCATGACTTTTTTTCACTCTCAGCTGACTGTAAGAAACTGTGCACCGTTTCCGCCATAACCGTCCTGTGACGATGCCTCCATTTGACTTCTGTATCGCTGATGTTCACCTCCTGTAAATAGTTTGGCAATTAAATTTTTTGAGAAAAGTAATGTTTACTTTTTTATTGGAGTGAATTCTCGTGTTATTTTAATCTCAGAAAAATTATATAGACCAAAGAGTTTTATCCGAAAAAAAATTACACTCTTCCTCCATTATATATTTCATTGTTGAAATATCCTCAATTTCTCTATATTTTAAGAAGTAATGGACATTTATTAAGGTTACAGATTTAATATGTATGCAAAATGGTATAGATTAAATGAGTTTTTAATTAATAAATCCTACAGTATTTAGTTAACGGTTGTTTTACGCTCTTTTGAGTTGCATTGAAAAGAGACGCACATTAGCTCACGGGACCTTATGGATCCTGGCTCCAGTGAGACAGGGTGGGATGTGGACTTGGTGATGAAACTCCAGGAGGACAAGTGGGTTCCAGTCCCCAGTGAGCCTGCAACTGCCAGGAAGCAGTGCAAGCCAGTCCATCCAGGGAGGTGACCGGTCTAGGAGGTGGACCGGTCCGGGGAGGCGACCAGTCCAGGGAGGGGACCAGTCCGGGAGGTAGACCAGTCTGGGGAAGTGACCAGTTGGAGAAGGTGGACCAGTCCGGGGAGGTGACCAGTCCGAGGAGGTGGACTAGTCCCGGGAGGTGGACCAGTCCAGGAGGTAGACCAGTCTGGGGAAGTGACCAGTTAGAGAAGGTGGACCAGTCCAGGAGGTAGACCAGTCTGGGGAAGTGACCAGTTAGAGAAGGTGGACCAGTCCGGGGAGGTGGACCACACGTCACCACTCTGAGCAGTTGCTCCCTGCCTTCCACCTCCTTGATCAGTTGCACCTGCCCTTCTTTCTCTTGCCTGTGACCAGCTAGTCTCACCCCTCTCAGTGAGAAATCCTGCTGCCTCATGTCTCTGCACCTTCTTTCTATGCACTCCTTGCCTGGATACTCTGAGTATTGCTCTGCAGTCTCCCCAGGGGCACAGTGCAGCTCTTGAGGACAACCCTCCCCCCAGCACACATCAGGACTGTGTTTCATGCATTGTTTTTCATGTCTTTCCTTTACTGTATTTCTTTTCAAGATACACTTATAACCAGCGAAAACAAAGCTTTATATATTTTTCTTTTTTAATCCCATAGCCCTTCAATAAATATTTTAATTTACTTGGCCTTTCATTTGAAACATTATACCTTCATCCTCATGTAGTCAAACATTATTTTCCCAGAAGTCAGTAAAAGTACAAATAAATT